>NC_000002.12:42917625-43220655 GCF_000001405.40 Homo sapiens | reverse complement strand
CTTAGAAACTACAGGAGAAAATTCCTCCGTAGTCAGTTGTGAAAATGAGCCCAGAATGTGATGGTGTTTAGAATGTCTTCATCGTGGCGTTTCCACTGGATGTCTGAAGACTAAGGTATTTTTTAAGCAGCCCAATTAGTGTGTGCCACCTTCTAACTTATTTCAGAGAAAGGATGTGTGCATGTACACATTTTCCACCGCTCATGCTGTCTGAATCTACTGCTGGGTGTGTAAAAGAAAAAAAAAAAAGCACACACAAAAAAACTATTCAGAAGGCCAAAGCTCTGCACCAGCCCCAGGGAATAGATGGAGGATTGTGAGCCCTGCAGTGGCTCAGGACCCCGGATGACAGAGCCAGGCCTGGTGGGCCCGACGCAGGAAAAACAAGCAGGCCTAGCTCTTGGCCGCCAGCCTGGCCCGGCACTAGAATGCTCGGTGCTAAAACCTGCCTGGGGGCGCTCAGAAAAACGCCAGGGTGGCCATGTGCAGGGAGGAAGCCCGCTAGAGAGCACTGAACCTCGGAAAGGAACCGTCCCCAAACACCCGCTCTCCTTCAGTTTTGCTTGTGGTGACAAGTGAGGGCGGATGTGACTCTCACCAAGTTTTCTTGAGACCGGAAGTTGGGTCTCGGCACCGTCCTCGGCCTTGGAAGTTCGTGGGAGCCGGCACAGCCCTTAGAGGCTAGCCGGGCTTACCTTCCATCAGGGGCCCATTGTCGTGAACTCTAATTGTGTTTATTTTTTCTTGTCCACACTCCTGGGGGATATGCAGAGCTGTGGCCGTCCAGGGCAATTCCAGTTCTGTGCCGCTGCTGGCACGGCTGAGGGAGGGAGGAGGACAGCGGGGGCTGTGGCGGGGCGGGGCCTGGCAGCTGGACAGGCCTCCCCAGGAGGAGCCCTGCAGGGAGGAGGCGGGAGGGAGCGGGGCAGCAGGAAGCCACAGCACCTCCAGGGCCCAACCTCTCCTGATGGGTTTTGCTAGACCTTGAAAGAGTGTGTGTGTGTGTGTTGTGTGTGTTGTGTGTGTGTGTGCGCGCGCGCATGCATGCCGTGCACGTGTGTGGAGGCCTGAGGGGTGCGCCTGTATGGGAAGTGTATTAGTACGTGTTTCTGCGTCCTTTTCTGTCTGTGGGTGTGCAGAGGTTTGTGGTGTTGCTCCGTCTGCAGGTGTTCAGGGGTCTGCATGTGTGATGTCGCCCTAGGGGAGTACTGGTGTGTGGATCTGTGTGCTTCTGCATGTGGAGGCTATGTGGGGGGAGGGTCTGTGGGTATGGCTGTGTTTGGATGTGAGTGTGTCTGTGTGTAAGTGTGTGTGGATGTGTGTGAGTGCTGGTGTGGGTTTGGGTGTATCTGTTGCTATGTAGGTATGTGGATCTTTGGGGTGTGCCTGGGTGTGGGTGTGTCTGTTGTGATGTGGGGGTTGGTGTGTACGCAGGGGCGTGTGTGTTGGTATACATGGGTGTGTCTGTGTGTAAGTATGTGTGGATGTGTGTGAGGGCTGGTGGGGGTTTGGGTATGTCTGTTGCTGTGTAGGTAGGTATGTGGGTCCTTGGGGTATGTCTGAGTCTGGGTGTGTGTGTGTGTGTGTGTGTGTGTGTGTGTGATCTATGGGAGTGGGTTTGGGTGTGCCTGTGTGTAGCTGCTGCTGTGTGTGGGTAGGTGTGTGGCTCTGTGGGGGGTGAGCAGCTGTAAGTGTTGCTGTGTATTTGGGTCTGGATGTGTCTGCTGCGGTGTGCATGTGGGTGTGTCTGTATGTGGGTGTTACCAACACCTACGGAGGAAAAGCAGACCTTTTTAGCATGGCTCTTTCAAGTTTAAAAACTGCTTTCAAAACCCGGAAATGACCGCCAGGCTGGCATCCGCTTCCTGCAGGGCAGCAGGCCGGGCAGGGCTGGGTGGGAGGGTGGTCAGTGGGCCCCTGCCTTGCAGGGACCCCAGACTCACCTCTGTTGCTGGGCACACCTGCCAAGGACAGGCCTTGGTGCCGCTGGCTGTCTGCAGGGACATTTTTAGAAAGAATTCACTCTGTGGGAAGGGGGAGGGGCCCTTTTATTTTCATCTGGGCAGAAATAGCTCCTGTCAGATAGCAGCTCTTGTGCCCTCTGGGGCGAGAGGCAGCTCTGAAATAGAAGGAAAGATATTAAGGACTCGAGACAGACAAGAAAACTCCTGAGCTCGCTGAAACCAAGTTTAAAATATTTCTCTAAAAATAAGCTTTGTTTTTCTTGTGGATTCCTCCGGCCCTCGTGTCAGGGTGCTTAGCTGGTCTGGGACGCCAGGCGGAATTTTTAAAAAACCAAGTGTTTCCCAGCTGTGGCCTTGGAAAGTTCTCTGTTTTCCATTTATTAAACTCCTAGTTTCCGGCTAATTAAAATTATTTTCAAATAAAACTCCATGGCCCAGCAATATTTGATGAAACACAGAATTCCCGGTGACCCCTCTGCAGGGGGCCAGGCGGCTGTGGGGCCGCCTGTGTCCCCTCCAGTGCGCTCAGTGTTGGTTTTATGGGGAGAGGGAACCCGGGCCTTTGAAATGCAGACCGAGGGCCTTGTCTTACTAAATCCCACCTCCGCTCCCGTGGTGACTGCTTGCTGGTGTGGTGACTGCTTGCAGGCGGGCAGTCTGAGTCCTGCACCACTTGAGAAGGGGCTGCGGGGTAATTGGAAACCTGCTGTTTGTTTCCCCTGCACCACTAATAACCTGAGCAGAGGGGGGTGCACGTCAGGGGAGAGGAACTTGGCTGAGGCATGTGGCCACATGATCTTCTGCTACCTGGTGGTTTCTCCCTGGCCTGGCAGCTGTGGAGTCTTCAGCTCCCACCACGCCAATGTGCCAGGACTTTATTGAGCACCTATAAGATGCCCAGACTGACATCTAGTCCCAGAGTTGGGTGGGACTTAACTGACATCCAGGGCCACATGTTATGCAGATGGAAGTCGGTGAGGCTGCAGGGTGGAGGCAGATTTTGCTGAGGGCCAGAGCTGGTGGGATTCAGACTTACAGACAGATCCCCCTCCATGGTCCCCCGCATTCAGCCCACACAGCAGTGGGGCAGGATACTGGGTCTGTTGGCCCAGCCCTGCCCTTTCATTCATCCCACAGAGACTTCTCCATTGTCTAGTAAATGCCTGCACTGGGCTAAGAGAGGGGAGCTGACAGGTGTTATTCCTGCCTTCAGGGAGTCTGCATAATGATTTCAAGGTTCATTCATGTTGTAGCAGAAATCAACTTCATTCCTTTTTTATGACTGAATAATATTCCAGTGGATGGGACTTTGGGTTGTTTCCACTTTTTAGCTACTGTTGAATGTTGAATAATCCTGCTATGCACAAGTGTAGAAGTCCGTGTGTGAACATAAACTTTCTTTTTTTTTTTTTTTTTTTTTTTTGGAGATGGAATCTATCTATCACCCAGACTGGAGTGCAGTGGTGCAATCTCGGCTCACTGCAACCTCCGCCTCCCGAGTTCAAGTGATCCTCCTGCTTCAGCCTCCTGAGTAGCTGGGATTACAGGTAAGCACCACCACGCCCGGTTAATTTTTGTGTTTTTAGTAGAGACAGGGTTTCTCCATGTTGGCCAGGCTGGTCTTGAACTCCTGACCTCAGGTGATCCACCCACCTTGGCCTCCCAAAGTGCTGGGATTACAGGCATGAACCACTGCGCCCAGCCCATCTTAGTTTTTTCAAAAAGTATAATCACAAGCTGAAATCCAGGCTATAAAGGGGAAGAACATGGTACTAAGGGAGCATCTGTCAGGGAAATTGAACACACATAGGGCCCAGAAGGCGCCTGAAGAAGCAAGAAAGGACCGGGCATGGTGGCTCACACGTGTAATCCCAGCACTTTGGGAGGCCCAGGCGGGAGGATCGCTTGAGCCCAGAAGTTGGAGACCAGCCTGGGGGACGTGGTGAAACCCCTTCTCTACAAAATATTCTTTTTTTTTTTTTTTTTTGAGGCAGAGTCTTGCTCTGTCATCCAGGCTGGAATGCAATAGCGCAGTCTTGGCTCACTGCAACCTCTGCCTCCCAGGTTCAAGCGATTCTCCTGCCTCAGCCTCCTGAGTAGCTGGGACTACAGGTGCTTGCCACCACATCCGGCTAATTTTTGTATTTTTAGTAGAGACAGGGTTTTACTGTGTTGGCCAGGCTGGTCTCAAACTCCTGACCTCGTGATTCATCTGCCTTGGCCTCCCAAAGTGCTGGGATTACAGGCCTGAGCCACCGCGCCCGGCTCTTTAACAAATTAGCTGGGAGTGATAGTGCACCACTGCACTCCAGCCTGGGGAACAGAGCAAGATTCTGTCTCCAAAAAAAAAAAAAGTTGTGTTTTTCACTGCAGAGCGCAGAGGGTTATCACACATGGAAAGAGCTGGGACTCTGGAGTCAGATGGGGGCAATGGATCCTCAGGTGCTGCGAATTACTCGCTGGGTTACCTTGAGCACAGTTCACAGCCTCTTTGAGACTCAGTTTCTTCATTCGAAAAATGGGTTAATATGTAGTTGCTGTTATAAAGATTAAGTGGGATAATACATGTAAAGTGCCTTGCCCAGGGCCTGGAGGTGGTGTGTTGAGGAGCACGGGCTGGCTGCTATTATTAGTAATAGAACACTTCATCCCCTTCTGCTACCCCTCCTACCCTGGCCCAAGCTCACAGTTCTCCAGGTCAGAATGCCTTAACAATTCTAATAGCTACTATTTATGGAGCTCCTATTATATACTAAAGCTTTACATATGTTAATGAAGTCCTATAACAACCCAAGACCGAAGTCCTATTGCTATTCCCATTTCAAAGATGAGGAAATTGAGCTCAGAGGAGTTGTTATATGCCTGCGGCCATGGGGTAGGAAATGTCAAGGAAGAATCCAAAGGAATCTAAGCTTTTGCTCTTTCAAATGCCACAGGCTGCTTTCCTGACCCCTTTCTTCCTGCTTTACTCCCACCTGTCTATAAAGCCCTGATCCTTTAAGAAACCCTCCAGGATTTCATTCCAGGGTAGACTGTGTCCTGCCTCATCTGTGCATTTTTTTGTTTTGTTTTGTTTTGTTTTTAATAGAGACAGGGTCTCACCATTGTGCCCAGGCTGGTCTCAAACTCCTGGGCTCAAGTGATCCGCCCACCTCAGCCTCCCAAAGTGCTGGGATTATAGGCATGAGCCACCACACCTGGCCTCATCTGTTTTTTAAAACACAGCTGGGCACAGTGGCTCCTGCCTATAATCCCAGCATTTTGGGAAGCTGAGGCGGACGGATCACTTGAGTCCAGGAATTTGAGACCAGACTGGGCAACATGGCGAAACCCCATCTCTACAAACAATACAAAAACTAGCTGGGCGTGGTGGCACTCACCTGTAGTCCCAGCTGCTCAGGAGACTGAGGTAGGAGAATCCCCGGAGCCCAGGAGTTTGAGGCTGCAGTGAACTATGATCATGTCACTGCACTCTGGCCCAAGTAACAGAGTGAGACCTTGTCTCTAAAAATGATAAGAATAAAAATAATAAGAATTTTAATGCTAAAAAAGGTTTAAAAACCACTGACCGCTGGGTGTAGTGGCTCACAACTGTAATCCCAGCACCATGGGAGGCCGAGGTGGGCAGATCACCTGAGGTCAGGAGTTCGAGACCAGCCTAGCCATCATGGCAAAACCCCATCTCTACTAAAAATACAAAAATTAGCCAGGCATGCGTGGTGGCAAACGCCTGTAATCTCAGCTACTCAGGAAGCTGAGGCACAAGAATCACTTGAACCCGGAGGCGGAGGTTGCAGTGAGCCGAGATCTCGCCACTGCACTCCAGCCTGGGCAACAGAGCAAGACTCCGTTTCAAAAAAAAATAAAAAATAAAAACCCATGACTTAGTGTAGCCCTCTCATTCCATAGATGAGAAACTTAAGGTTGAGAAGGGGTAGGGGCACCCCTCTGGAGACTTGCCAGTTTCTGGGTCTCTACCTAGCACTTGGAAAAGAAAGAACCCAGGACACCTCCCTGAGCGTGCGCTGTGCCAATAGGGCTGTTGGTGTCGATTCTCACCAAAGCAAACCCAAATCCTTCTTGGCTGAGAGGCTCAGCATGGCTGGTCCCTGGATGTTCCATCCAGCAGGCTTCTCAGAGGGGGCCCAGAGAGTCTGTGGGGCTGACAGGCAGGAGCTTGCCAACAATAGCCCTGTAGGTCCAGAGCCGCTGCAGGGGCTGGGACCGGAGGGAGCTTGGGCAGGCATTACCTCCATGGCTGTGGAAGGGCCTGGCCCTAAGGGGTTACAAGCAGGGGCTCCCATTGGACTGCAATCAAATCTCAGCCCAGTGCTGCCTCCTACCTGCGTGACCTCAAGCAAATCTGAACTTCAGTTTTCTTTTTTCTTTTCTTTTCTTTCTTTCTTTTTTTTTTTGACGCAGAGTGTTGCTCTGTCACCCAGGCTGCAGTGCAGTGGCGTGATCTCGGCTCACCGCAACCTCCGCCTCCCAGGTTCAAGTGATTCTCCTGTCTGAGCCTCGCGAGTAGCTGGGATTACAGACGCCCGCCATCATGCCCGGCTAATTTTTTGTATTTCAGTAGAGACGGGGTTTTGCCATGTGGGCCAGAACCTGTCTCAAAAAAAAAAAAAAAAAAAGACCAGCCTGACCAACATGGAGAAACCCCATCCCTATTAAAAATACAAAATTAGCTGGGCATGGTGGTGCATGCCTGTAATCCCAGCTACTAGAGGGCTGAGGCAGGAGAATCGCTTGAACCTGGGAGGCGGAGGTTGCGGTGAGCCGAGATTGCACCACTGCACTCCAGCCTGGGCGACAAGAGTGAAACTCCGTCTCAAAAAAAAAAAGTGCAATATTTATGGTTTGTTTGTTATTACCATTTTGGGGTATTTTTCCACTTCTAATCAGTAGGCATCCAATCTGATGGGCATCAGGAAGGCCCCATGGTTTGCCCCCACCAAACTCCCAGGGTTTGTAGCTGTGCGTGTAGCCATTTAGATTTAAATTAATTAAAAGTAAGCAAAATGTAAAACTCACTTCCTCAGCCATACTAGATAGCTACGTTTTAAGTATTCAGTTGCCACATGGAGCTAGGGGCTACTGCATTAAACAGCACAGAACATTTCTGTCATCACAAAAGTTCTGTTGGACAGCACTGTGAGTCTAGAATGTTCTATTAAAATACCAACAGCTGAAGGAAAGATGCTTCCAGCAGCAGGTCCTGGGATACCCCCATGATGTCCTTGCTGGTTCTCCTTCCTTCCAAAAGCCAAGAGACTCCAGAATATTCCCAAACTACTGCTCCACCTGGCAGATTGAAAGTGCCAGTGGAGAGGGGAAGGGACTGAGCTCTGCCTAACTGCCCACACGTGCTGGCATCTCTCAGCCCCACTCAGCAGTCTGGGACCCACCTCCTCCCAGATGCACCTCACACCAACCCCTCCAGTTGTCCCTGTCCCCAAGCATGTGACACCACATCTCTCAAGGAACCCATGCCAGAACTTGGCACGCTTCCCCAGTCTTTTCTCTCACTTCCCTCTACCCCTTCCCTCATAGGTTGCCCAACCATCATGACTCTGCTTTCTAACCAGGCCTTGACTTTGCCCCCTTTGTCTCTAGCTCCTCTGCAACTCAGGCCTGCCCCACGCTCACCCAGACACCTTGTCAACCAGGAGCCCTGGCTGGTCCTCTTCCAGGCCACCACTCCTCTAGAGCAAGGTTGTAAAGCACTTGGGTGATCATACTCTTCTCTGCCCTAGGACGCTACACAGGGTCCCACCACCCACTGTTCAAGTCCAAGGAGGCTCTGGGATCCGGAAAAACCTCCCTCCTCTGCCTATGCTCCTTGCTTCTTAGCTGCTCGGGAGCACCAAGGATTCCTAGAGATGCTGTTCACACTCTGGGCCCTTTACTTTCCTTCCACCCCTGCCTGGGACATCCCCTTGTGACCCCCTGCTTCCTCGCCTCTTCCCTCCGCGGTCAGCCCAGGCTGAATCTCAAACTCAGATCTAGCCTCTCCACCCAACCCTGGCCCCACCGGGGCACTGTCCAGGCCTTTATCAGAGCACATATCACAGCATCCCACAACAACTGGTTATGTCTGTCTTCCTCTCTACCCTGTCAGTTCCTTCAAAGCAAGAACATTGTGTTCCTCCTTGCAGCCCCCAAGCCTGGCTCCTCGAAGGGCTTCAGTAACTGTTTCTACGACAAAACCAATCTGCCCTGTGAGACTGGCCCTGTTCGCTCCCATTGGACAGATGAGGAAAATGGAGCTCAGAGAATGAAAGATGCTTGCCTGAGGTCTCCCAGTGCATAAGTGGCAGCGCCATGATGCCGCCCCAGGCCCTCACAAAGAGGGCGGAGTGTCCCAGCCATTCAGAAGAGGCAAAGATGCACTATTCCTTGGTACAAGGAACCTCATGTTGATTTTTTCCTCTTTTTTATCTTTTTTTTTTTTTTTTTTTGAGACAGAGTCTTGCTCTGTTGCCAGGCTGGAGTACAATGGCACTATCTCGGCTCACTGCAACCTCCGCCTCCCGGGTTCAAGCGATTCTCCTGCCTCAGCCTCCTGAGTAGCTGGAATTACAGGCACCCACCATCATGCCCGGCTAATTTTTTTGTATTTTTGTAGAGACAGGGTTTCACCATGTTGGTCAGGCTGGTCTTGAACTCCTGAGCTCGGGTGATCCGCCCTCCTCAGCCTCCCAAAGTGCTGGGATTACAGGTGTAAGCCACCGCTCCTGGCCAATTTTTTCCTCTTATTTGGAACTCATGCCTGCTTGTTATGAATATTCCAACAGCTGCAGTGAATCCCAATACGTGCAAGTGGAAAAGGCCCCCTTAACCTTCCTCCTCAGGCCCACTCAGCAAATGTGGCCACTTTGTGGCCACTTTGTGTAAGGCATTCCAGAGATCTGGTGAGGCACCTATCTACAAATATTTATACACACACATTCATATATGGTTTCAGTCACAAAATGGGGTCATTCTCTCCCCTGACCTATCATTTAGGGCATTGGAACATGGCTGCATGTGGCTCTGTTTGTGAGGGTCCAGGGGATGGACAGGGAGGCTCTGCATTATTTTGCTTTTACCAACATTGCAGCATGAACGTTTTTTTAACTCAGGGCCTTGGGTGAATATCTCCATCAGATGAATCCCGAGAAGTAGCATGCATGGGTCACAGTGTGGCTCACGTGTTTCTTGGGAGGGTCACATGCATTTTTCCTAATTTATAGTATTATTTTATTTTTTATAGACAGGGGGTCTCGCTATGTTGTCCAGGCTGGTGTCGAACTCCTGAGCTCAAGCCATCCTCCGGCCTGCCAAAGTGCTGGGATTATAGGCGTTAGCCACTGCGCCTGGCCCATCATGCATTAAATGCTTGAAGCCTGCCCTCGTAGTAACATGTTGCACTAAGTATAATACCTCGGAGGCCGCGTCCCTCCCTGTCTGTCCCTCCCCACTGCCTGTTCTGAGTTTCTGGAGTCCACATCTCAGGGGCTCCAGCCTGGACTCTGGTCTTTCTCCGACTCCCTGCCCTGTTCTCAAGTCCCCCTGTTGTCGTCCACTGCCTAGGCTGGCACCACAGTCTGAGGCTGCCACCTGGGAGACCCAGGCGAGGCCTGGAGCAGTCCCAGTGGGCTCAGGGCTCCTGGGGCCTGAGGAACCAGAGGCACTGAAGCCACGTCGGGGAGGCCCTGCCTGTGTGATGGGTGGTGGGAGCAAAAGAAATCCTTTCTGAAATGACAGCATTGGGATGACAGCGTGTGTGGGAAGGGGTGTGTGTGTGTGAGTGCGTGAGGCTGTGGTGTGGCTCTGTGAGTGTGTGTGAGTGTGGGGGGGTGAGCCGGCATGACAGCATGTGTGGTGCTATGTGGGAGTTGCCATGCGTGTGTTTTAGGGCAGTTATGTCAGGCGTTATGTAAGGGAGGCGCTCCCTGGGGCCAACAAACCGCAGTGGTGTAACCGCCAGGCCAGCAGGGAAGGAGGGAAAATGTAAACACCATTCCGTGCCTTTCCCTGCCCTGCCACAGGCCCTGCGGTCCTGCCTTCCCGCCACCTGAGGCCCCGTGGGCTGGCTGGGGGGTGATGATGGGGGCGTGAGGGCTGAGGCTCCCAAGAGCTCCATAGGCGTGCACATCTGCAGCTCTTGATACTGGCCCAAGGGATAGCACCAAAGGAGAGCCCAGCCAGGGCCTAACTGGGCTTCTTCTGGTCAGTTGCAGGCCATGCATCCCCCACGTGTGAGGCGTGCAGGCTTCCCTACCCCACAGCGCTCCTGTGTCCCAGAGGCCTCTCCCTGGCATAGGAGCCCCTTGCCCTGCAAAGAATCAGCATGGGGTTCACGGCTCACCTGTTCACACCTGTACGGTGGCCTCAGGGCCAGCTGTCTCTGTCTCTCTCACATACACTCAAAGGCGCACCTCCTCCCTGCCCCACTCCACATCCTGGCCCAGACACCTTCCTTCCCACCAGCTCCCAGTTTCCAGCCCTTCAGCCTGGCACCTGAGGCTTCCTCTTCTAGGAAGCAGCCCTGTCTGCTCCAGGCCAGAGGCCTTGCTCCCCACTCTGAAAACTCCTGAGGCCCCTGTGGATACATAGCTGGACATCTGGCCAAGCTCAATAGTCCCCTGTTCTCCAGTTGCTCGTTTTAAGAATAATGGCCATGGCCAGGTGCAGTGGCTCACACCTGTAATCTCAGCACTTTGGGAGGCTGAGGCGGGAGGATCACCTGAGTCAGGAGTTCAAGACCAGCCTGGCCAACATGGCAAAACCCTGTCTCTACTAAAAATACAAAAACTAGCTGGGCGTGGTGGCACGCGCCTGTAATCCCAGCTACTAGGGAGGCCGAAGCAGGAGAATCACTTGAACCTGGGAGCCGGAGGTTGCAGTGAGCTGAGATTGCGCCACTGCACTCCAGCCTGGGTGATAGACTGAGACTCCATCTCAATAATAATAATAATAACAGTGGCCATAATTTATGGAGTATACTCTGTCAAACCCCCTCCCTCAAAGTGTTCTTATTATGCCATGCCATCCTTGAACCAATCCTAGAAGGTGGTGTTCTAACCATCATGGGAGCCAGAACCCCAGCAGACAGAGGTTAAGTGAATCATCCACGGTTATGCAGCCACGCCTAGAAGTGGCTGGTGGCAGAACCTGTATTCACAATCTCCCGTGGCTGAGCCCCATTTCCCCACACCTCCAGGCTCTTGGGGAGCAGCAACTCTCCTGCTTCCCGCCCCCCACCTTCCCCAACATAGTGCCAGCTGGGCGGCCACAAGATACTTAAATCAAGGCTGTGGCTTACTCAGTGGCTGCATGCAGTTGGTGCCATCTAAATGCTAGATGACTGAGTAACTGAACAGGATTGAATGCAATCTTTTACTTGGAACAATAAAGTGCAATGTTGAGAGTAGGAGCTCTGGAATCACTCAGCTATATGACTTTAGGGTACTGACAGACCCAGCTGAGCCTCAGTTTCCTCACCTGCAAGATGGAAATCGCCATTGTGTCTTCCACACAAGGTTACTGAGAGAATTTCTGCGACGCTGGGTGTGATGGGCTTGGCTCCGTGCCTGGCACACATTTTGCAGTCAAAAATGTCAACTGCTGCTGCTCCACTTTCGGGGTAGAGCTGGGGCAAGCATATTCTCCCATTTTAACAGTGAGGAAAACTGAGGCCCAGAGAAACCACTTTCCCAAGTTCCTGCAGGACTTGGACTGCAACTGCAAATTGCTGATTCCTAGCCTGGAACCTTTAACAACAGGCCAGCGCTTCTCATCCAGTCAGTGTGGATAGAGGCAGTGGAGTCAATGGAGGAAAATATTTTTCTAGACCTTACAAAAGTTTCTGATCAGCAAGAGAGCAGTGTCCTCTTGGAAAGATAGTACTCTCATTTTTCTACCCCTGTGAAGGAGGGATTAATCAAGGAGGCCTTACAGGAAGAGGTGGGCATCAGAGTAACCTTGTCTCCTTAAAGGAGGAAGACACTGTGGCCCTTCAGGGGAGGCTGAGCCTGTCTCTCCAGGGTGACCTGCCCTGTTAGCCTTCCAATCCTGGAAGACCTCCAGCCTGGCCTGGCCTGGGGTCCACAGGCTGTACCTGAGTGCTGTACCTCTATTCCCCTGTTTTCCCCCATCCCTTCCCAATGCAGGGCTTTGGGAGAATCTCCTCCAAAGCCAATTTCTATTTTTTTTTTTTTTTTTTTTTTTGAGAAAGAGTCTTGCTCTGTCACCCAGGCTGGAGTGCAATGGTGCGACCTTGGTTCACTGCAACCTCCGCCTCCTGGGTTCAAGCGATTCTCCTGCCTCAGCTTCCCGAGTAGTTGGGATTACAGGCGCCTGCCACTGCGCCCAGCTAATTTTTGCATTTTTAGTAGAGACGAGGTTTCACCATGCTGGCCAGGCTGGTCTCAAACTCCCGAACTCAGGCGATCCACCCTCCTTGGCCTCCCAAACTGCTGGGATTACAGGCATGAGCCACCGTGCCCGGCCCCCAAAGCCCACTTCTGTCACCTCACTCCTGTCTGCTCTCATGGTCAAGTCCTAGCTTCTGCACCTGGCATCCCAGGCAAGGCCCCTGCACCTGGCCCTGCCCTCCTGCAGCCCCTACTGACCCGTAGCTAACATTGCAGCAGCTCCCCGCCCTCCACTACTCCCCTCTTCTGCTGTTTCTCCACAGCCTCCTCACCAGTCAGCACACTATAGAGTTTACAGATTTGTCTTCATTGTCTGTCTCCCACTAAAATGTCAGCTGCAGGGATTTGGGGAGGGGGAGAGGAGGGGTCTTTTTCATCGTGCTCAACAAATACTTGAGGGAATGACTGCATGATCTCCACCCTCCTGCCACTGCACACTCATGCCAGGCACCTTTACCCTGATGCTGTTATGCCCTTGCCCTAATGTCCTCCCGATGCCTTTGGCTGAATCATGCTACCTCTTGCAGAAAGGCTTCCGGGATTATACCTGCCCACAGCCCAGCCTCCCCTCACTGACCTCATCACAGTGCAGAAATCCCCAAGCTCAGGTGGATTTCAGAGGAAGAAGGTGGACAGGGCAGGCCAGCTCCTTGGGGCTGTGCAGGGACCAGGTATGCATAGCCCCAGGCTTGGGAGGCTGGGGCTCCTGTAACCCACCAGCTTTGTCCAAGGGTGGGAGATGAGTCCTATACTTTCTCCTCTTTTGACCCTAAGATCCTTTCGCTCCAAGTTCAACTTCAGGTAAACCTGTGGCAGGGGAGCCCACAGTTGAAGTAGGAGGTGTCTTGTAGCCCAGGTGGACTGCTCAGCTCTAGGAAGGCCAGGCTCTGACCCAGAGACTCTGCAGCCAAGGCTCTGCCCTAGGGGCTTCTCATGAGCTGGAGGTTCAGGACCCCCTTGACCTTGGAATCCTTCCCTGAGCATTCTTTTTTTCTTTTTCTTTTTCTTTTTCTTTTTTTTTTTTTAAGACAGAGTCTTGCTCTCTTGTCCAGGCTGGTGTGCAGTGGCACAATCTTGGCTCACTGCAACCTCCACCTCACGGGCTCGAGCCATCCTCCTGCCTCGGCCTCCCGAGTAGCTGGGATTACAGACACACACCACTATGCCCGGCTAATTTTTTTTTTTGTATTCTTAGTAGAGACGGGGTTTCACCATGTTGGCCAGGCTGGTCTCGAACTTCTGGCCTCAAGTGATCCTCCCGCCTCGGTCTCTCCAAATGTTGGGATTACAGGCGTGAGCCACCGCGCCTGGCCATCCCTGAGCATTCTTGAAAGAAGCTGTCACCAGGCAGGCTGTGCTTCCCTGGGAGCGCACAGATGGGAGGGAGAGAGAAAATTCTCTTCACAAAGAAACCCAAGCTGGGGAGGCAGGTGAGTGAAAACCAGAGAGATAGAAGGTGAGATGACTCAGGTGTTGCTGTGGTCCTGGCCCAAGCACAGGGCAGCAGGGGAGAGGTGCCCTGAGGCTGGATCTGGGGCCATGGGCCCTCGGGTGGAGAACGTCCTCCTCAGAGCAAGCTGGAGCCACTGGCCTCAGAGGTCTTCAGGGCCCAGGATGGTGGCGTCTTCTTCCCTCTGGCTCCCCTTCACTGGGCCCATGTAGTCCCCACCTTCATGCATCCTGGGGAATGGGGAACTGGAATGGCTCCCATGAACTGGAATGGCCAGCCTCCCTCAGCAGTAAAATAGTCTCTTGTGCAAGGATTAAATGGCATATAATACATAAAATACACCTTGCCTGGCACACAGTGGCACTAAGTCATGTCAGTGCCTTGCCCCACACCCCTGGTGGGCACCATCCCTGCAGATTTTCCCATGGTCACTTCTTCTAGTGAAGTCGGAGTACACAGAGAGCCTCTTTGCGTGGGGCTCCATGGAGGAAGAGGGATGCAGAGGGCTTGAGACCCCTCGCCCTGCCCAGGAGGGGTGAGTGACTCTTGCACCTGTACCTTATCCAGTTTGGGAAGTCCCTTCACTTCCCTTGGCCCCTATTCACCCCTAGCTCCTTCTCAGCCAGCCTCCTCCAGCCCAGCCCTCCTGTCCCTGGAAACTCCTCCAGGCTCCTGCCCTCCTACAGCAATCGCACCCCCCACCATGTCCCAGAGCACAGTCTCTGGGCTGCTCCCTTCCATCCTGGAGGTCCTGCAGTGTGTGGTCTAGGGCCAGGTCCTCAATCACTGCGCCTTGTTTCCTCATCTATTATTCCCTTATCGTTACTCTTCCCTGGAGATACAGGAGGGGAAATGTTGTGCTCATCAAATAGTCACTGAGTTCCAGAGGGGTATAGGAAGCCCATTTATTAGGCCACACTGTCCTTTTAAAATTTCTACCTCCAGCCGGGCACAGTGGCTCACGCCTATAATCCCAGCACTCTGGGAGGCTGAGGTGGGAGAATCGCTTGAGCCCAGGAGTTTGAGACCAGCCTGGGCAACATGGAGAAACCCCGTCTCTACTAAAAATAGAAAAATTAGCTGGGCATGGTGGTACGTGCCTGTAGTCCCAGCTACTTGGGAGGCTGAGATGGGAGGATCATCTGAGTCTGGGACGTGGAGGTTGCAGTGAGCTGAGACTGCACTACACCACTTCACTCCAGCCTGAGCCACACAGTGAAACTCTGTCTCAAATAAAATACAATAATAAAATAAAATAAAATAAAATTCCCTAACAAGAGCCTGATCACCAGGTGGCCTGTTTACAGGAGACCAGCCCCATGGCAGCATGTCTGTGAAATGGTAGATTTTGTGTGGTCAGAAGGATGTTTAAGCTGTCAGGTAAAGTTAAAAGAGCTTGAAAGACTGGGTGAGGTAGCTCATGCCTGTAATCCCAGCACTATGGGAGGCTGAGTCGGGCGAGTCACTTGAGGCCAGGAGTTCAAGACCAGTCTGGCCAAAGAACTTTGGTAGAGACGGGGTTCCGTAGAGATGGAACCCCATCTCTACCAAAAATACAAAAAGTAGCCGAGCATGGTGGCACACACCTGTAGTCCCAGCTACTTGGGAGGCTGAAGTGGGAGAATTGCTTTAACCCAGGAGGTGGAGGTTGCAGTGAGCAGAGATTGTACCACTGCACTCCAGCCTGGGGGACAGAGCGAGACCCTGTCAAAAAAAAAAAGAGCAAGGAAAGAACCATGTGTTACAGCACCACCTCTTCGGCTGAACATTGTCTTTAACAGACACACATGTATACATATACACTAGCGTGGGCATGACATTTTTTTCTGGCAGGCTACCTGAGAAACTATTAAGCGGTCACCTTCAATGAAAGGTTGGGAAAAGAGGGGAGAGTTTTATCTTCATTTTATACTTTTTGTTTGACTTTCCTACCATGTGAATATATTGTTATTATTTTTTATTATATTTTATTTTTGAGACAGAGTCTCGCTCTGTCGCCCAGGCTAGAGTGCAGCGGCGCAATCTCGTCTCACTGCAACCTCTGCCTCCCGGATTCAAGCAATTCTGGTACCTCCCGGTAGCTGGGATTACAGGCATGCGCCACTACGCCCGGCTAATTTTTGTATTTTTGTAGAGACAGATTTTCGTATTTTTGTGGAGACAGATTCTCGTCATGTTGGTCAGGCTGGTCTCAAATTCCTGACCTAATGATCCGCCTGCCTCGGCCTCCCAAAGTGCTGGGATTACAGGTGTGAGCCACTGCACCCAGCCTGTTATTATTTTTTAAATGTCCAACAGATATTATCTGAGTGCTTGGGATGAGGGGCCTTTCTGTTCTTTTTCTGTGGTGTCAAAGAAGAAAGAGGTAATGGAAGTTGGCAGGAAACAGCTATGGGTTTGTTGGGTCTTGCTGTTGGGGGCAGGGCCTGGCTGCGGACAAGAGGCTGAAAGGCCCAAGGACCCCAGAAGGGGATGGAGGAGTCACTGCATGGGGTGGGGGTCCTGCCCAGCCACCCACTGGCTGGGCAGCCTCTGAGGGGCCTGGGTGGGGCCTCAGGCTTTGGAGCGCTCTCTCCCTGTTGAGCTAAGCCTCCCAAAGCACCAGCTCCTTTACTCAGGGGGCACGAAACAAGACCTCTGTCTGTGTGCCTGAGGTTTGCCCACAGTTTGCATGTCCCCCCACTGCCTGTCCTCTTCCTGAGCCTCTGGCCGTGGCCTGTGGCAGATGGAAGGCGGAGGTGAAGGAGATCTCAGGCCAGGGGCTCTCTGATGAGTCTTGCCATGTCTGCTCACAGCTGCCTCCCTCCATTCCTGTGGCAGATGACCGGGCAGGAGCCACACCTTGCTGGCTACTCCTGGAGGGCCTGGGGATGCCCAGGGCTGCAGGGGTGCAAAGATGACACCCCACATATCCCCATGGTCGGGCCAGACAGGCTCCCTAGGTTGCCATTGCTCCTGGCCCAGCCCCAGATGGGGCAGGCTGTGGTTTCTGGGGTCAATCACCCCTGCACTGACCACCACGCCAAGCCATGCCCCTCATCCCTAGTGGACAGAGACCTCCCCATACATCCCTGAGGCGGGAAAAGTGCTGTGAGCTCCATTTCACAGGCTGAGAAACTGAAGGCCAGGTTGGTAAAGTGACTTGCCAAGGACATGGTGAGCTGGTGACAGCATAGAGCCTGAGAGCCAGGTGTCTCTCCATCCTGGTGCTCGCCCCTTAAGGGCGGGCTGATAAGAAATGAAGTTAATAGGATCTCAGGATTATGTGAGGAAAAGCCTGCCCTAAAAGTGACCCGCAGCCTGTGATCCCAGCACTTTGGGAGGCCGAGGCGGGCGGATTGCTTGAGCTCAGGAGTTTGAAACTAACCTGAATAACATGGTGAAACCCCGTCTCCACAAAAAAAAATGCAAAAATTAGCCGGGTGCGGTGGCAAGCGCCTGTAGTCCCAGCTGCTCAGGAGACTGAGGTGGGAGGATCACTTGAGCCCGGGAGGTAGAAGCTGCAGTGAGCCAAGACTGTGCCACTGCGTTCCAGCTGGGGCTACAGAGTGAAACCCTGTCTCAAAAAAAAAAAAAAAGAAAGAAAGAAAGAAAGAAAACTTATGTCTGCTGCACAAAAAACTGCACACAGATACTTATAGTAGCTTTATTCATAATTGCCAAAACATGAGCATAACCAAGATGTCCTCCAGTAGTTAAGGGAGAAATAAATTGCGGGACATCCAGACAATGAAATATTATTAAATGCTAAAAAGAAATGAGCTATTGATTGGGCGTGGTGGCTCACACCTGTAATTCCGGCACTTTGGGAGGCCAAGGCAGGCGGATCACCTGAAGTCAGGAGTTCGTGACCAACCTGGCCAACATGGCAAAACCCCATCTCTAATAAAAATACAAAAATTAGCTGGGTGTGGTGGTGCGTGCCTGTAATCCCAGCTACTAGGGAGGCTGAGGCAGGAGAATCATTTGAATCCAGGAGGCAGAGGTTGCAGTGAGCTGAGATTGCGCCACTGCACTCCAGCCTGGGCAACAGAGTGAGACTCCATCTCAAAAAGAAAAAAAAAAGAAATGAGCTATCAAGTCATGAAAAGACATGGAGGAAAAACTTCAGTGCATATCACAAAGTGAAAGAAGGCAATCTGAAAAGTTACGCATGCTGTATGATTTCAACTATATGACATTTGGGAAAAGGCAAAACTATGGAGACAGTAAAAAGATGATCGGTAAAAAGGTGGTCCTCTGGGGCTGAGAAGAGGGAGAAATGGGTAGATGGAGCACAGAGGATTTTAGGGCAGTGAAACAACAGTGTATGATGTCATTATACATTTGTCCAAACCCACAGAATATACAAGGCCAAGAGTGAGCCCTAATGCAAACTATGGACTTTGGGTGATACTATGTGTCAATGTAGGTTCATTGATTACAACAAATGAACCACTCTGGTGGGAGATATGGATAATGGGGGAAGAAGGAGGTATATGAGCATTCTATAGTTTCTGCTCACTTTTGCTGAGAAGCCAAAACTCTAAAAAAGAAAGCCTTTTTTTTTTTTTTTTTTTTTTTTTTGAGATAGGGTCTTGCTCTGTCATGCAGGCTGGAGTGCAATGGCATGATCACGGCTCACTGCAGCCTCACCCTGTCAGACTCTAGTGATCCTTCCCACCTCAGCCTCCCAAGTAGCTGGGACTACAAGTATGCACCACCACACTGGGCTACTTTTTGTATTTTTTGTAGAGACCAGGTTTCCCAGGCTGGTCTCAAACTCTGGGGATCAAGTGATCTGTCCACCTTGGCCTCCCAAAGTGCTGGGATTACAGACATGAGCTACTACACCTGGCACAAAGTCTATTTTTAAAAAAGTGACCCAGGAGCAAGGGTTCCAAAGAGCCCCTCTTGACCCTCTCCCCAAGGCCCTTTCTGGTCCATGCCAGCGGGGAGGTGGGTTAAGGGATGCTCAGCTCCTTCCCAGCATGAGGAAGTGAGACAGGCTTTGGTCGGCTCCCAGTGTTGGGGGCTGCAAGACAGCAGGCCCATCTTCACCCCTCTCATCTCCCCTCACACTTCCTGGAGGAGCCTCAAAGGTCCTTGGCCGTTGGCTCCCTTCTCCCCAGCTTCCTGTTTGGGTTCCACAGAGAGGTTTGGCCGTTTCTGCAGCTGAACTGGGAGCCAGTTGAACTGGTGAGAGGGAGGACACTTGCTGGGGAGTGGGTTGAGGGGCTGCCAGTCCAGGGGGCAGCAGCTGGGGGTTGGTTGGAGCCTCAGCTAAAATCATTTGGAGGCTCAAATCCTCAGGCCTGGAGCCTTTAAGACCTCAGTTAGTTCAGCCTCTACCTGGATGCAGCACATATTGGGGTTGGGCCGCTGAGCCGTAGACATCACCTTAGCCTGCTACAGCCGTACAGGCACCTTCTTACTGGTGTGACTTGAGCAGTCCACTTTGTCCAGCCAAGCCCCAGGTTCACCATCCGTGAATTCCCACTCCGTAGGCACACAGGCTGGTAATCAGCACTTACTGTTATGGCAGATGGAGCCCATACTTTGGACACATCAGAAGACAGGAAACCCAGCCTGTCCCCTACTCCTTCCTACCTGCCTCTTACCCTCTGCTCCTTGCGGCCCCTCACACCGCAAACTTGATCCTAGCTCCAGACCTGCCAGGGGTCTTGGGGAGTAGATGACAGGCCCGCCCTCAGAAAACCCAGGGTGGTTCAGGCTAGAGACAGACATACTTTGCTAAGTGGTCACTCGAGGTAGCAGCGTGGGAAGGCTGAGTTTCAAGGAAAGATTCTTAGGGAAAGAGTGTTTCAGCCAGGCATGGTGGCTCACGCCGATAATTCCAACACTTTGGGAGGCCAAGGTAGGAGGATCACTGGAGCCCAGGAGTTTGAGACCAGCCTGGGCAATATACTGAGGCCCTGTCTGTACAAAAATTTTTGAAACTTAGCCAGGTGGTACACACCTGTGGTCCCAGCCACTGGAGAAGCTGATGTGGGAGAGGTGGGAGGATCACCTGAGCCCACCAGGAGGTTGAGGGAGCCACGATGGCACCACTGCACTCCAGCCTGGGCAACAGAGGAGATCTTGTCTAAAAAAAACAAAGAAGAGAGTCTCAAGTCAGTTGTTTCAGAGTGAGTGGAGATAGCCCAGCACAGAAAGCTGGGCAAGGGGGCCGGGTGCGATGGCTCATGCCTGTAATCCCAGCACTTTGGGAGGCCGAGGCAGGTGGATCACCTGAGGTCAGGAGTTCAAGACCAGCCTGGCCAACATGACAAAACCCTGTCTCTATTAAAATACAAAAATTAGCTGGGCATGGTGGCGAGCGCCTGTAATCCCAGCTACTCCAGAGGCTGAGGCAGGAGAGTCACCTGAACCCAGGAGACGGAGGTTGCAGTGAGCTGAGATTGCGCCACTGCATTCCAGCCTGGGCAACAGAGCAGGACTCCGTCTCAAAGAAAAAAAGAAAGCTGGGAAAGGGGATCCCATTAGCAAATACCCAGAGGTAAGGCGGGTACCTGATGTGGACAGGCTCCCACTCATCCTGCCTCCTCTACTCTACTCCCTGGGATCCAAGACTGGCCAAAGGCCTCAGGTGCCCTGAGGTATCAGCAGGATCACAGTCCCTGCAGGTCCTGGCTCTGTCTGCCCCCACCAGGAAGCAGGCTCACCAGGTGAGCAGAGGCTGAGGTCACTGTAGTGCTTGCTGGCTACAGGGAGGGGATTGGGCCTGACTCACAGGGCCCACAGGACACAGCCCTCCAGCTGTGGCTGGGAAAGGACGGCCCTGCCCCCAGGGAGGCCACACCACATACCCTGGAGCCAGGGAGGGAGGACGGCACTGCAGGGGCTGCCGCCAGAGGGGCATGCCCACGTGGGCCCCACCTCAGCAAGGCTATTTACAAATAGGAAAGGCAACGCCTTCCTTCAGTGGAGTGTGTTGGGGAGAAGCTTCTCTTTGTGGGTGCACAAAGGGATGTTTGGGAGTCGGAACTCTGCAGGGTTGGGGTTAGGAGTAGAGAGGTACCCAGCTCCTGCTTCTCCAGCCCCAGCACAGCTACATCCTCCTGCCGCTGCTCCTAGGAAGGGTCCCAGGAAAGGAGAGTGTGAGCCCAAAGTGTGGGCTGGCCCCTGGCACCACGGTGCCCTGGCAGAGAACTGCCTCCCTCAGGAGATGAGGGCCTTCCGGGGCCAGCTGCTTGGCCTCCCCCTTTAGAATGGGGCCTCCTGGGGGCGGAAGCCGAGTCTTCTTCCAAGACAGAACCAGGGGCTCTCCTTCTTTCCGTTCTCCATGTCCCCTGGCAGTTCTGTGCCCATTTTCTCTGGTGACATATGGCCTGGGCCCGTGATGTCAAAGGGTCTCTGCTTCTTTTCCTTGGACTGTAGGGCTGGCCATCCCACGCCAGACCTTCTCCCTGGTCCATGAGGGTTTGGAGGGGAGGTAGGGCTGAGGAACGGTTGATGGGAGGAGAAGAAGGCAGGGCTGATACATAATTTGTGGAGTCCAGTCTAAAATGGAAAGTCAGGGCCCCGTGGTGGCTCACACCTGTAATCCCAGCACTTTGGGAGGCCAAGGCAGGCGGATCGCTTGAGGTCAGGAGTTCAAGACCAGCTTGGCCAACATGGTGAAAACCCATCTCTACCAAAAATACAAAAATTAGCCAGGCATGGTGGCATACACCTATAGTCCCAGCTACTTGGGAGACTGAGGCACGAGAATTGCTTGAACCCGGGAGGCTGAGGTTGCAGTGAGCCAATACCGCGCCACTGCACTCCAGCCTGGGCAAGGGATCGAGACTCTGTCTCAAAAAAAAAAAAAAAAAAAAAGGAAAAGAAAAGAAAAAAAGAAAGTCAGGGCCCCTTGCCCTTGCTCAAAATTTTTAAATTCCAGGATGACATTAACAGAGCATTAAACCAACCATGGGGCTGCATAGGTCACTGTTCATGAAGCCAGCCCTGCAGGAGAGGGCAGGTGTTCCAGAATCAGGGCCCTTGGTGGGGAAAGGAAAGGAGGTTGGAGCAAGGACCCAAGGTCCCTGCTGGACCCCCAGAAAACAAGGGAAGTGAGGCTGATGAGGCTGGATGGCACCAGATGCAGAGGGTCCTGAACACTCAAACTTGACCCTGATCCTAGAGGTAGACACTGAAGATTCCTGAGCCACAGGGAAGTGGGCCAGGGAGGCTGGGTCAGGGCAGCAGAGACATTAGACCTGGGAGGGCCTTCGAAACTCATCTGCTTGCCCTTTCCTGAAGAGGAGACTGAGGCCCAGAGAGGGACCAAGACCCGCCCAAGGTCACCCGGCAAAGGGTGCAGAGCTGGGCCAGAGCCCTGGCTGCCTAGAATCTTGTCTCAGGTTGTGCGGCGAATTAAGTTGAGAGCTGATGTGCAGGGTAGGAGGGCAGCTGGTGCTGGGCCTCTGGTGTCTGTGTTCACCTAAGGAGTAGGACCCACCCTCCCAGCACCTCTGAGCCGGCACTTTCCTTTCCTGGGTGCTCTTCTCCTCTGGCCCTGCCTCAGGGTTTCCTGTGTCCCTCTCACTTGGGGTCCATCCTCTTGCTTCTCTGCTGCCTTCCATACTTGGCCCAGGAGCGGAGCCTCACTAGGCATCTGGACTTTTGGAAAATTCCTGCCCCACCCCCTACCCCACTGCCAGCCTGGCCTTCAGGGGCACTGAGTGGGGGACCCTGTGACAAGAAGATAGCCAAAGGCCGGACGCGGTGACTCCCGCCTGTAATCCCAGCACTTTGGGAGGCTGAGGCGGGTGGATCACCTGAGGTCAGGAGTTCGAGACCAGCCTGACCAACATAATGAAACCCCATCTCTACTAAAAATACAAAAAATTAGCTGGGCATGATGGCGGGCGCCTGTAATCCCAGCTACTTGGGAGGCTGAAGCAGGATAATCACTTGAACCCAGGAGGCGGAGGTTGCAGTGAGCTGAGATGGTGCCATTCCACTCCAGCCTGGGCAACAACGGTGAAAGTTCATCTCAAAAAAAAAAAAAAAGAAGGCAGCCAAGGCCCACAAGGTTCCTCCAGGCCCCAGCTACCCTATTTCCTCTAGCCTGCCCCTGTAATGTAACCAGATGACCTGTCGCCTCCCTATTCTCCCTGCATTCCAGGGCCCACCTAACGCATCTGGAGGCCTCACGGAGGCCTTGGGGCCCCCTGAGGACCACAAATCCGTTACTTCTCAGTGCCCTTAGGGACATGGAGAATGGTCCAAAAACAGTCTATGCAAATACATGCAAAAGAGATGTAAATAGAAATGTGAGCATCCCCAGTTAAAGCCAATTTCGGCTTTAAGTGTTGCTTCCCTCCTCTCTGCTTTGCCTGAGTCATCAAAATTTGTGAGTTTGTGTGAATGAGTGAGAGTGCGTGTGGGAGAGAAAGAGAGACAGACAGAAACACAGGGCAAAAGACAGCGTGGCAGGCTGGGCGGGAAACCTGGCTCAAAGTGTGTGTGCTGTGCTGGGATATGGGAACACTGCTTATGGCTGAGAAGCTCGTATTATATGTTTCCCGGACTCCCCACTATCCCCTGACAAACCCTGGGCTCACTGTCAAGGATGGGGGAGCTGGACTGTGGGGAGCAGTGGTCCAGGGAGGAGGTGAGGGGCAAAGGGGAGCAGGTTGAGGTTCTCAAGGATGTACTGGGGGTTCAGCTCTGAGTCTAAGACAAGGGGCTGGGGCCCCAGAGGAAACCTCTGAGCCCCTGAGGTATGGGTCTGGAAGCCCCATCAGTGCCAGTCAGAGGCCATCCCCTTCCTTAGTGTTGCTGCTGCCCTGAGGAACTCGTGTGGGAGCCACTGGGCCAGCGAGGCTCTTGACCTTCGGGGGCCTTTCTTTCCTCATCTGTAGACACAAGCGCTGGTGTGAGGAAACCGCAGTGCAATGCTGATTCTACACCATCCTGCACTGGTAAGATGATTTGTAACATGCAGGAAGAAGGAAAATGGCAGGTCCTTCTAGACGTCTCTGCAAAAAACTTAGTAAAACATCTTAAAGGAATGAGCCCCATTTTAGGAGGGAGAGAGAAATCCCCATCTAGAGCCAGTGGGTCTCCACGTGGAGTCTCCTTGGGTCATATCCTCGGTTCTGAGGAGATCAGGGGCACCCTTACTTGGAAGAGCTAAAGTCATCTCTCCCACATAATGGAGGCCATAAGCGGTTGTTAAGTGTTCAGGTATCAATACAGGTGAGAGAAAGTTGAAAGGAGAAAGGGGCCAGGCGCAGTGGCACACGCCTGTAATCCCAGCACTTTGGGAGGCTGAGGAGGGAGGATCGCTTGAACCCAAGAGTTTGAGACCAGCCTGGGCAATATAATGAGATCCCCAAGTCTACAAAAATAATTTTTTTTTTTTTTTTTGAGATGGAGTCTGGCTCTATTGCCCAGGCTGGAGTGCAGTGGTGTGATCTCGGCTCACTGCAAGCACCGCCTCCTGGGTTCACGCCATTCTCCTGCCTCAGCCTCCAGAGTAGCTGGGACTACAGGCGCCCGCCACCACGCCCCGCTAATTTTTTGTATTTTTAGTAGAGACAGGGTTTCACCACATTAGCCAGGATGGTCTCGATCTCCTGACCTCGTGATCCACCCACCTCGGCCTCCCAAAGTGCTGAGATTTAAAAAAATTTTTTTAAATTAGTCAGGCATGGTGGTGCACACCTGTGGTCCCAGCTATTTCGGAGGCTGAGGCAGGAAGACCACTTGAGCCCAGGAGGTCAAGGCTGCAGTGAGTTATGATCGCACCACTGCACTCCAGCCTGGGTGACAAAGCAAAACCATGTCTTAAAAAAACAAACAAAAAGGCCGGGCGCGGTGCCTCACACCGGTAATCCCAGCACTTTGGAAGCCTGAGGAGGGTGGATCACTTGAGTGAAGTCAGGAGTTTGAGACCAGTCTGGCCAACATGGTGAAACCCCGTCTCTACTAAAAATACAAAAATTAGCCAGGAGTGGTGGTGTGTGCCTGTAATCCCAGCTACACGGGAGGCTGAGGCAGGAGAACGGCTTGAACCCAGGAGGAGAATGGCTTGAACCCGAGAGGCAGAGGGTGACAGAGTGAGACTCCATCTCGAAAGAGAGAAAGAAAGAAAGAAAGAAAGAAAGAAGGAAGGAAGGAAGGAAGGAAGGAAGGAAGGAAGGAAGGAAGGAAGGAAGGAAGGAAAGAAAGAAAGAAAGAAAGAAAGAAAGAAAGAAAGAAAGAAAGAAAGAAAGAAAGAAAGAAAGAAAGAAAGAAAAGCAAGCAAGCCACACATGGTTGGGAACTGTGGCTGAAAAGAAGCTGAGCTTGGGGCCTAGACAGCTGTGGCAAGAACGGTGTTAGGTCCTTTTCAGTTTTGTATGGCTTTTGCACCAGGCAGGCCAGCTTCTGCCATTTCCTGTCTGTTTGAGCGTGGCCAAGTCCTTTAATTTCACCCAGCCTCAGTTTCGCCATCTGTAAAATGGGGATGACATTGCCTGTCACTAGGCCTGCAGTGTCAATGCAGTTCACTGACATGCAGAGAGAGCAGTGCAGGCCCAGGCTACGGTGGGGCTTACGTACCATAGTAACTTACCCACACAGTCATCTGGGGCTTCCCCACAAACAGGAATGAGAGCATATCAATAGAGTTATTATTTGAATAAATAATTCCATTTTTCTATATTTATAGAAAAAGACGCAGGTGAACCCTGTGTCATACTGCCTGTGGTTCCTGCTGTGGGGAGGGTGACCATGGCTTCACCCAGGGGCAGGCCCTAGGCTTAGGTGAGATAGAGCAGTCCCCGCCCCCAGCGCTCGGAGGCTGTGCACTTAAACTTCAAAGGACCTTCCAACAGATGCAGCTGGTTTCCTGCAGCCGTGCAGCAGCCAATGCCAGCCTGAATCACCCCGGCCTAAGGGAAGCTGGGGAGCAGAGGCCCGCAGAGACCTTAGCCCAGGTTAATATGAGAGGCTTCCTGGAGGCAGAACACACCCAGATTCTAACTGCTAGAAGAAAGAAGAGAATGGCGTGTTGGGGAGTTGCTGTAGCCCAGGGTGTTGGGGCCTGGGATGTGTAGATTCAGAGGGGTCTTTAGGAGGAACGACTTGGGAGATAAGAGCGATAAGAGCACTGATAAACGAGGTCACAGGTAGGAATGTAACCTGCGGACTCTCCAAGCCCCAGGAGTAGCTGGGTTCAGGCAGGTCCTCTCCTCCAGAAGGCCCACCAGGAGTGCCTACAGTGGTGTAGCTTGCAGCTTCCAAGCTACAGGAAGAGTCCTTGGGTCTGTGCTGTGGGTATGAGAGAGTGAGATGGGGTGGACACGGGCCAGGGCCAGGGCCAGGGCAGGATGGGGGCATGGGGAAGTGGTATCCCTAAGCAAGGGGCTTAGAGGCCCTGTGTGGGGCTGGCCCACGGCAGGTGGGAGGGATTTTTAGGTAGGCTCAGGTGCAGATGGAGACATTACGCCGTGGCCCCACAGGTGGTTAATATTTAATCTCCTCCTTAATCATTAACTCCCTGGCTGGCTGGGGAGGAACAGGGCTGTTGTCAAATCAGTAACCACAGGCCCAGGAACAATGTCCACAGATCTCATGGCCTCTCCCATTGCTGGCCGAGTGGGGTAACCCCTGGCCCTGGGGGCCAGGTGCATCTCCCTCCCACGGTGACCTTGGGCCATGGAGAGGGCTTGAAGAGGCCAATCCTCTCCGAGCCCCTGGATCGCCCTTTACCCTCCACCCTCTACTTACTGGTGGGGAGTGGTGGGAGGTGGTGTCCATTCACGCATGAGGGTTCTAGTCCCTACCCACTCCTTCCAGGCTGTGTGACCTTGGGCAACTCACGTAGCCTCCCTGAACCTCAGTTTCCTCATCTGTGCAATGAGGATAATTATTCGTGTCTTGGAGGATTGTCATGAGATTTGAATGAGAGGAGGGTATACAAGGAAGTACTTTCTAAGCTGACGATTGAGTTAGCAAACAAGTTAGAGAAAGTACAGATGGGAAGAGACAGAGAGCAAAGGGTAAAGAGGAAAGAAAACAGCTTGAGAGCTCTTGTTTCCATCCACCCAAATGCAGTTCCTTTCCTTGGAGTTTGTTTTAATTCATTCAAGGAGTGTTGATTGATAAGGCTGTGTCTCCCTAAGTGGGGCTTTAGGGGTAATTTAAAAAGGAGTCAACCTCACCCTCAGGGAGCAAGAGTGACCAGGCTCCAGGGCTGAACCCAGCAGTGTCTGGGATGAAGGTCAGCAGGTCAGTGGGATGGGCTGGAGGGTCAGAGCAGGCCTTAAGGCTGAAGCAGGGCGGGGAGAGGATCCTGAGGGATGATTAGGAGTTGCGTGTGGAGGTGTAGGGAGGACTGTGCGTGCAAGCTTGCACCTAGGGATGTTTGTGTCCTTGAATTCAAGCACATAAGCAGACTATCTGAACACAGCCTGTCGCGAGGGTACACATGAATCACCCACAAACTCAGAGTAGTCAGCCACCCACCCACAAACACACACACACAGATGCACACGGTCACCCCAGGGGCGTGTGGACACACCAGCACCTTGGGATGGCAAGGCCCTCCTCTTCCAGCCCCAGCCCTGAGGCTTTCTGGATAACTTAGCATATGTGTCCCCCAGTTTGTGTGCTTTCTGGGCCTGGCTGACACCCATCACAGGACTGAACACTTCTGGCGTTCCAAAGTCTTCAGGTACATCAAGAAGCCACGGTATCCTCTCAAAGCCACCAGGTCTCCAGCTGGGACCCAGTGAGTGTGGATGTGAGGGAGCTGTAGGCAGAGAGCTTGGAGCTGGTATGGAGCCCTGGACACATCGCTGCCTGGGACAGGAGACAGGGCAGCTGGACATTGCAAACCCTCCCTGACCACTCCCCAGCCTGTGGGAGCAGGTGGAGGCTGGCCTGGGGGCAGCAGCTGGCGCTTCTTGGAGGAGGTGGGCATGGAGCTGGCCTTTAGAATGGAAGGATTTGAGGGGCAGAGATAGGTCGCAGGGAGCTACTGGAGCCCCCAGGAGCCAAGCCCCCAGCCCTCCTCTGGGTGGTTCACTCACATGCCACACTTGGGCTGGGCCCAGCCTGCCAGAACCAAAAAGAAGCCAAGCAGTGACTTTTTTTTTCTTTTCTTTTTTTTTTGTGAGACAGAGTCTCACTCTGTTGCCCAGGCTGGAGTGCAGTGGCTCAATCTCAGCTTACTGCAACCTCTGCCTCTCAGGTTCAAGCGATTCTCCTGCCTTAGACTCCCAAGTAGGAGTAGCTGAGACTACAGATGCATGCCACCATGTCCAGCTAATTTTTGTATTTTCAGTAGAGATGGGGTTTCACCATATTGGCCAGGCTGGTCTTGAACTCCTGACCTTGTGAGCCGCCTGCCTTGGCCTCCAAAAGTGCTGGGATTACAGGGGTGAGCCACCTTGCTCAGCCCAGGCAGTGACTTTTGAGAAACTGGGCTGAGTGGTAATAAAAACAAAATTCTGTCCTTCCCCGTGCTGCCTCCTACAGGGGACTCTGAGGACTGGAGGTCTGGGGGAGGGGTCCAGCTCTGAGCTTTCTAAGCAAATACTAAGACTTCTCCTACAGGAAGCCAGTCCTGACCCATGGTCCCTGCCCCAAGGAGTTGCTAATCCAGTGGATGCCATGGATCCAAACTGCCAGAGCCTGAATCCTGCCTTGATCTGTTTCTGGCTGTGTGACCTTGGGTCTGTTACCCGACCTCTCTGTGCCTCTGTTTTTTAATCTAGAACCTGGAGGTGATAATAGTGGAGTGAATTTGCTGCTTGTGGTTGCTGTGAGGGTTAGATGAGACCCAGGGCTCAGCACAGTGCCTGGCATATAGTAAGTGCTACAGCCATTTGAAGGAGAATGTGTTTTTGACTGCCATCTTTAGGGAAGCTTCCTGGAGGAGGAGACATATAAGCAGGCCCCTGAAGGACCAGCAGGATCCCCAGAGATCCAGAGGGAGGGAAGGTACCACTTCCCTGCGGAGGGGCCAGGGCGAGTGTGGGCAGGAAAGAACGTGGCATAGTTGGGGTCACCAGGAGCCTGTGAGGCCACAGCCCCTGCTTGGAGGACGGAAGTGAGGGTGATGATCAGGGTGGGGAGTGGTCAGGGAGGGTTTGCAATGTCCAGCTGTCCTGGAGAGGGGAACGCTTGGAGGCTTGTGAGGGGAGCCCCAGGATTGCTCAGGCTGAGCTTGGCAGCAAAGAGCAGGCCCTGTTGGAGGAAGAAACCCAGGCAGAAGGCTGTCGGGAGACAAGAGCCCTGCAGGAAGGAGGCACGAGGGCTCTGGGCTCAGGCGGTGCTGGGAGGCTGGCCGGAGACTGTGGAAGGGGCAGTGCACAGGCCTCATCTGCAGGCTGGCCTCTCCAGCTGGACTCATTCAGAAAACATCCTCCACAAAGCCCCATCAGAGAGCCCTGGGACATGCTGAGGCCCCGTCCAGCCCCGACTTCCTATGGGTCTGGCCCAGTGACCTTGGGCAGGTCACTTACCCAGCCTCCATTTTTTCTTTTTTTTCTTTTCTTTTTTTTTTTTTTTTTTTGAGACAGTCTTGCTTTGTCGCCCAGGCTGGAGTGCAGTGGCGCGATCTCCGCTCACCGCAAGCTCTGCCTCCCAGGTTCACAGCATTCTCCTGCCTCAGCCTCCTGAGTAGCTGGGACTACAGGCGCCCACCACCACGCCCAGCTAATTTTTTTTTTTTTTTTTTGTATTTTTAGTAGAAATGGGGTTTCACCGTGTTAGCCAGGATGGTCTCGATCTCCTGACCTCATGATCTGCCCGTCTCAGCCTCCCAACCTGCTGGGATTACAGGCGTGAGCCACGGTGCCCGGCCCCCAGCCTCCATTTTTTCATCTGCCAAGTGGGCACAGGAATTCCTGCCCACTGTCCTTGCCCATGGGGTTGGAGAGGCGGTCTGATCTTGGGATGTAGAAGTCCCAAGAGGAGTCTCTGCTGCTTTCCACCCAAGGGCCAGGCAGGGAGGTTCAGGGCTGGGGAAGAGCCAGGCTACAGCTTTGCCTCTCTCCTCCTGGGCTGGCCCCTCAGCTTATCTGGGTCAGGGCAGAAGCTGGGGTGGGCGCGGAGGAGATACTCCTTCAGCGGCCTGATAGTGTGAGGGGATGATAAAGGGCCCAAGCCCAGCAGCCAGCTTAGGGAGAGGTGGTGCGACCAGTGAGGCTGGGCTGGAGGGTGGCATTGCTCCAGGCTGGCACTGCCCTGCCCCTCATCCAGCCCCACTGCATCCCTGAAGGGCAGTTGGGTACTGCCCAGCCTTACACCACCCCATGGGCAGGAGAAGGGAGAGGCCTCTGAAGGTTGATGGTGGCCTTTGGACACTGTTTCAGGGAACTGATGGAGGCAGAGGCCAGCCTCTCGGGTAACAGAAGGGTGACCGACTTGCCCTGGGTTGCCTGGGGCTTTCCCAGTTTCAGAGTGGAAAGCCTGTCCTGGGAAACCCTTCAGTCCTGAGCAATTCAGAATGGTTTGCTGAGGCCAGCCATTCAGTTTTTGGTTTTTTGTTTGTTTGTTTGTTTGTTTTTTGTTTTTTTCTTGAGACAGAGTCTTGCACCCAGGCTGGAGTGCAGTGGCGTGATCTCAGCTCACTGCAACCTCCACCTCCCAGGTTCAAACGATTCTCCTGCCTCAGCCTCCCCAGTAGCTGGTATTACAGGCACATGCCTCCAAGCCTGGCTAATTTTTGTATTTTTAGTACAGACAGGGTTTCACTATGTTGACCAGGCTGGTCTCGAACTCCTGACCTCAAGTGATGCACCCGCCTCGGCCTCCCAAAGTGCTCCCACAGGCGTGAGCCACCACGCCTGGCTGCCTTTGTTTCTTATCTACAACAAAGAGGTGATAGTAGAGTACATTTGCTGCTTCTGGTTGCTGTGGGGGTTAGATGAGACCCAGGGCTCAGTGCGGTGCCTAGCACATAGTAAGTTCTACAGCCATTTGAAAGATAATGTGGTTTTTTGTTTGTTTTTTAATTTTTTTTTTTTTTTTTTTTGAGATAGAGTCTTGCCCTGTCGCCCAGGGTGGAGTGCAGCGGCTCGATCTCGGTTCACTGCAACCTCCACCTCCTGGGTTCCAGCGATTCTCTTGCCTCAGCCTCCCAAGTAGCTGGGACTACAGGTGCATGCCACCACACCTGCCTACTTTTTTTTTTTTTTTTGAGACAGAGTCTCTCTCTGTTGACCAGGCTGGAGTGCAATGGCAAGGTATCGGCTCACTGCAACCTCCACCTCCCAGGTTCAAGTGATTCTCCTGCCCCAGCCTCCTGAGTAGCTGGGATTACAGGCGCCCACCACCACGTCCAGCTAATTTTTGTATTTTTAGTAGAGGCAGGGTTTCACCATGTTGGCCAGGCTGGTCTCGAACTCCTGACCTCAGGTGATCCACCCACCTCAGCCTCCCAAAGCGTTGTGATTATAGGTGTGAACCACCGCACGGCCGAGAATGTGTTCTTGACTGGCATGTTCAGGGAAGCTTCCTGGAGGAGGAGACGTATAAGCAGGCCCTTGAAGGACCAGCAGAGTCCACAGAGATCCAGAGGAAGGGAAGGTACCACTTCCCTGAAGAGGGGCCAGGGCGAGTGTGGGCAGGAAGGAACACAGCATGGCTGGGGTCACCAGGAGCTTGTGAGGCCACAGCCCTTCCTGGAGGATGGAAGTGAGGGTGATGATTGGGGTGGGGAGTGGTCAGGGAGGGTTTGCAATGTCCAGCTGCCATGGAGGGGGGAACGCTTGGAGGCTTGTGAGGGGAGCCCCAGCATCGCTCAGGCTGAGCTTGGCAGCAAAGAGCAGGCCCTGTTGGAGGGAGAAACCCAGGCAGAAGGCCGTCAGGAGACAGGAGCCTCACGTGAGGGAGGCACCGCGGCTGGGGGCTCAGTGCTTGATGACAGGTTCAGAATAGGCTGCTGGGACTGGACAGGAAAGCTGTCAGGAGGGCAGAGGGATACCTGGGGACACCTCGCCCCAGGGCATTCAGAAGGGAGTCCCTCTGCAGCCTGTTCTTCCAGCCTACGCCCCCTTGCCCCCTGCCTTGGGCTTGCTTTCCTCCAGCACTTACACTGTAAAAAATCATGGCCTTGGATCGGCGCAGTGGCTCAGGCCTGTAATCCCAGCACTTTGGGAGGCCAAGGTGGGCGGATCACAAGGTCAGGAGCTCAAGGTCAACCAACCTGGTCAACATGGCGAAACCCTGTCTCTACTAAAAATACAAAAATTGTCCAGGTGTGGTGGTGCCTGCCTGCAATCCCAGCTACTCGGGAGGCTGAGGCCGGAGAATTGCTTGAACCTGGGAGGCGGGAGGTTACAGTGAGCCAAGATCATGCCATTGCACTCCAGCCTGGGCAACGAGAGCAAGACTCCATCTCAAAAAAAAAAAAAAAAAGGTGGGGGGGCTTTCCTTACCTTGATGCTGACACAGGAGGTGAAAATCCTAAAGACCCTTGGCCCTGGCACCCCATCTAGGATGGGCACGGACGGGGAGATGAGAGCAAGATTCATGCAGGAAACAGAGCACCCCAGGGGAGAAGGCTCTGAGTTTTGTTTGGGTGATGGGCCTGAGGGGATGAGACAGGCAAGTTGCATCCAAAGCAGCTCCTAAGGTTCAGACAAAAGAATGTATAATATCTGAGAGGGAAGGTGGGCTCTGGGGAAATGTATGAATCAGATGCCAGCTGGGCGCAGTGGCTAACACCTGCAATCCCGATACTTTGGGTGGATCACTTGAGCCCGGGAGTTGGAGACCAGCCTGGGCAACATGGTGAAACCCTGTCACTACACACAAAAAAACAAAAATTAGCCAGGTGTGGTGCGTGCCTGTAGTCCTAGCTACTCAGGAGGCTGAGGAAGAAGAATGGCTTGAGCCCAGGAAGTGGAGGCTGCAATGAGCCGTGTTTGCAGCACTGCGCTTCAGCGTGGGTGACAGAGCGAGACCCTGTCTCAAGGAAAAAAAGAATTAGATGCCCCCAGAGTGGCTATTCTAGACTGGATGGGCCGTCTACCCCACCTCCCTCCCAGGAGCCCAGAGTTGGTGGTGTGGACAAAGTCTGTTAGTAAAGCTGGATGTGGTCCTGTTGTTAACATCAGGGTTGGCAAATGGGCCCAGTTAAGCTGGTCACATTCTAACTGTAGGCGCTGTTGCTTCCAGAAAGTCCTTCCTGGCCCTCTGTGGCCCACCCCCACCACGGCTCCTTCCACCTCACATCACGCCCCGTCACTTTCACCTACTTACACCTCCACTATCCCCTCCTCCCTGGAGGTGTCCCTGTCTGGTCACCTCTGAATCTCCAACACCTTCCAGGTAGTGTGCTCAGAAGATTGCACACTTCCAGGCATCTCCCACCACACATGCCTGAAGATTCATGTGTGGTGGGAGATGGGGTGCCCAGCAGTGACCACGAAGTTCCAGACAGGTGGGGGTCCTGGGGAAGGGCTGGTAACCTGGAGCTCAAGGAGGGGCCCAAAGGCCAGTCGAGGTGTTCTGAGGGGAGAGAGTGCTGCAAGGGGTCCCCAATTTCTGAGGCTGTTTGTGTCTCTAACCCAGCCTTCCCTCCCTCTTGTGCCAGACTCAGCCAAGAGAACAAACTGTGTGAGCAGATGGTGCTGCTGTCCAGGCTGAGACAGAATCCCTACAGACAGGCTGGCCAAAGGGTCCGGCCCTGGACCTCCTAGGTGTGGCTGAGGCTGGGGAGGGGAGAGGCTGAGGGCCGGGCCACCAGTCTGGGAGAGGCTGCGGGGAGAGGTGCTGAGGGCAGGGGAGCCAGGCCTGGCTGGCCTTTGAAGGGCAGGCCTTCCTGGGGAGGACACTTTAATCGCCCCCAATTAAACCATCGCCGGAAGCTTTTAACAGCCCCATAAGGCCTTTTAAGGACCGCCCTTTTGTTAGGCAGCCAAGCTGTTATGCAAAAAGAGAGCAGGCCAGAGCCTCTTACCACTTTCCCCAGGCCCTAAGACCAGCGGGCCCCAAACTCCAGTCCGAGTCCAAAGAGGCTGCTTGTTGGGGAATCAAAGGCTGGGGAAGCTGCTTTGATCTGGGGAAACCCAGCCCTTCCCAGCCTCCCCAGCTCGAGACCTCCTCCCACCCCCGCCCAAGGGCTTGAGCCCTTGAGGTCTTCACTCCCACAGTTTCCAGTGTGGAGCCTGTTGGCTGATCCCCGGGGTCCTGGGAGGCTGCCCCTGTGCCTTACTTCAAGAGGCAGGCCTGCCACAGGCTAGGAGCTTCCAGGGCTCCCACTACCCCTCAGGGCAAGGACACCTTGGCCTCACCTCTTCAACCTGCGCTAAGGTCTTCTCGGTCCCATGAGACTCCGAGTGTCAGATGGGCGTCACCTGGGACTCTGTTAGAAGCGAGGACTCTTGGGCCCCACTCCAGGCCTTCTGAACCAGAACCTGCTTTTTAACAATTTCCTCCGGGAAAGTTGAGACATTTGAGAAGTAATGCTCAAGTGTCTTCCCTCCCTGGCCCCCAAAGCAAGATAGAGTGTAGGAATGATGTTAGCCATGGTAGACTGTGGGCACTACACCCCTCTGTTTTCCAAATTTTCTTCACCATATCTGTTTTTAAAAATGACAACAAAGCCTTTTCTGTAAATAGCAGCTTCTGGAGGACCCCAAATGGAAGGCTTCCATTTGGTCCTTTGGTTGACATCAAAACCCTCCACCCTGGTGTCCACATCTGCTTCATCATTGCATACCCAGAACTGCCGGAGGGAGACAGGACAGACATTCCCATTATACAGAAGAAGAAACAAACCCAGGAAGGCTGGTGGACTGGCTTGAGTGAGGAGCAGAGTTAGAGGGAAACTCAGGAAACCCAAGCTGGTTCAGGACCTGCCTACTGTCAGGTCAAGTCAGGCTGCCACAGACAGCTGTGAAATGGGAGCACTACATAAGCGTGTCTGGCCTGGGGGTGGGCGCAAGGCGGGGCTGAACTACAGCTCCCTCCCCACTCACCAAGGGCGTCCTTGTTGGGCAGGAGGAAGGGGAGCCTTTTTCTTTCCTTCTTTTTTTTTTTTCGAGATGTAGTCTTGCTCTGTCGCCCAGGCTGGAGTGCAATGGCGCAATCTTGGCTCATTGCAACCTCTGCCTCCTGTGTTCAAGCGATTCCCCTGCCTCAGCCTCCCGAGTAACTGGAATTACAGGCACCCGCCCCCACGCCCGGCTAATTTTTTATATTTTTAGTAGAGACGGAGTTTCACCATGTTGGTCAGGCTGGTCTTGAACTCCTGACCTCAGGTGATCCACCTGCCTCAGCCTCCCAAAGTGCTGGAATTATAGGCGTGAGTCACCACGCCCGGCCACCTTTTTCTAATTTATGCAAAAGTCCCACACAGGTTTCCAGAATTCCCTATTTCCCTCCTCCTCCCCCTAAGAGTTGCAGGTCATCAGCACCTGTCACTTGCTATCCTTTCAGGCTTAGTATTTTCTTTCTGGGTCCCATGCAGTCCCCATAACAACTCTCTGACTCATTCTTCCCATGAAGCCTTCTTCCTTCTGCTGTTTTCCTGGAAGTTGTTTCTTTGAAAACTAAACAAGACCGGAAGAGCACTCCACCAGATGAGTCAGATCCTGTAGGGACCAAGGTGTCCCACCGCAGACCCTCGGACAGATAGTCTGGCTCAGCGGGGAACACCAGTAGGGGTTGGTTTAGAGGCATTTTCTGGATGTTTTCAGGTCTTGAGCCTTTAGCAAATCTTGAGTACCTGGGTGTACAAAGGGCTGAAATCCACCTTACTTTTCCTCCAGGGTCTTCCAGCAACCCCTAGATTCAGGCAGTGTGTTTAGGGCCCCTGGGGCTGTGGGAGAACCCTTTAGCGCAGGGCCCAGCAAATGCTTTCTGTAAAGGGCCAGATGTAAAAAGAATAAGGCTTTGGAGTCTTTTGTCTCTGTCACAACTACCCAACTTGGCCATACCTGACTGGGCACAACTGTGCTTCAATAACATTTTTTAACGGGCACTGACATTTTAATTTCATATGATTTTCACATGTGCCAGAGTGTTATGCTGCTTTTGATTTTCTCCCTGCAACCACGTAAAAAATCATTCTAGCTCTCAGGCTGCACAAAAGCAGACAGTGGGTAAAACCGGGCCCACAGGTCAACTGTAGCCTCAGCTACTTGGGAGCTCAAACCATAGTTTGCTGACCCATGAAACAAAGCGAAGTTTTTCAGATCGGTCATCAAGTCAGCCTTGGATTCAAGTCCTGGTTTTTTAACTAACCACTGGTGTGAGTCATGGCATGTTACTAAGCCTCTCTGAACCTCTGTTTCTTCTCTGTCACCTAGGGACGGTGGTGTCTGCTGTTCCGGGATTGAGAGAGATGAAGCACTTACTCACCTCAGTGACTGGTGTGCGCAGCCACTCCCTGTAGGTGAACCATGAACTTGTAGCAGCCCATTCGGAGGTCAGCGGGAGGGGGCGCGAGCCTAATGAGGTCAGGAGTCCTTTCCTGGAGGAAGGCGGGGGTGAGCTGGACTGATATGAGACCAGCAGTGATGGAAGGAGAGAGAAACTTTGGAGAGGTCAGGTCAAGAAAACTCAATCCTGGGGTCTGGCCATTAAAGGCTCTGAGAAGGGGCCCCCTTCAAAGTAGGGCCAAGGGGAGGTTCATCTACAGGTGCTGCCTGGGCGCCGGGGAACTGGGGTGGGGGGACGGTGGGGGAAGACACCATGGACTAGAGATATGTGAGGAGGTTGCTGGTGAATCCATGTGATTGGGAGTGGGAGTGGTGGGGTGGGGGTTCCCCTGAGTGCCAGGATCTATAGATGGAAACAGCCCCAGGGAACGTGCCTACAGGCACTAAATGCAGTTTTGACTGCAAGCACATTTCCGCAGTAATGTGAAGGGGCTGCCTATTGTTTTGCTGATGAAGTATCTGTCCTTTCCCTCCTCCTGCCCTCCATGGCACCATCATGTCATGGTACACGCCAGTCCCTTTGCTCCTCCATACTGACTGGTGCAGGGGTAGCATCTGAGCAAAGCCCAGCCAATCGGGGTCCTTCCCTAAGAGTCTTGTTCACGTGGGATCAGAGAGAGTATAAGTCCCTCTGTGTGAGCAGGAACATCAAGATGTGAACCTCAGGCCTGGCCAGCAGCTGTGTTGCCTACCACAGGGAAGTCAAAAAATTCAGGAGAGAAGGAAGTTGATCCCACCAGGAAGGGATTCAGTGAGAGTCGGGAGAGGCCTGCGTTCCTGCCCTTCCACTGTGTGTGGCTTGGCGACAGTTCTTCCTCTGATGTAGGAGCTACCCAAATTCTTTGAATAAACGCCTCATGTGATCTTGGCTCACTGCAACCTCCGCCTCCCAGGTTCAAGCAATTCTCCTGCCTCAGCTTCCCTAGTAGCTAGGATTACAGGCGTGTGCCACCACGCCTGGCTAATTTTGTATTTTTAGTAGAGATGGGGTTTCACTATGTTGGTCAGGCTAGTCTTGAACTCCTGACCTCAGATGATCCGCCTGCCTCAGCCTCCCAAAGTGCTGGGATTACAGTTGTGAGCCACCACATCCGGCAAACGCTTCTTTTTCTAAAGCAAGTCTGAGTTTCTATTACTTGCAATTAAAGAAAGTCATTGACCACATGCATCATCACAGCATTCCTCCCCAGCATTTATTGCTCATTTGCTGTGTGCCAGGCACCGGATAAGTGCCTTACATCCATTACTTAATAGACTTCTCAGTTATGCTGTGAGCTGCGGGTGCGCCTACCAACATTTTACATTTGATTAAACTGAGGCTCCGACTTCACCGGACGTTTAAGTGGGGTGGTCTTCAGGCCCTGGGCTGAGTTCTCTTTGGCTGATTATTTGAGAGCCGTGATTACTCTCTCCCAAACAATCTTCCCATTCCTGTCTTTTAATTCCACCTCTACGATTTCCAATTTTCAATCTAGAAAATTTCTTTGTTTTACTTATTTGAGACGGGGTTTCACTCTGTTGCCCAGGCTTGTGTTCAGTGGCACAATCTCCGCTTACTGCAACCTCCACCTCCCAGGCTCAGGTGATCCTCCCACCTTAGCCTCCTAAGCTCCCGAGTACCTGGGACTACAGGTGTGCACCACCATGCCTGACTAATTGTTTATATTTTTTTGTAGAGATGAGGTTTCGCCATGTTGCCTAGGCTGGTCTCAAACTACTGAGTTCAAGTGATCCGCCCTCCTCGGCATCCCGAAATGTTGGGATTACAGGTGTGAGCCACTGCACCCAGCTGATGTTTCTTTTATTTTTAATTAATTTATTTACTAATTTATTTCGAGACAGAGTTTCACTCCTGTTGCCCAGGCTGGAGTGCAATGGCGCAATCTCAGTTTACTGCAACCTCTGCCTCCCGGGTTCAAGTGATTCTCCTGCCTTAGCCTCCTGAGTAGCTAGGATTACAGGCATGCGCCACCACCCCCAGCTAATTTTGTGTTTTTAGTAGATATGGGGTTTCACCATGTTGGCCAGGTTGGTGTCGAACTCCTGACCTCAGGTGATCCGCCTCCCTCGGCCTCCCAAAGTGCTGGGATTACAGGCATGAGCCACCGCACTGGCATTTTTATTTTTTTGATACTTTTTTTTTTGAGATGGAGCCTCACTCTGTTGCCCAGGCTGGAGTGCAGTGGCCTGATCTCGGCTCACTGCAACCTCCTGGGTTCAAGTGATTCTCGTGCCTCACCTCCCAGGTAGCTGGGATTATAGGCGTGTGCCACCATGCTGACTAATTTTTGTATTTTTAGTAGAAGCAGGGTTTCACCATGTTGGCCAGGCTGCTCTCAAACTCCTGACCTCAAGTGATCCACCTGCCTCGGCCCCCTAAAGTGCTCAGATTACAGGTGTGAGCCATGGTGCCCAGCCCCTTTCTTTTAAAATCAAGACTGTAATCCCAGCACTTTTCAAGGCCAAGGTGGGAAGATTGCTTGAGGCCAGGAGTTCAAGACCAGTCTGGCCAACATGGTGAGACCCCTTCTTTTTAAAAAAAAAAAATACTGATATATCCAGTTGCTTACTTGCTAGGGATATCTCAAAAATAGATCTCAAAAACTAAATTCCTGCTCTCCCTTCTCCCAACAAATCTGCCCCTCCTCTGGGGTTTCCCATCTCAGTAACTGGCCCCACCCAGTTTCCCCAGTCAGAAACCTGAGCGGTATATTTGACATCTTCTCCTTTGACCTCCATAACTGCCCTATCACCAGGTCCTATTGTACCCACTCCCTGCGCACATCTTGGCTCTGCCCCTTCTCTCCGGCTCCACTATCCCCTCCAAGTCCAACCACTCTTCCCCTGGAAGATAGCCTCCTCCCTGGTCTCCTGAAACCCGCTCTAAGCCATTACCCCTTCAGCTACTGGAGTACAGCAAGAACTGCAGCCATGCCCCCCACCACTTAAAACCACTCACTGGTTCCAGTCAAGAGTCCTTCCCAAGACCTGTGTGTTCTCGCCAGATTCAGCCCTGTCTACTTCCCAACCTCATCTTTGGTCTATCTTTTGCTCCCTCACTGTGGCCTCCTTTCAGTACAAGGAGTACCCAGCTCTTCTGACCTCAGGGCTTTTGTACATGCTGTTTCTGCTGTTTGTCCAGTGCTCTCCCCATCTCTACTTCCCTAGCTCCTATCATTCCTAGATATCCTTCAGTTGCTGGTGTAAGCTTTAGGGATACCCTCTCTTGGGCCCGCTGGGAAATCTGATCCCATCGCACCCTTCACTCTCTGCAATACTCACTAACTATGCGTTGGGTGTGTATTGAATATTTGTCTCCGTTGCTAGATGATTCACTCTCCCAGGGCAGGGATTGGGTCTGTGTCGTTCACCATTGTACCTGCGGCACCCAGCGTAATGTCAGGCACAGAGCAGGTGCTCAGAGACATGTGCTGAATAAATGAGTGAGTGACAGAGGCTTGGGGAGGACCCATGGCTTGTGCTAGGGTCTCGCTGCCAGTGAGTGGAGGAGCCTAGATGTCACCCCAATCTCTTGGGCTCTCAAGTACACTCTGTTAGCTTCATGCAATATTGGCACCCTTGGGAGAACCAGGAAGGGAGAGGCTGAGGATCCAGACCCCAGGTGCTTAGACTCACCAGAAAGGATGCTGGAGCTAGAGTGGGGTGGGGGCAACCAAATGGAGTCAGATTAGGGGTACGGAGATTCTCAGGCACTCAGCACAAAAGCTGAGACAGGAGCTATTCAAGGCCATAGTGTGGCTTAGGGATGGAGCTGGGGTGGAGACAAGGGTGGGGGTGGGGGAGAGGGAGAGGACACCACAAATGGAACCCTGGCCTCACACCCAGGCCCCACACAAAGAGCTTGGCCTGTGCTGCCTCATCTACTACCCTGCCCACCATGCAAGGCAGGGATTAATATGTCCTGCTACAGACAAGGAAACGGAGCTTGAGAGAAAGAAAGTAGCTCGCTCAAAGTCTCCCAGCTAGTAAGTGTCAGGACCAGATTGGAATCTGGAGCCTGAGAAATCAGCTATTTGGAAAAATCAGTCCAGACAAGAAAATGGTAGGACAGAGCCCACCGTGGGTGAGAGGTGGTGACATGGCCACCCTCCCTCCATCATTTCACCCCTGCAGGCCCATCGTCTGTGGGGACATCTTTTTGAAATTCCAAAAGCTCTGGATGCAAACCCCAAAGCCTCTCTGAGTAAGTCCTCAGGTGGCCAGATCCTCCCAGGCTGGCGCCTACCTCCCTGGAGGATTTCCCCTGTACGGCTTCCATTTGAAAAGGAGCTTAGGGCCTCGGTACCGACCCCGCTGGGCCGTTCGATGCCCTGGCTCAGGGATGCAGAGTGGAGGAGCCTGGCCTGCTGGGGAGGGGGTGGGGGTGGGAGCAGGTGTGGGGTGGAGGAGGGGGCACTGGAAAATCCCTCTGAGCCTGGCCTTGGGTGTTGAGTTTATTTAATGTTACCTGTGGACCCCCCACCTTTTCCCCCATTTAACATCTCTTGTACGTAGCTTTTTAAAAAACTCACATCAGGCCGGGTGCGGTGGCTTACACCTCTAATCCCAGCACTTTGGGAGGCTGAGGCGGGTGGATCACCTGGGGTCAGGAGTTCGAGACGACCCTGGCCAACAAGGAGAAACCCTGTCTCTACTAAAAATATAAAAATTAGCTGGGCGTGGTGGTGTGTGAGGTGTGTGACTGTAGTCCCAGCTACTCAGGAGTCTGAGGCAGAAGAATCGCTTGAGCCCGGGAGGCAGAGGTTGCAGTAAGCCAAGATTGCCCCACTGCGCTCCAGCCTGGGCAACAGAACGAGACTCGGTCTCAAAAAACAAAATAAAACAAAAAAACCCCAAAAAACCTCACATCCTTTATGTAGCATTTTATAAATATGAACTCATCAATCCTCAGAACAACTTTATGATATAGATATTATTGTGCCCAAATTTTACAGGTAAAAAAGTTGAAGCAGAAGGTCAGGGACTTGCCCAAGGTCATCAGCAGTCAGTGGCCGAGGTGGAGCTTGAACCCAGGCAGCTGGCCTCTGGACGCTATGCTCCGAAATCCCTCCTCTCTTTGGAGACAGAAGCCTCTGAAAGTCTTGCTCCCCAGCCAGGCCGCTGAGGGCCTCAGAGATAACCGTTCCTTTCTTTTCACACAGGCCCAGAATTTGTTTACCTTGAGTGGGCAAGTAGCCGCCCCAAACAAAGGGGATGCGAGTGGAGATAACTCAATCGTTCAGGGCCTGGCCAGGCAGTTGGGAGGGCCAGGATTGAGCCCAGCCAGCCTGGGGGCCAGGCTTGAGAAACTGCTGGGACCTGGCTGCCGGCTGTTTGTTGCAAAACAATGAGTCAGCCCCGGAGGAAGGGGAGCAGGGGTGCTGGGGAATCGGGTGGAGAGGCCTCTCCTCCCTCAGCCCTGACTCCAGCTTTTCCCATGGTGGGTTCTGCCCACCCCCACCCTCCCAGACCTTGGTCTTCAGAAGGCTCAACCAATTTCCTTTTTTGTTGTTTGGCTGTGATAGGAAAAGTATTGAAAAATAGAAAGTGCCCTAGACAAGAAAACACTCTGAAAGCTGAAACGTGAAACCTGGCAGCCTGGGCCAACGCCCCAGCGGGAGGTGGCCAGCGAACCAGGCTTCTATCCCTGGGCTCCCTCCCAGGCAGGCACCAGCCCATGAAGGCACTGCAGCCCTGTCAGTAGAGCTGAGAACTTGGAGGTTCAGGGATGAGTGGTGACCGGTTCAAGGTCGCATGGCTGGTGCTATGGCCCGGGAGGGTGGGCAGGTCTCAGGGACCAGGTCACTAGATAGGAAGAGGCTGGAAACACAGACTTCTTTAAAAACAAAACGTTAGCCTTGCCAAGGGACCATGCACTTCTATTCCCACATGGCACCAGAGCTCCTTGCCAGAGGTACACCAGGGTATGTGACAGTTCTCCACCCTGGCCTGCCCCAGTGAGCCAAAGCCACTCCTAACAGATCCCATCTGCCCACAGTGGGTGTCACGAGCCACTCCATTCCTCCTCTGGCCCTGCCTCCTCCACCTCCGGGCCCCTTCCTCTCACTTATCTAGTAAAGATAGTGCCTTCCCGTTGTTGAGAACAGGACAGAGGGAATTTGCTCATGATCACAGAGCAAATTTATTAATTCATTCATCAAAACCATGTTGGGCTGCTACAGAGCCTGACTCCAGAGAATAGTGAGAAGGGAGGGCACGGTCTCTTGGGGAGCCAGCTGTACACACAGATAACTGCTTTATCACAGCACATCGATCAAGACTTATCTGCCATGTGTGCAGTGGGACGCTGAGGGGCCTGACCCAGCCTGAGGGACAGAGAAGTCTTTCTGGAGGAGTCAGAAAGAGCTGGGTCTTAAGAACTGAGTATGAGTGCACCAGGGCCAGGGGGTGATGATATCCACAATCTCCCAGGCCCCCTGTCTTGGCCCTATCCACTGTTGGGTCTACAGAACCACTCAGTCCATAGAACTGAGCTCCCACAATGGTCCAGTGGTCCACAATGGGGGTGGTGTGGGTGTGGACACAAGGCAAGTATCACATGGTACCTGCCCTCAAAAAGCTTCCTGGGCCATTGGAGAAGACAAAACTATCATCCTTGCAATGTTGAGGAAACCCAACAAGTGTTGGGAGCTCCTCTGTGAACAGTTGTCCCTCCCTCTGTATCCTAGGGGTATTGTGGCGGGGGGATTGGTTCCAAGACTCCCATGGATATTGAAATCCACAGAAGCTCAAGTCCGTGATATAAAATGGCATAGTATTTACAAATAACCCACACCTAACTTCTTGCATACTTTATTTTTGGCTAAGCAGGCATGAATGACTCAGGTATACTTTAAATTATCTCTAGATTACTTATAATACCTAATACAATGTAAATGCTATGTATTTTTTTTTTTTTTCCTGTAGAGATAAGGTCTTGCTTTGTGGCCCCTGGCTGGAGTGCAGTGGCTTGATCATGGCTCACTGCAGCCTCGACCTCCCAGGTTCAAATGATCCTCCTACCTCAGCCTCTGGATTAGCTGAGACTACAGGGACACACCACCACGCCCAGCTCATTAAAAAAATTTTTTGTACAGCTACGATCTCTCTATGTTGCTCAGTCTGGTCTTGAACTTCCAGGCTCAAGCAATCCTCCTGCTTCAGCCTCCCAAAGTGTTGGGATTACAGGCGTGTGCCACTAGGCCTGGGTGCTATGTAAATATTTATTATGCTGTATTTTAAAATGTTGTATCATTTTTCATTGTATTGTTATTTTTATCATGTTTTTAGTATACTTTCCATCCGTGGTTGGTTGAATCCATTGATGTGGAGCCTGAGGATAGGGAGGGCCTACTGTATCTCTATGCAGAGCTTACCTTGTTTGGCCAGGCGTGGTGGCTCATGCCCATAATCCCAGCAATTTGGGAGGCCGAGGCAGTCAGATTGCTTGAGCCCGTAAGTTCAAGACCAGCCTGGGCAACATGGCCAAAAACAGTCTCTACAAAAAATACAAAAATTAGCTGGGTGTGGTGGTGCACGCCTGTAGTCCCAGCTACTCTGGAAGCTGAGGTGGGAGAATCACCTGAGCCTGGGAGGCTACAGTGAGCTGAGATTAAGCCACTGCACTCCAGCCTGGATGACTGAGCGAGACCCTGTCTCAAAAAACAAACAAACAAAACAAAACAAAACAAAACAAAAAACCTACCTTATTTAATCCTCACAGGTGGACATTCTTCTTATTTCCATTTTATAAACAGGAAACAGAGGCTCAGAAAGAGGCTCTGGAGTGGAGCCAGAATCTTAACTCAGGAGCCTGTGTGTGGAGCCTGAGCCTTTAGCCACTCTGCTTATTCCAGTTCCAGGGGATGGAGGGATGGGAGAAGCAGCAGTAACAGCCTTAATTGCCAGGCTAAAGAGCCAGGACTTTATTCATCAGGCAATGGGGAGCCAGCAAAGGCTTCTGAGGAAGGGAATTACATAATCTGACCTGTGTTTTGGCACAATAACTCCAGAGGCCACTTGGAGAATATATTAAAAATACAGTGCAGGCTGGGTACAGTGGCTCACACCTGTAATCCCAGCACTTTGGGAGGCCGAGTTGGGTGGAGCACGAGGTCAGGAGATCAAGACCATCCTGGCCAACATGGTGAAACCCTGTCTCTACTAAAAATACAAAAATTAGCTGGGTGTGGCGGCGCGTGCCTGTAATCCGAGCTATTTGGGAGGCTGAGGCAGCAGAATTGCTTGAACCCAGAAGGTGGAGGTTGCAGTGAGCCGAGATCGCGCACTGCACTCCAGCCTGGTGACAGAGCTAGACTCCGTCTCGAAAAAAAAAAAAAAAAAGCCACAATGCAAAGGAGGATAACTATCTTGCTGTTCAGTTGAGAAAGGTTGAAGGCTGAGTGGGGCATTGAGGCTGCTGAGAAAAAGGGATTGCTCAGAGAGGTAGAAGATCTGGCTTCAGCCCTGGTCTGGTCTCTTCTTCAGGAGAATAATCATTGCTTGACCTCCTCTGACCATCTGCTGCCAGTGAAGCCAGAAAATGGTGATTCACCCAACAGATGCCAATTGAGCCCCTCCTAAGTGCAGGACCTATCAGTCCTGAGACCCAAAAGGGGCAAGACATTTTCTGACCTCAGGGAGCTCAGGTCATTGTGGTCCATAATCCTCAAACAGTTAGCAATGTCACACATGCTGCCTTATCCCCTCCAACCCTCCAACAGCTCTTAGAGGAGTTTTCATATAGACTCTTTTCTGATTGTTTAGGCAGAAACCTCTCCCTGCCTCCATCCTTCTCTTGCCCCTGAGAGGCTTTGAGACTCATCTATCTTCATATGTACATTTCCCACAGGACCAGGTACAGTACTGAGTATATTACTAAGTAGTCATTTAGTCTTTGCTGAGGCTAATTAGTAATAATGGAGAAAAACTGTTCTCCCGCTGACCTTGAATCCAGACCACAGACAAATTCCTTAATTTATCCAGAAGTTTTCAAAAGGTGCTATGGGCCCTAGAGTCCCTGTTAAAGAATGAGGCTGACCAGGTGGTCCCATTCTGTGAGACCACAGGGCTGTTACTGTAGGCTCAGAAATGATGACCTTGCTGAGCCTTTAAGGCCACAACCCTGTGTACTGTGGACAGAGTGATCTCTGAAGGCTGCCAGTCACTCCAAGTGAGCCAATCAGCACAAGCTATCTGGAATTAAAAGCTATATTAAGTTATGAATGAGAGGGCTCCTGTGAGGATGGGATCTGGTGTCCTGTATTACCATAAGCTCTACGCTGCTCTAGACTTTGATTGTTGAGGCAGCTGAGATACAGGCAAGCCCAAATCTAGAGCTTGGAAAGGACCCTGTGAGGCTATTCTAGTCCTTTGGGGGCCTCAGTGCAGGTAGCTCTGGAGTGAGAAATGGGGTAGGACCTGGGAGCCTCAAGTGGGAAGTGACTATGGGGGGTCAAACATGCTGGAATGCATTTTGAGGGCTGTTTTTATTTCCTGGACTTGTATGTTTTTATTTCCTCTTTGCCCTTCCTTAGGATTTACTAAAGCTCTTTGGGAAGTTTCAGCTGCTTCAGCTGTGTGTATGTGTGTGTGTGTGTGTGTGTGTGTGTGTCAGATCTTCGGTGTGAGGTGATGGACAGAGGACAGTGAGGGATTTGCTGGGGGTGAGGTTGAGCTTGTATCAGTATCAGGAAGCAGAAACTCTGGGTTTTATGGTCGGGGGGCAGGGGTTTTTCTCTTCCCCTCCCAGACCCTGTTGCAGCAGTGAGGCGGCCCAGGTCATGACGGGGATTATTTCTTCCTTTCATTTCTGGCAAAAGCTACAGGAGGGGAGTTCCCCTTCTCTGTTTGTTTTGATTCTGTTGTTTTCTTAAAGAGAGGAAGGAAAACCATCATCACTTTTTCGGTTTTGTGAACAATAAAGGCAGGCTGAGAGGATGTTCGCCTGGGCTGGGGCTGTGGGGGCTGGGCCAACACCTCCTCCTCTTTCCCTCTGGCAACCCTTCTCCTGGCAGCTCGGCGCCTGGGGAGACCCCCAGAACACAGATCAGGCCACGTTGTGGGGTCAAGTTTAAGTGCCGGCTCTGCCTTTTAACTGCTTTTCACTGGTCTGAGGTGTATCTGTATAAATGGGAGTCATAGGGTTGTTGAGATTAAAAACAAAAATACTCGCTTGTAAAAACACAGTGCTGGGCCTACACTAAATGTCCCAGAAATGTCTTTCCTTTGCTTCCTTCCACTGGGGGGGTCTATATCATGAGCCCAGTGGTATGGTATACCCAGGGCCACCCTCCTGTCTTCCTGCTTGTCCACCCAGAGCCGGCTTCTTCCATGGCAGGACCTGCAAATGCTGGACTCACAGAAGGCTCTGAGAAGTAAATAACAGGTGAGGCTGGGGGTGCCTTCTTATTTCTTGGGGTTGTCCCCAGTCTGTTAAGAGACAGTCTAACCTTGCCTTTGAATTTCTTTTTCTTTTCTTTTTGAGATGGAGTTTCCCTCTTGTTGCCCAGACTGGAATGCAATGGCGCAATCTCGGCTCACTGCAACCTCTGCCTCCTGGGATCAAGCCATTCTCCTGCCTCAGCCTCCCAAGTAGCTGGGATTATGGGCACCTGCCACTACGCCCAGCTAATTTTTTTGTACTTTTAGTAGAGACGGGGTTTCACCATGTTGGCCAGGCTGGTGTTGAACTCCTGACTTCAGGTGATCCACCTGCCTTGATCTCCCAAAATGCTGGGATTATAGGTGTGACCCACTGTGCCCAGCCCTTGAATTTCTCCTAGCCCTTCAGTTCCTCAAGCTTCATGCCTCCCAAGGTTGCACCCCCCATGGCCTGTCCTGCAGTCCTGGGGCCCTTCTCTGAGGGGATGAAGGGGGCACTTCCCTGAACAGAGAGAAAGGGAGACCCACACCACTTGGATTAAACTCCCTGGGCCCCAGCTGGCTCTGCAACTTGGCCAAGAAGCCCTATCTCCTAGGGCCTCAGTGTCTTAGTCCGTAAAATGGTTCCTGAACTTTTAAAATACAAACACTCTTTTGTAGAGTCGAAACACTTTGCAGACCTGCACTCTGTGGCAGTACTTGTACTTTTAAAATCTTTTGATTAAAAAAAGGACAAATGGGCTGGGCGTGGTGGCTCACCCCCATAATCCCAGCACTTCGGGAGGCCGAGGCAGGCGAATCATGAGGTCAGGTGATCGAGATCATCCTGGCTAACATGGTGAAACCCCGTCTCTACTAAAAATACAAAAAAAAAAAAAAAATTAACTGGGCGTGGTGGCACATGCCTGTAGTCCCAGCTACGCAGGAGGCTGAGGCAGGAGAATGGTGTGAACTCGGGAGGTGGAGCTTACAGTGAGCCCGGATTGTGCCACTTCACTCCAGCCTGGGTGACAGAGCAAGACTCCGTCTCAAAAAAAAAAAAAAAAAAAAAAAAGACAAATGACCATCTGCAAGGATACCTTCATCTGTGCTTTAATTTTTTTAAAATTTTATTTATTTATTTATTTTTGAGATGGGGTTTCGCTCTTGTTGCGCAGGCTGGAGTGCAATGGCATGATCTCAGCTCACCACAACCTCCGCTTCTGGGGTTCAAGCAATTCTCCTGCCTCAGACTCCTGAGTAGTTGGAATTACAGACATGCGTCACCACGCCCAGCTAACTTTTTGTATTTTTAGTAGAGATGGGGTTTGTCTGTGTTGGTCAGGCTGGTCTTGAACTCCTGACCTCGGGTGATCTGCCCACCTTGGCCTCCCAAAGTGCTGGTATTACAAGCATGAGCCACTGTGCCCGGCATGCAATGCTTTTAGATGAGTGTATATTTTATTCAACAGCCCTAAGTACTTTTGAAAATGTGTCCCCTTGGCTGGGTGTGGTGGCTCACATCTGTAATTCCAGCACTTTGGGAGGCTGAGGCAGGCGGATCACCTGAAGTTAGGAGTTCGAGACCAGCCTAGCCAACATGGTGAAACCCCGTCTCTACTAAAAATACAAAAAATTAGCCGGACATGGTGGCTGGTACTTGTAATCCCAACTACTCGGGGGGCTGAGGCAGGAGAATTGCTTGAACCTGGGAGGCAGAGGTTGCAGTGAGCCGAGACTGAGCCACTGTACTCCAGCCTGAGCAACAGAGTGAGACTCTGACTCAAAAAAAGAAAAAAAGAAAATGTGTTCCCTTATGTGGGAGGCATCAGCTTGTGGATGATGCTGATTCCTAAGGGGCTTGAGGCTCCCAGCATGTGCAAATTTGTGTCTTTGAGGGGACAGATAGCCCTGGAATTAGTTGATTCCTCCTTGGCCCTCCTGGGGCAGACCCAGGGACTCAGGGACACCAGATGGGTAGCCCTGGCTCAAATGCAAAAGTCCAACAGTGACTGACCAGAATGTGCAGTGTAGTGGTTTCTCTTTAACATGTGGATCCTGCCTTGGATGCCTGCCAGGGCTTCCATCCTTGTTCTGCCACTAACCAGCTCTCCCCCAAGGCATGCTACTTTATCTCCTGGGCCCCAGGATTGTCACCTATAAAATGAGGTTGACAGTACTTGCGAGTTTTTGTGAAAATTAATGAGATAATGAACTCATGAGACTTACTTAGCACAGGGCACAGTTGTTGCTTAACAAATATTACTTTTTTTTTTTTTTTTTTTGAGATGGAGTTTTACTTTTGCTGCCCAGGCTGGAGTACGATGGTGCGATCTCAGCTCACTGCAACCTCCGCCTCCTGGATTCAAGCGATTCTCCTGCCTCAGCCTCCCGAGTAGTTGGGGCCTGGCTAATATATATATATATTTTTTAGTAGAGACGGGGTTTCTCCATGTTGGTCAGGGTGGTCTCAAACTCTGACCTCAGGTGATCCACCCGCCTCGGCCTCCCAAAGTGCTGGGATTACAGGCATGAGCCACCACAGCCGGCCCAAATATTACATTTAAAAGCAAAAATAAAAACAAACCCACGAGTGCCCAAGCTTCTCTTCTTGCAGTTGCTGCTCACCATCCTGTGGGCTGGTGCTGTCTGCTTTTGGAATGGTCTCCTTTGGCCCCTCCATCCTTCAAGCTCAGCCTCCTTCAGGAAGCCCTCCTGGCTCCTGCAGACTGTCCCTGCAGACCCCTTCCCTTGCCTATGCCCCTTTAGCATGCGGCGCTGGCCCTCCTACGTGGTTCCCTGATGGGCCCTGTCTCCCTGAGAGCAGGATTCCAGTCCCCCTGCACTGTTGCTTGGGGAGCCCTGCAGGTCCAGGCGCCATTCCCAGCCCCACACAGCTCTGGAGACCAGAGCTTGGTTCCCAACCACATGAAGGAAGGCGCACGGAAAAACCATAAACCCGAAGGCTGAGCGGGTTATTTGTCAAAGCAGGACAGATCTGCGGCCAGGGACGTGGAGGGAGTGCGCTGGCCCTGAGTGGAAGCGAGCATTTCAGGGAGCCGGGATGAGCACCGAGGAGCTGGCACGGGCAGGGCACGGCAGGAAGGAGGCCCATTAACACTTCTGCCCCGACCACGCTTCCTCCGGCACCTCGGCCAGGATGCACACAGGCGCGTTTGTCCCACTTTCACTGCGGCACTGTGTTTGCAGCAGCCCCGGCTCCCCAAGCCCCAGGTGGGTGGGTGTTGCCTGGGCACAGATGCCCTTTATGGATGGGCAGTGCTGGAGGGAGGCAGGTTCAGAATTGACCTTAGAGCTACCTCCCTGCCAGCAATGCAGCCACTCAGGAGGCCTGGTTGCATGGAGGCCATGGCATTGCCCCCAGGGACCCCAAATCATGGGGGTAATCCCAGGAGAAAGCAGCCGCCTTTAAAAGGCGAGAGTGCCCCAAGTGAGCCCTCCCTCCAGGGCCCATCACTCTGCCTGCTGCCACCTCCTGGCACGGGGACTGTGGATTCTCATCTCCTTGAGGGGCTCCAGGTGGCAGGCCTGCCTTGGTGAGGCTCGCAAAGGAGAGGGAAAGAAGGAAACCCCATTGATGCCTCATTGCCCTCCTTCCACCATCCCAGGAGGAGTGGGGCCTCAACCAAACATCCAAGGACTACCTTCCCTTCCATCCCTTCCATGAAGCCCAGCCTGCGTTAGCCTGAGAGTTTATTCACAGAAGGGCCTTTGGTGCTCTTTCTTAGGCCAGTGGGTGACAGAAGTCACACATGCCCCAGACAAACCCTCCAGTCACGCCCCACTGAACTTCCATCCCCCATTCACACTTAGCCTCAAGACCCTCTGCCCTGCCCCAAGGCCTGCCTGGGTTCTTTTTTTCAGCTGTCTTTTGCTCATTTAACTAGGGACAGGTGCAGGCACGTGCTGGCTGACTGTCAGCGCCCCCTAGAGATGGCCCAAGGACCCGCACCCACCCCCAAGGAGGCCTCAACTGAACCTTTTCTTTGGAGGCTGGGAGGTGAAGGAAGGGAGCCTCCGTTCCCTGCCAGCCACGACGCCAAGCTCACCCCGGTGCAGTTAGCCCCTCTCTGTAGAGATCATTGTCCTCCTTTGACATCTGGGGAGACTGAGGCTGGGAGAAGAAAGAAAAGTCAAGCCCTGCCTCCTGGGGTTCTCAGTCTAGCTGGGGCGGCGTCAGGTGGGAGGGGCTCGTGAGTGGGAACAGAGCAGGTCCTCCCTGGGTGCCCGCCGGTGCCCTGCCTGCAGAGTCACAGGCACTGTGCTCCGGGTGCCCCTTCTCTCTGGCTGGGCTTGGCGTGGCAGATGGACCACCTTGAGGAGGGCAGGAGGGGCTGCCAGGCCCTCAGGAAGTCAGATGAGCTTCCCTATCTCCTGGAGCCCCCCAGGAATGGGACACCACACGGCCACAGCCACCAATGCTTGCTCACTTGGGTTTATCTCCAACCCTCTGATCCGACTGGAGGGTGTGCCACTGGCCTCAGTCACAAACCTTTTCACATCCTGCAGAACCAGATGTAAAGGTTGGCTGGCCAGGCACAACCCACCCCCGCCAATCCCCGCCACCCCCACAACACACACACAGACAGACAGAAACACTTCCTCCATGCCCAGCGCCCCTCCTCCCACACTCACCACACGGATATCCCTGCGGACACACCTCGGGCACAAATACGTTCTCCACCCACGCCCTGTCCCCTTGGGGGCATAGACAGCACACACGCCTGTGCTCGCCTCACAGCCCCCGAAACCTCCCTCCCACCACAACCCCACAGACACAAAGATGCCTCCACTCCCTTCCCAGACACTGCCCTGGCCTCAGCAAGCTCACACATTGAGACTCCACCTTGTCCGAGACTGCACGCTTGTGCCCTCACGTGCTCAGGAACCCACTCTGCAGGTATCCACATGCCCAGGAACCTGAGCCAAGCCCCTCACGACCCTAGCCTGGATCAAGTCATTTATGGTGATAAAGCACTTATTTATAGTTCACAGGTTCTGAAAGGCAAGTGTGTGTGTGTGTGTGTGTGTGTGAGAGAGAGAGAGAGAGAGAGAAAAAAAAAATGAGCAGGGTGTGGGACAAGCAGGGCAGAGAGGAAGAAAGGGAAGGAAAAGTTCTGTGACTCACTTGCAGCTTAACAATGCCACATCTCAGCTCACCAGGCCAGGGGGAAGGACCCATTTGTCAACACAGCCAGGGCCTGGCTGTGGGCCAGTCAAGTGAGGTCCTGTCTCCTAGGCCGATGAGATAGGGAGGTGAGGATCCCCCTCAGAGACAATTGCTGTTCCCCCGTCTGCACCCTGGGGGGTATGCACTCTGGGCGGCCCCAGAGCCCTTCTGTTTATCCTTACCATAACTCCCCAGCTGAGGCGGCCCCACCACTCACAGCCTGGACCCTGCTTCCGTCTCTAGGACCCCGTGTTCCCCATCCAACCCTCCAGGCCATTCTTCTCGCTGTGCCTCCTGCCTGCAGTGCCCTCCATCCCCTCTGCACTTGGTCCGCTCCATCCTTCAGGCTCCAGCGCCTTCCCCTGTTCTGCCTCCCGCTTCTGAACGCTTCCTGCTTTCTCCAAACCACAGTCTCTTTTCCATGTTTTCTGGATAGTGAGCCACTACTCTCTTCCCAGTTAGACTATGAGCTCGTCAAGGGCAGGCCCTGGAATTTCTTCCTCTGCCCCCAGAAAGTCCCACCCAGGACCCCAGCAGGGCTGTGGAGCAGCAAGTGCCAGGATGTTCTTGAGAGGCAGACAGTAAGGGACTGAGAGGGACTGAAAAGGCCAAGTGAACCCTTCTGCAGCCTCTGCCTGGCAGGTCCTGGACAAGCCCCTCCACAGCTTAGGCAGGCTAGGGCCGCAAGGATTTCTCACCAGGTCCTGTCTGACACCAGGGTCTGGGGGACAGAAGCTGGGGGCCCAGAGAGCAGCACATGGCCTCACCTGCCTGGTGCCAAGCTCATGCTAGTTTTCCTCAGGAGCACACCCATCCCTACAATAGCCCTGTGACCTAGGGGCTTCCACTAGCTCAGGAAACTGAGGCTTAGAGAGGCCTGGGGATTGCCCAGGTCACCTAACTGGTGAGCAGCAGAGCCCCAGATCCATGCTCTTTCCTCCATTCCCTACCGCCCCTGCCCCCACAGTCCCTGCCCCCAGCAGCCCCTGCCTCTGAATCTCACTGGTCTCAGACCTCAAACTTTTGCTCTGTTTCATCTCCTGAAACTCTGCTCATTTCTTCCCCTATCACTCTCCTGAGCCTCCACCCCTTTGCCTCACTGCACCTCCTTTTACTTGCCCCTGGAGCAGAAGAAGGAAGAAGGCCCATAGCTGTGGGCATCTGTATATGCTGTTTCTCAGAGGGAGCGAGGCTTAGTACACAATTCTGGATGTGGAAAGCCTTTTCTTTTTTTTATTTAAAAGTATAATTTTTAAAAATATAATAGGGGCCGAGCGTGGTGGCTCATGCCTGTAATCCCAGCACTTAGGGAGGCCGAGGAGGGCGAATCACCTGAGGTCAGGAGTTCTGGACCAGCCTGGCCAACGTGGCAAAACCCCATCACTACTAAAAATACAAAAACTAGCCGGGTGTGGTGGTACATGCCTGTAATCCCAGCTACTTGGGAGGCTGAGGCAGGAGAATCACTTGAACCTGGGAGGCAGAGATTGCAGTGAGCTGAGATCATGCCATTGCATTCCAGCCCGGGTGACAGAGCAAGACTCTGTCTCAAAATAATAATAATAATCATAGGGACAGGTAGGCCAGATGTGGTGGTTAAAAAAAAAAATAGAGACAGGGTTTCACCATGTTACCCAGGCTGTTCTCAAATTCCTGGGCTCAGGTGATCCATCCACCTACAAAGAGCTGAGATTACAGGCGTGAGCCACCACAAGGCTTTTCTTTCTTTCCTTCTTTCTTTCTTTCTTTCTTTCTTTCTTTCTTTCTTTCTTTCTTTCTTTCTCTCTCTTTCTTTCTTTCTTTTTTTGAGACGGAGTCTTGCTCTGTCACCCAGGCTGGAGTGCAGTGGTGCAATCTCAGCTCACTGCAAGCTCCACCTCCCGGGTTCACGCCATTCTCCTGCCTCAGCCTCCTGAGTAGCTGGGACTACAGGTGCCCACCACCACGCCTGGCTAATTTTGTTGTATTTTTAGTAGAGACGGGGTTTCACTGTGTTAGCCAGGGTGGTCTCAATCTCCTGACCTCGTGATTCGCTCGCCTTGGCCTCCCAAAGTGCTGGGATTATAGGCGTGAGCGACTGCGCCCGGCCCCCTTATTTATTTATTTATTTTTGAGACAGAGTCTTGCTCTGTTGTCCAGGCTGGAGTGCAGTGGCACGATCTCAGCTCACTGCAACCTCCACCTCCTGGGTTCAAGCAATTCTCCTGCCTCAGCCTCCCGAGTAGCTGGGATTACAAGTGTGCACCACCACGCCCAGCTAACTTTTGTATTTTTTTTAGTAGAGACGGGGTTTTGCCATTGTTGGCCAGGCTGGTCTCGAACTCCTGACCTCAGGTGATTCACCTGCCTCGGCCTCCCAAAGTGTGCAAGGCTTTCCTTTTCTTTCTTTCTTTCTTTTTTTTTTTTTTTTTTTTTTTTTTTTTTTTTTGAGACAGAGTCTCACTCTGTTGCCAGGCTGGAGTGCAGTGGCATGATCTCGGCTCATTGCAACCTCCACCTCATGGGTTCAAGCGATTCTCTTGCCTCAGCCTCCCGAGTAGCTGGGATTACAGGCACCGCCCCTACACCCAGCTAATTTTTTTTTTTTTTTTTTTGTATTTTTAGTAGAGACGGGGTTTCACCATGTTGGCCAGGCTGGTCTCGAACTCCTGACCTCGTGATTCGCCCACCTCGGCCTCCCAAAGTGTTGGGATTACAGGCGTGAGCCACCACACCCAGCCTGCAAGGCTTTTCTTAAACCTGGACTCAGAAGCTAGACAGAAACCTGTCCTTCCCTCTCCAGGGACCAGCAGGGGCTGTGTTCCCAAGAGGCTCTCCTTGTGGGTTTGCACCTCTCTGGCTGACCGTCCCTTGCACACACACGTACCATAGCTGACTTGCCTTCAGAGCCCACAGAATCTCCTTTTTAAGCAATGATGGGAAAAACAGGTAATGGGTGCTGGGAAACACATGGGGCAGACTCTCTTCGTGGTGCAACCTCAAGCGTGTGATCCCAGCCTGCACATAGCATGTGATTATTTGATAAAAAATCGCATTCCAACCCCAAGCCAGCTGTCCTTGGTTTTCTCCACCGCCCCCCCTTGCTGGTTGCCGGACCCACCGTGTCTGTGAAATATGGTTGTGATTTTATGCTTAACCAAAGTCAAGGCTGGATTCCTTGATGAGTTCAGTTTTGCTAGAAGATAAGGACTGACCCAGATTCTTGTGTGCTGATACTATGGGGGGAGTGTTCCAGGGAAAGGGGAGATGGACAGCCTTTGGAGGGGTAGGGTCCACTCTTTGCCACAAGGGGGCTTTGGGTGGCACAGTTTGGAGTGGCTGCTAGCACACCTGGGGATGGTGGCCTTCATGACACAGAGTTGGGGGTGCAGGCCTGGCAACTTCATTACCTGGTAACTTCACTCGCCTGGTAACTTCACTACCCCCTTGAAGTAAGTGTGGCCATGTGAGTTGCTTTGGCCAAAGAAATGTGAGTAGAATGGATACATCTCCCTTCCAGGTAGCAGCAATAAGAGCAAATGTGTGAATCCCCATAGCCCCTTCTTGCTACCGTGTGATCATCTGCAATGCTGTTGATATGAAGCCTCCTTAAGCCCGGGTCTCTGGGCTAGCACAACACAGCTCAGGATCCTCCAAGTCATCTGCAGTGCTCATTTGCCATGACAGAAATAAATCTTTGCTGTTTTAAGCCACCAAAACATTGGGATGGGCCAGGCCCGGTGGCTCATGCCTGTAATCCCAGCACGCTGGGAGGTGTAGGCAGGTGGATTACTTGAGCCCAGGAGTTTGAGAGCAGCCTAGGATTTGTGTGTTCCAAGCAACATAGGAAAACCCTGTCTCTACAAAAAATAAAAAAATTAGCCTGGTATGGTGGCGCAAACCTGTGGTCCCAGCTACTCGGGAGGCAGGAGAATTGTTCGAGGCCAGGAGTTCCAGACTGCAGCCTTGACGACAAAGCGAGACCCTGTCTCTAAAACAAAACGAACCCCCCAAAACATTGGGATGTTTGTTACTGCAGCATAAACTAGCGTCTCCTGACTGATACACCTACCTCATTGGGTTGAAGAGATTACCTAGTGATGAGATTATGCACTAAATAACACAAGTGAAGAGCTTAGCAAAGTGCCCGGAAATACGCGGCTGTTTCTTCCTCCTTTTTCCCTTTCTCTTCTAATGTTATTTCTCTTTTTCTGCCACTTCGAACCAGGTCACAGGAAGCTTTCCAGGCCCACTAAGTGTGTATAATAGTACAGGAGCACAGAAGTGATAGGTGGCTGGGGGGACAGACATATATGCAAGTGACCATCACATGATGTGCTAAGTGCTATATTACCACTGTGAGTCCAGAGCTAGGCAAGCCCAGGGGAGGTATGTTTACTGACATCCTCAAAAGTGAAGTCTGAACTAGAGATACTAGATATCAAAGGGTTAGTTCGGTTTCTTTAGGCAGAGCAGGGAGAATGGAGCATTCTAATAATGACAGCAACTGCCATTTACTGAGCACCTGCTGTGTGCCAGATATTGAATCACGCAGTTTTCCAATTCTCCCCTTCTGTCGGATCTACAATATCTATGATGCATGTATTACTGGTTTTTCTTGTTGTTGTTTGCATCAAAATTTTTTTTCCCCAAGAGAGGATCTCTCTCTTTTGCCCAGGCTGGAGTACAGTGGAGTGATTACTGCTCACTACAGCCTCAACCTCCTGGGCTCGAGTCATCCTCCCACCTCAGCCTCCCAAGTAGCTGGGACTACAGGCATACGCCACCACACTTGGCTAATTTTTTTTTTTTTTACTTTTTTGTAGTGATGGGGTCTCACTATATTGCCCAGGCTGGTCTCAAACTCCTGGGCTCAAGTGATCCTCCTGCCTAGGCCTCCTAAAGTGCTGGGATTACAGGCGTGAGCCACCGTGTCCAGCCCAGCCCATTTCCTGCGTTTTCAGTTTTGCTCAAGTTGTTCCTTGTGTTTGGAATGCCCTTTCCCAAATATATCCTTCTGCCTGAGGCCTGCTTTTCCTTCTAAGCTCGGCCCAGTTCCCCCCTTGTCTCTTTGCTGAGATGGCCTGGCTGGAATGGAGACTTGGGGAGTGTGTTCTGTTTGAATGATCTGGTTTGAATGATGGGATGAGAATAGGAGTGCAGATATTTGCTAACATTTAATACACAGATTTCAGTCACACATGTATATGATTTGTGGAAGCATAATTATCCTGAAGGTGTGTGCCAAGAGTTGTTTCTTCCTGATAGCAGAACATAATCAAACAAGTCTGGAAACCACTGCTGTGCAGAGTTGTTGAAGTTGGTTGTTTACTGGCTGTGTGACTTGGGCAAGTCACTCAGCCTCTCTGAGCTCAAGTTTTCCTGCCTATAAAACGGGAATTATCTTGGTGCCTACCTCATGAGGTTATGGGGCCTTGGTGAGATAAAGCTTGGATAAAACTCAGACACATCTGTGCCTCCCAGATGTGTCTGAGTTCCAGCCTGGGCAGAGCCTTGTTGGGTGCGTCCAAGCTGCTGGTGGGTCCTGACAGGAGAGGCAGAGAAGGGAGGGGAAGAGGAGCTGCACCAGGTGACGGGGACTCTTGTGACTTAGGCAGGCTGAGCTGAGACATCCCAGTGGTGTTTGATAAAAGGCGGGGGCTCTTCTCTGGCCAAGTAAATATTAGAAGAAAAGGCTGTCTCCAGGGAACGGCTCCCCTCCCACTGCCCCTTGAGGGCCAAAGTCCCCAGGGGCCAGTCTGGAGGCTCCTTTTATGTGACTGTAAAGTAATCCAGGGCCTGGCAGGGTCGAGCCTGGGCGGGCACTGACGCGCAGGGCGGCATTGATGTGGTCAATGATTACCTTTTATGCCTGGCCATAAAGGCAACCGCCCAGCCCTCTGGACAATGCCCCCTCTAGACAATGCCTCGGGAGGGTGGGTGTACACACACACACACACACACACACACACACACACACACACAACTGCCAGGCAGGGACCTGTCCCAATTGAGGTCTCCAAAGACATCCTTGCAAGGCATCTCCATCTCCCTTGGAGTCCCTGAAGACTTGGCCCAGGAGCTAAGGGGTTTAGGTGGCCATAAGTGAGGCCAGTGAAGTGTAAAACACAAAAGAGTGACATCCAGGGGCCTGGATCCTGTTCCAGGTGTATCTATGCAGATGGGGAGGGGTCGCCACCCAGACTCAGGTACCACATCTCCAGGGAAGGAGGGTATTCTGGGACAGATCAAAGTCTACTCCCATTTTACCGGTGATGCAGCTGAGGTCTGTGCGTGCTGTGGCTTGCCCCGGGTACCAAGGATGGAGATGATGGCAGAGCTGGGAGTAGGACCCAGGTCTGCTCTGACAGTGACAAACCCTCTGGCCACTGCCCCCAAGGGGGTCCAAGTAGGAATATCAGGGGTCAGGAAGGGTTTGGGTCACTTCTCAGACAAGATATCTCTCCTGGGGCTCAGAGGGGAGCTGGTGAGAACCTGAGGTCGTGGCTCCAAGGCTGATGTGGGAAAAGACCTAGGGTGAGCCCCTCCAGCGGCCACAAAGGCCATGTGCAGGGCCCTGCCCTCATGGGGGCCCCTTACATAGCCCCACCTCATTCTGTCCCGATGCACAGATACTCCCACCACCTGGATGATGGCGGCTTTGCTATGCGGGTCAGGGCTGGGGCATAGATGGCCAGATTAATATTCTACCTCCTTGGTTGATAAGGCCCGTAACCTTTGTCCCGGCGAGCGAGGCTGGAGAAGCGGGGGCCATGGCCCTGGTAGGGAGGTCTCACTTTGTCAGGTTCCAGAGCCGGGGCATTGCTGCTGGGTGCTGAGGACAGGGCTCAGGAGACCTGGGTCCCCGGCCAGCTCACCCTGGGGCTGTGCATCGCTTTTCTCCCCAGCCAATGGGAGAAGGACTCTGTGCTGTCTTCCTGGTGAGGATGGTAAGGATCACACCAAGGACTCTGCAGGGAAGGTCCTGAATGGATCAGGCTGCTATCTTGAGGAAAGAGGGTTATTATTCACAGTAGTCATAAATGCCCTGTGAAATTGGAGTGGAGTTGCTTTGAGCTTTGGCCAGAATGCCCCAATCAACCTTTGGCTCTGATAAAGATAAGCAGGCTCAAGGTGATAACACATAAACCAGAAACTGTCAACAGGAGCTAATTAGGGCACTGGGTGCCGGGGTGAGCCACGCCCCCTACACCTGATGGAGGAGAAATCTCAGGTGGGGGAAGATGTGGGCTCATTGCCTGGACCTTAGCCTATTGCTTTTTTGTCACCTTCTGGCCACTTTTCCACCTCCAACCGCTACCTCCCACCCCTCTGCCTGCATTATATAACATAACATGAAACAAGATGGAATAAAACAGAATCCAATGTGATGGGTGCCATATAACACAGTGGAAAGAGTCCTGACTTGGGGCCAGGTGTGGTGGCTCATGCCTGTAATCCCAGCACTTTGGGAGGCGGAGGCAGGCGGATCACATGAGGTCAGGAGTTCGAGACCAGCCTGACCAACACGGTGAAACCAGGTGTCTACTAAAAATACAAAAATTAGCCAGGCGTGGTGGCGGGCACCTGTAGTCCCAGCTAATCGGGAGGCTGAGGCAGCAGAATCGCTTGAACCCGGGAGGCGGAGGTTACAGTGAGCCGAGGTCACGCTACTGCACTCCAGCCTGGGCGACAGAGCGAGACTCCGTCTCAAAAAAAAAAGTCCAGAATTGGGAGCCAAGGAACCCGAGTCCAGCCTGGTTCTGCATGCCCTTGAGCTGGTCATTTGTCCCTAAGCCGCAGTCTCCCTCTCTGTAAAATGGAGGCCAGAAGTGGGGCAGGTGTGCAGTCATCCCTTGCTGGGATCCCGTCTAGGTTTAAAGTCCATGCTCTTCTGCGACACAACACTGTAATCTGTGAAGTGCACAAAACATTGCCCTGGTGCCACCCAGTAACACAGGGGTGTGTGTGACACTCGGCAGAATCACAGATCCACCCCTCAGGGAGAGGGAGGTCATGTGGAGGCCCTGAGACATAGCTAGTTCCCAGGGGTCCTGGAATCCCTCTCCCTATCTGCAGCCTGCACTAGGGGCACTCAGGTCTATTTTTAACTCAGTGCCCAGTAAATAAATGTGGCGTTGAAGCTGGGGCCCAATGGTCCATTTCCCCTCCCTCATCAATATACATCTCCCCCGCCCTGCCCACCACACACACACACACACACACACACACACACACACACACAAGTTGAAGTGGCCGCCCATAGGTAACCCCCAGTGCTGAGCCAGGGCTCCTGGCGATGTGGTTCAGGCTGGGCCTCCTTCGAGCTGGGGGAGTTGCTGGAGGAACCAGCCCTGCTCCTGTCCTAGTTTTAGCCCAGATTCTGCTTCCCATCAGCAAAGTCCAAGTCACTTTTCCTGGGAACTGGCAGGAAGGGTGTAGACAGGGTTGGGCAGAGAGAGAAGTGGGTGTGAAAAGACAGGGAGGGGCCGGGAGCGGTGGCTTAACCATGTAACCCCAGCACTTTGGGAGGCTGAGGCGGGTGGATCACGAGGTCAGGAGATCGAGACCATCCTGGCTAACACGGTGTAACCCCGTCTGTACTAAAAATACAAAAATTTAGCTGGGCATGGTGGCACATGCCTGTAGTCCCAGCTACTCGGGAGGCTGAGGCAGGAGAATCACTTGAACCTGGGAGGCAGAGGTTGCAGTGAGCCAAGATTGTGCCACTGCACTGCAGTGTGGGCGACAGAGTGAGACTCCATCTCAAAAAAAGAAAAAAAAGGGAGGAAAGTGGCCAGGAGGTGGGTGAGTAGGAGGGAGGAGAAAAAGGAGGAGGGCCTGACCATTCTTCCTGCCGCCCACTTCTCTGGGCAGCAGGGTCACCTGCACCGAGGCTTGCCTGGTTCGGGGCTGGGCAGGCAAGGCTAGGCAGTGACTCAGCCCCAGGCCCAGCCACCCACTCTCACAGGCCCCAAAACTGAGGGAGGAGGGCACAAATCAGGACCTGGGGGCTGAGGTCTCAGCCTCAAACAGAAGTCACTACAACGGGCAGTGGCTCTAGGCTGGGAGCAGTTTCTCCTGCCTGGGGCGTAGTGGGGCGGTGAAGAGGAGAAGGCAGAGTCTGAGGAAGGTGATGTCCAAAGTGAATCTTGAAAGCTGGGTAGAAATGCATCTTCCTTGACCTCTGTCAGCTCAGCTTCCTCCTCTGAACAATGGTATCTTTTTTTTTTTTTTTTTTTTGAGACAAGGTCCCTCAGTTGCCCAGGCTGGAGTGCAGTGGCGTGATCTCAGCTCACAGCAACCTCCACCTCCAGGGCTCCAGTGATCCTCCCACCTCAGCCTCCCAAGTAGCTGGGACTGGGACTACAGGTGCACGCCACCACACCCGGCTAATTTTTGCATTGTTTGTAGAGATGGGGCTTGCCATGTTGCCCAGGCTGGTCTTGAACTCCTGAGCTCAAGTGATCCTTCTGCCTCGGCCTCCCAAAGTGCTGGGATTACAGGTGAGAGCCATCGCACCCGGCCAACAGTGGGTATAATTAATGGGACTTTTTTCATTGGCATGGTCAGGAGGATAGGACACAGCCTCGCTAGTGGTAAGTGCTGGGTGCTGACATGTGGGCCACTGACGCTATGGGCAGGAGGGTTAGCGGGGAGGGGATTTCAGGCACAGTGAACAGCACAGACATGAAGGCGAAAAACGAAAGAAAACAAAATGCCACAGCCCTGAGCCATCCGGGGTGCTGGGAGCAGTGCAGAGTCACTGCCAACTTCTGTGTGTTGCAGGCAGGAGCAGGCGTGGTGAAACTGCGGAGTGGCCGCCAGAGCGATCAGAAGTCTAGCCAAAGAGGCGTGGACCCAAGAGGGCCAACCCTGGTAGGGGGAAGTCCCCAAGACTGGGCCACAAGGGCCTGATCTCAACTCCTAGGTGTTGAGAGAGGCCAGAGGCTATGTGGGGCTTTGATGCTCCTTCTGTGGGGTGAGGGTGGGTGAGAAATTTTGAGGAGGTGCAGGGGAGGAGTCTAGAGGGGTGTGTGTAGGAGAGAGAGAGAGAAAGAAAGGGAGAGAACTATAAAGTTGGAGGCCAATACCAAGGGGCAGCCAGAATTAATGCCTGTTCTGGAGAGGGAGCAAGCAGCACCGGTCTCTTTCCCAACCCCGGGCCGCTTTGCCCTCCAGTACCAGGAAGTGCCTCTGCGGGAGAGAGGCCAGGAGGCTGCTCCACACACATCCTGCTTTTGCTCAGTCTAACTCTCCTCCCTGGCCTGCCTCAGCCCTGCACCCAGACTGTTTCATCAGGTCATAGAGCGGCTGGGTGTGAGTGTGTGGGTGTTTGTGTGTGTGTGCACACACATGCGTGTACATGTGGCATTTCTAGATCAGAGAATGCTCAGAGGCCCTGCTAAAGGTCAGGTCAGTAAGGAGTGAGGGCATGGCCAGCCCCTCAGGTCCTGGCACCCAGATAGCTCCTTCCCACCCAAATCTGCCAGGCCTCGGGGGCAGTGGCAGCTGACAGGCCTCTGAGTCAGGATGGGTGAGGAGGAGGAGCTGAAGGGCCGGCCAAGGAGGAGTAAGTCGTCACCTGCTGAGTGGCGGGTCATTCGTTTAGCCCAGTGATGGGGAGCAGTGCTGCAGGGGGCAGGGGTCGGAGGGGAGGGGGATTTCTGCCATTGAAACAATAGGCACCCTAGTTCTGTGTTACTGGGGCTGGGGGCCAGGAGGCAGGATAGGACATGCTCTTGCCTCCCCACCTCCGCTGTGCTCAGCAGCTGGTGGAGACCTGGGAGGAGAATCCCAGGCTGATGCCTAGCGTGGGCCCAGTAAAGTCTTTGGGGATTTGATGCAACCCCGAGTTCCTGATGGCTCATGGAGAGGCTGTGCCTGCACCTCGTGGCGATGAGCCATCTGGGGCTCGCCCCGCACCCAGCACATGGCTAGGAGCATAGTGAACTCCGTCTCTAGGAATGGGCAGGACCCAGGAAGGCTAGTGAAAAGATGCATTTGAGGCCTGAGCTCTCTGTGTCCAGAAGCAGCCCCCTCAGGTTGTGGGGGGACACTCTGGGTCTTGCACCTGCCAAGGCCCCTGCCACAGAGAATGGGAACAGCACTGCTCCCCCAGGGCCACTCCAAGTTTTCTGGTCTCAAGATGCAGTCCCTGTGGGGCTGTGGGTGGGCCCCCTCTCTGCCTAGCCCAGTTCCAGCTACAGAAGCTGTGTGGAAACATCTCCCCTGAACCAAGTGCCTTTGAACTTTCCAGGAATGCTGGCCTGGGGCGGAGCAGGGGTGGCAGGGAAGGACAGGCGTGGGGTGGGATGTTCCAGAATCTACTGGGACCCAAACCCGAGAGCACCGAGTTCCCACGAGCCAATGCCTGGCTGTGGAGGAACCGGGAGGTCACAGGGATGCAATGGGCAACATCAGGATGAGGCAGGTAGGAGTGTGCGCGCGAGTGAGACACAGGGCTGGAAGGGACCTGGAATGTCACATGTCCATGCCCCTAATGCCAAAGGCTGCCTGGTGCAAGTAATATTACTTTTTCTTTTTCTTTTTTGAGACAGGGTCTCACTCTGTCACCCAGCTGGAGTGCAGTGGTGCGAACACAGCTCACTGCAGCCTCAACCTCCTGGGCTCAAGTGATTCTCCCACCTCAGCTGGGACCACAGGCATGAATTTTCTGTAGAGATGGGAATCTCACCATGTTGCCCAGGCTGGTCTCAAACTTCTGGCCTCAAGTGATGCTCCCACCTTGGCCTCCCACAGTGCTGGGATTATAGACAAGAACCACCATGCCCAGCCTCACTTTTTTTGTTGTTGTTTGTAAAAAATGTTAAAGAAGAGACATGGTAGAGTGTAGTGGTTGAAAGTGCAGACTCAGGCCGGGTGTGGTGGCTCAAGCCTGTAATCCCAGCCCTTTGGGAGGCCGAGGTGGGCGGATCACAAGGTCAGGAGTTTGAGACCAGCCTGGCCAATATGTTGAAATACCGTCTCTACTAACTGGGCGTGGTGGCATGTGCCTGTAATCCCAGCTACTCGGGAGGCTGAGGCAGAAGAATCGCTTGAACCCAGGAGGCGGGGTTGCAGTGAGCGGAGATCGCGACACTGCACTCCAGCCTGGGCAACAGAGCGAGACTCTGTCTCAAAAAAAAAAAAAAATGTAGACTCCAGGCTGGGCGCCATGGCTCACGCCTGTAATCCCAGCACTTTGGAAAGCTGAGGCGGGTGGATCACCTGAGGTCAGGAGTTCAAGACCAGCCTGGCCAACATGGTGAAACTCCATCTCTACAAAAATACAAACATTAGCCAGGCATGATGGCGGATGCCTGTAATCCCAGCTACTTGGGAGGCTGAGGTGGGAGAATCACTTGAACACGGGAGGCGGAGGTTGCAGTTAGCCAAGATCACGCCATTGCGCTCCAGCCTGGGTGACAGAGTGAGACTCCATCTTAAAAAAAAAAAAAAAGGAAAGTGCAGACTCCAGACCCCATAGCCTGGGTGTGGACCGTGACTGCCCACTCCTAACTGCTTTGATGGTGTGAAGTCAGTTTATCTGTCTCTGTGTCTCAGTTTCCACAACTGTGAAATGGGCATCAGAACTGTATCTACCTCACAGGGTCATTACAAGAATGAAATGAGCAAATATAAATGAAGTGTTTAGAAACGGGCCTTACGTCAACTCTATGCAGGTGTGGTTGGTCCTTGCTGAAGGAATGGAATTCCATGTCAGTCAATCGATTATTGCCAGGCCCAGGCCCAGGCCGGCCAGAGCTCTGGCCAACTGGGCCCACATAGGGTGTGTCAGGGCAGCCAGTGTCAGCACATCCAAAGTCCCCGGCCTGCTGAGTTGGCAGAGGGCCTGCCCTGACACTCCCCAGCCCCAAAGAACGCTCTAGAAAAGTGCCTGGGGCTTCCTTAGGTGTCAGTGGGTAGAGGGAAGAGGAGCTTGGGAGCCCCTGACCGTGGCTGAGACCCTCCCGCAGCCCTCGCTGTGTGTCCAGGCCTGGCACGGGGCAGTGGCGCATGTTTTCCATGGCATGTGGAGGGTACGAGGGTGCAGGACTCACTCCAGGGGGGCTGTAGTCACATGTGTGTGCTTATGGGGGCTCAAAATCCTCCAATCCATGGGCGCTCTCCTGCTCTGACTAGAACTGATAGCAGCAAGTCCAGGCCAGTCTGTCTGGCACTAATTCTGAGCTAACTTACACTTCTAATGATTTCATCCAGCAAGTCAGTCAGTCAGGCAGTCAACAAACATTTTTGGAGGCCCTATTGCATGTCACACCATTAAAGTGGAGGTACACAGACGTCTCTGTCTTGAAGGATGGGCTTATTGTGATGAGAAAGGGATTCCTGGCTGCAGGCATTGTGTGCACCAAGGCACAGTGAAAAGGGAAAGCCTGCCCAAGGTGGGAAATGTGGCCGAAGGGAGGGCTAATGGGAGGAGGGCAGGGCAGGAGGCAGGGCTGGGGCTGAGATGAGGAAGGGCCCTGTGAGGCAGGCTCAGGGGTCCAGCATCCTCTGGAAGGAGCCCTTGAAGGTGCAACTTCAAATATCCAGAGATTGAAGGTGACTTTCCTGTCATCCCACGAGGCCTGGTCCAGGAGCTGTTCAGTGAGCCTTGGCTAGTTAATGACAGCATGAGTGTTGGGTGGGTCTGAGGGTCCAGGTTACCCCATACAATGCAGACCACATGACTGGCTCATTGTGGAGTTGTGCAACATGGCATCTCTGTGGCATCTGGGGCCTGGTGTCTGGGCATTAGTGACTGTGCCCATTTGTGTGTGTCAGTGAGTGTCTGTGGGCTGTGGTTCAGCCATTGTATGTGTGTGTGTGTGTGTGCGTGGTGCAGGTGTCTGCCATGATTGGGGCACTCCCCAGGTGCTGGAGGGCTGACGAGTATTAGTCCGTAGATACAGCCTACCCCAATCCCATCCTAGGCACAGCTGCTATGGTGAGAACATCTGGAGGTGATTCCACATCTGGGCTTGCAGTAGTAACAGCAGCAGGATCATACCTGGCTGGAATGTGCATCTCTGGGCACAAGGCCAAGCAGGCGTTGGCTTCCCTGGAGCCTGGCCCGGGGATGTGCAGGGGTGGGAGTTCTGGAGTGGGAGTAGCTGGGTCTTAAGGCTCCTGAGGGTGACTGTGGGGATAAAGGTCCAGCAGCCCTCTCTCCCTGCCTCTCCAACCTCCATCCATCCCCACTCCAAATGTCCATTCCTTCATCCACCCATTTCTGCCTTTCCATTTGTCCATCCATCCTCCTCTGCCTTTCAGCCCATCTGTTAGTCTATCCATTTGTCCATCTGTCCTCCTCCACCTTTCGGTCTGTCTGTTAGTCTATTCGTTTGTCCGTCCATCCTCCTCCACCTTTCGGTCTGTTAGTCTATTCATTTGTCTGTCTGTCCTCAGCCATCTTTCAGTCCATCTGTTAGTCTGTCCATTTGTCTGTCCGTCCATCCTCCTCTGCCTTTTGATCCATCTGTGAGTCTATCCATTTGTCCATCCGTCTATCCATTTGTCCGTCCGTCCTCCTCTGCCTTTCTGTCCATCTGTTAGTCTGTTTGTCCATCTGTCTTCCTCCATCTTTCAGTCCATCTGTTAGTCTATCCTTTTGGCCTCCCATTGGCCCCCTGTCTGTCTCTGGTCCCCTCCGTCACCTGCCTGTTCCCCCAGGCACCTCATTCTTGAGTGGTCTGATGCAGGCTATGATCAGGGGCTTCACTCTGGCCCCTCAATAGCCCCTGTGGCTGCAACTTGGGCCTGCCCAATCCCTAGTGTGTGAGCCTGCCCGGTGCGCCTCTGCCTCACTCTGGAGGGTGTCATGAACTCCTAAAACAGATCTGATGCATCCTTGCCAGTCCTGAAATAATCACACCAACAGCTTCAGATTCCCCTTTCAGTCCTGTTCCCAGATGGTCCTCTTGTCTCTCACCTGGACAAGGTTCCTCTCCTCCAGGGAGGACTCCCTGACCACCCACCCATGGGCTCTGCGGCCACCACATGCTCTACTCATAGGTCTCAATTTGTTGCAGCCAGGCTCAGCCTGTGGGAAACCCGGGCTTTCTCCCAAAAGGGATTACCCATGACATGGACCCAGCCAGACCTTTTCCCACTCAGAATTTCAGCATGGTGCTGTGGCCCCCGCGGGAGGTTCTTCCTGTAGAACACCAGGATCCCCGCTCACCTTCCACACATAGGCTCAAAGCTGCTGCTTCCCAAAGCTCTGCTTCCCTGGGCCACCTCCCACCCTCCCTTGCCTGGACAATGGGTTCGAGGGGCTCACCTGGTCAGAGAGGGACAGACCTCCAGGTGCCGCTCCCTCCAGGGCCTCAGAGAACTCAGAGCGCCAGGGTGGGGGGGGTGAGGGTGGGGTAATTAATCATGGAATGTGTGTCTGTGTGTGTGTGTGCAAGTGTGTGTGGCATTCATTTATAGAACAAACATTTCCTGAGCACTGGCACGTGCCAGACACCATTGCAGGCACTGGAGAGATAGCAGTGAACAAAACCAATGGCCCCTGCCCCCAGGAGGCAGATGTCCCAGCCAGGGAGACCTAGGAGGCTGCAGGGCCTGTGAGTGTCAGGGAGTGTGAGTGAGTGTGAGGATGGTGAGAGCCTGTGGAGAAGGGGCCTGTACAGGAACAGGGCCAGGTCTAAGTCAGGACATGGGTGTTCAGACTCAAGTGTCTGTCTTTGGTGGATAGGAGTGTCCACTGGGTTCTGTGCCAAGGAGTTTGTGTGCCTGTGCAGGCCCAGAATTGACATGTGCCTATCAGCCAGTTTGGGAGGCTGTGTGGCAACCACACCTGGCTGGCTCCCAGGCTGCGGGGCTCTATTTTTAGAAGCGACAGCCTGCAAATCCCCGCACCCACCCCCATCCCTATCCCATACCTGCTCAGGTGCCTAGCCTCTAGGGAGGGCCCGGCTGGCCTATCTGCAGAGAGAGCCCACACTTCAAATGGAGCAGCCTGTGGCCCCCAGGTAACCGGGGTGGGGTGTGCCTGGGTTCCTGCTGATCGATGGGGGAATCCCAGCTGCCTTGCCTCACACCTGCAGCCCTACCTCCTGCCTCCCAGCATAGCCCCTGTGTGGGAGGCACAGCTCTGGAACCCTCCAAGGCTCCGCTGGCCCATGGTGTGCCCTGCCTGATCACCCTCAGAAGTGGGCCAGGCAGGGTTGGAGGTGAGAGGGGAGGAGGGAAGCAGATCAAGGATGACCTCCCATCTTATCAAATATCTGAGCCCCTCCATCACCCCCTCCTTCCATGGGGTCTTCTTCCCTGGCTGCAAGTGGATAGTCCAGGTAGGTAGAAGCTAGGGCTGCCTGGGTGTTGCCCTCCCCTGCCTCTGACACTCCCTCACTCTCTGCACCGTGTGTCCTATTTACCTGATCTTCTCTCGCCCTTGTCACTGCTCTGAGTTAATAACAGTCGTGCATTGATCTGTTAGCAGGCATGATGCTAAGTGCTTTGCGTGTATGCTCTCCTTTCATCCTCAGAGCAACTCTGTGAGGTCAGCAATTGTTATTCCACTAGAAGGGAGAAAGCCGCAGCTCAGAGGCATCCACATCACCCAGTGAGGAGGGCAGAGTGTAGGGCTTCCTGCCCAGGTTCTGGAGAGCCCTTAGCTGTACTGCGGCCTTGGGATCACGCTCTGTTGCTCTCCTCCCAGCCATGGTCCCTTGGTGGGAGCTGAGCTGTGTCCTCGAGGGGTGTGGACTGTGGACATTGTTCACAGGAACCAGAGACATCACTCTTTAGGATTCTACCAGCAACACCTGAATTGGCTCGACATTTGTGGAGGTGATGTTTCCCCGAATTACTCACTTTTGTTTGATAATAATTAAAATCTTTATTTGGTCTTATTTAATATAGTTTAGAAGCTATCTAATCTGGTTTTTTTGGAGAGGCAAACTTCTTTTGAAAATGTAAGTTTTGGCTGGGCGAGGTGCTGTATGCCTATAATCCCAGCACTTTGGGAGGCCGGGGAGGGTGGATCACCTGAGGTCAGGAGTTCCAGATCAGCCTGGACAACATGGTGAAACCCTGTCTCTACTAAGAATTAGCCAGGCCTGGTGGCGGGCACCTGTAATCCTAGCTACTAGGGAGACTGAGGCAGGAGAATTGCTTGAACCTGGGAGGCCGGGGTTGCAGTGTGCCAAAATCATGCCACTGCACTCCAGCCTGGATGTCAGAGTGAGACTCTGCATCAAAAAAAAAAAAAAAAAAAAAAAAAGAAAGAAAAAGAAAAGAAAAAAAAAGAAAGAAAAGAAAATGTAAGTTTTGCTTTTAATTAAAAATAAAGTCGCCGGGCACGGTGGCTCATGCCTGTAATCCCAGCACTTTGGGAGGCCGAGGCGGGTGGATCATGAGGTCAGGAGTTCGAGACCAGCCTGACCAATATGATGAAACCCCGTCTCTACTAAAAATACAAAAATTAGCCGGGTGTGGTGGTGTGTGCCTGTAATCCCAGCTACTCAGGAGGCTGAGGCAGGAGAATTGCTTGGAGCTGGGAGATGGAGGTTGCAGTGAGCTGAGATCACGCCATTGCACTCCAGCCTGGGCAACAGAGTGAGAGAGAGACTCCATCTCAAAAAAAAAAAAAAAGTCTTAGTTCAGAAAACTCAGGATGCACAAAACTATTCAGACTGTTACTTTAGCATTTTCCCATTACTGCATCAGTAATATTCACCACACTTTGCTAGATGTTCATTGATTAGAGTATTGGAATCAAATTCTGCTCTAAATGTGTGTGAATACATTGGAGAGGCTTTGTGTTTTTCACTGTGAAATGCAATTGTGTCTCTTTTTTTTTTTGACAGTCTTTCTGCGTCGCCCAGGTTGGAGTGCAGTGGTGCAATCTCAGCTTACTGCAACCTCCGCTTCCTGGGTTCCAATGATTCTTCTGCCTCAGCTTCCCGAGTAGCTAGGACTACAAGCACATGCCACCACACGCAACTAATTTTTGTATTTTTAGTAGAGACAGGGTTTCGCCATGTTGGCCAGGCTGGTGTTGAACTCCTGACCTCAAGTGATCCACCTGCCTCAGCCTCCCAAAGTGCTAGGATTACAGGTGTGAGCCACTGAGCCCAGCCACAACTGTGTCTTGAATAAGAAGGTGCCTAGAAGTCAAATTAAAGTAATAATAATGACTTATTTTTTTAAATGTGTTTTATTGGCTCCTCTTCTTCTGTGCACTCCCTGGACTGAGTTAGGGGTGCACAGAGGGAGGAAGGAGCAATAAGCACATGTGGGGTCCAGGCTGTAGCCATGGAAGATGGTGGCAACCAGGGGATCCCAGCCACCTCCCATCCTCTGGTCCCTCCCCTGCTGTAGAACCTACAATGGCTCCCTACAGATGCTTCCCAGGGTAGCTCCAAGTCCTCTGTCCAGCAGGCAGCCTTGCCTGCACAGCCTCCCTCTCCTCCTCCCGACAAGCACCCTCTCACCCAGGCAGACACTGCTCCTGCTCTGCCCGTGGCCCGTGGCCTCTTCTCTCGCTGCCCTCCTGCCTCAAGCTGAGGCACCCTACCCACTTCATTTCATTCAATCTGCAGAATGTCCCCACAGGCTAGGTTTTCTTATGCATTTTTTTGTTTGTTTTTTAGAAATGAAGAAACTGAACTCAGAATAGGACAGCAACTTGCCCCAGGTCACACAGCTAGTAAAGAGCACAAGTGGGATTCCAGAGCAGGCTCACCTGACTCCAGTGTGCCATGCAGTTCAGCTGCATTTCATAGATCTTTACTGAGCATAACTCAGTGCCAAGCCCTGTGCTAAGGATCGGGGATACAGACTATTAGGGGAGAGGGATAATGTATATGCACATGCATGCATGCATGCACACACACACACACACACATACACACAGACACACACACAGACACATACATAGACACACATGTACACAGACACACACACAGACACACACACGGACACACAGCACACACAGATACACAGACGCATATACAGATGCACACAGACACAGACACACACACACACAGACACACACACACACAAACACAGACACATACACACACATACACAGACACACACAGACACATCGACACACAGACACACACGTACACAGACACACACGGACACACACAGACACACAGATGCACACACAGGTGTACACACAGACACACACACATACATAGACACACACACACACACACACACACACAGACACACACACACACGTGCACGCGCGCATGGTTCTGATACCATTTCCTGCTGGCAGGTGGTGGGATGTCCTCTGGTCCTCTCTGCCCTTTCCCTTCTGAGTTTCAGATGGGAGGGAAAGCAGACAGGGAGGAGGTGGTAGGTGCTGAATTACTCACCACCCAGTCTTAAAATCTTCACACTTGTGACTTAGACTCCCAGATGGTCCCTTTCAAGAAATGAGCTCTATTTCCCTTTAAAAGAGGGAGAGAGTATGAAAGAGAAAAACGTTTTGTTCTGCAGTTTCAAGTTGTCATGTGGGGGCAATTTGTTCCTTTTCCTCCCTATCTCTATCTCTCTCCTCCCTCACCTTCAACCCAGACTGGTCCTAAGACCACAGAGAGCATCACTTCCACCCATCCTTCCCTGCACCAGCTTTCCCCAAATCCCGGTGTCCAGTGCTGAGCCACTAGGCTGGGGCTTGGGGGGTGAGGCACAAGAGGGTTTCTTCTTTTTGACACTTGGGGGTTGGGAGGGAAGTCAGGGGTCCTTGGCTAGCCCAAGACTTAGATCTGAACTCCTTCACTGTCTCCTACTTTTGTTGAAATGTTGGCTTGTTTGTGGATAGAAAGCTCTCTGGGCCAGGCACGGTGGCTCACACCTGTAATCCCAGCACTTTGGGAGGCCGAGGCAGGCGGATCACCTGAGGTCAGGAGTTCGAGACCAGCCTGACCAACATGGAGAAACCCGGTCTCTACTAAAAATACAAAATTAGCCGGGCATGGTGGCACGTGCCTGTAATCCCAGCTGCTCTGGAGGCTGAGACAGGAGAATCGCTTGAACCTGGGAGGCGGAGGTTGCAGTGAGCTGAGATCGCGTCATTGCACTCCAGCCTGGGCAACAAGAGTGAAACTCCATCACAATAAAAAAAAAACAAAGATTGACTCTAATTTCTTAAAAAGCATCATGCAAACTTGAGACTTCTTTGAAATGAGAACATCTAAACCAACCAATAGCTTTAAAATGTAATGAAATAGTCATGATTTCCAGGCTTTCCAATTAATGAAGTTGTCATACAATTATGGTTTATTGACATTAAATGACATAATTTTCGTTTTCATTTTCTGGTTTTTAAAAAATACTTTGGGCTGGGCACGGTGGCTCACGCCTGTAATCTCAGCATTTTGGGAGGCTGAGGCGGGTGGATCTCTTGAGGTCAGGAGTTGAGACGAGCCTGGCCAACATGGTGAAACCCTGTCTCTACTAAAAATACAAAAATTAGCCGGGTGTGGTGGGTGAGTGTCTGGTAATCCCAGCTACTCAGGAGGCTGAGGGGCGAGAATCACTTGAACCTGGGAGGTGGAGATTGCAGTGAGCAGAGATCACGCCACTGTACTCAAGCCTGGGCAACAGAGTGAGACTCTGTCTCAAAAAAAAAAAAAAAAAAAATGAAGCCAGTATGTCCCCTCTCACCTTCCAAGTCTCAAACCTTTTTGCAGGAGCATAAAATTTTGATAGGCCCCAGACACTGCCTATGTGACTTAAAGAACGAACAGCCTGGCCGAGGGTGGCTCCTTGAATATTGTTAAAGAGAAGTGAGAGAGAGAGACAGAAATACAAATGATTTGGAAACATGAAAAAAAAAAAAAGCTAACATCTCTCATCATAAAGAATGCAAATTAAAATGAGATACTGTTTTTTTCATATCTCAGATTGGCAGAGACCAAAAAGTGATTTTTTGTACAATTTGGTGCAAATTTTTAGAGGACTATTGGATGATATCTATCATAATGCGAATTGCTCATTCCTTTGCCCCATCAATTACACTTCAAGGAAGCTGAGCTCCAGATACACTCACAGATATACAAAGATGCCTGTAGAAAGACTTTCATTGCTGTGAAAAACTGGAAACAGACTAGATATCAACTGACAGACAACTGACACAGATGGCAAGACATCACAATCTGGAATAGTTCACAGCCATGAAAGGTGTGCACGTGTTGATATGGAACAAATACCTCAATACAGAATTAAGTGAAAACAATTCAAGGTGCAGAGCTGTGTGTAATGTATGATTTCTTTTGTGAAAAAAGGAAAACAATACACACCACACACATATGTTTGTGTTTATTTATAGTTATATACTAGGAACTGCCTAGAAATACTTGGAAGAAGACTCAGAAATTGAGAAGAATAGTTGTTTCTGAGAGGGGAACTGTTTGCTTGCTCTGTTTAATTTAATTTTTTACTTTTAATTTTTTTTTGAGATGGAGTCTTGCTCTGTTGCCCAGTCTGGAGTAAAGTGGCATGATCTCGGCTCACCGTAACCTTTGCCTCCTGGGTTCAAGTGATTCTCCTGCCTCAGCCTCCTGAGTAGCTGGGATTATAGACGTGTGGAACCATGCCCAGCTAGTTTTCATATTTTTAGTAGAGACGGGATTTCACCATGTTGGCCAGGCTGATATTGAACTCCTGACCTCAGGTGATCTGCCAGCCTCCGCCTCCCAAAGTGCTGGGATTACAGGCGTAAGCCACCACGTCTGGCCTAATTTTATTTTTTAATTATAAGTGCATATCTCTTTTTTAATTTAAAAAAATCTAGTTAGCAAACAGATAGACAAATGCCTGTGGAATAAAAGAAGTAAAACAAACGAATGAATGACTAAATGAATGGATGAATGAATTTTAGGTGCTTGGTTGGGGAAGGAACTCCACTGAAGGCCTGGTGTGGTGGCTCATGCCTGCAATCCCAGTAATTTGGGAAGCTGAGGCAGGAGGATCGCTCAAGGCCAGAAGTTCAAGACCAGCCTGGGCAACATAGCAAGACCCCCCCCATCTCTACAAAAAATAAAAAAATTAGTCAGGTATGGTGTCACATACCTGTAGTCCCAGCTACTCAGGAGGCTGACAGGAGGATTGCTTAAGCCTAGGAGTTTGAGGCTGCAGTGAACCATGATCACACCATTATATTCCAGCATGGGTGACGGACCTCGACCCTGTCTCTTAAAAACAAACAAACAAAAAAGGCCGGGTGCAGTGGCTCACGCCTGTAATCCCAGCACTTTGGGAGGCCAAGGCGGGCAGATCAACTGAGATCAGAAGTTCAAGGCCAGCCTGGCCAATAGGGCAAAACCGCATCTCTACTAAAAGTACAAAAATTAGCCAGGTGTGGTGGTGGGCGCCTGTAATCCCAGCTACTTGGGAGGCTGAGGCAGGAGAATCGCTTGAGCCCGGGAGTCACTGCACTCCAGCCTGGGAGACAGAGCGAGACTTTTTCTCTAATAATAATAATAATAATAATAATAATAATAAAATAATAATAAGAAGAAGAAGAACTGCACTGCATCCTGGAGCCCAAGAAGCTCCCACCACCTGGTGGAGACACAGAAAGAGCAGAGAACCCGATGTTCTATGCAACTGTGGGAGGAGGGGCCTGGAGGAGTCATGAGGGCTTTTCCTAGGAGGCCTGAAGAATGGAGAAGGCTGAGCCGAGGGGAAGGAGGAATGGTAGGGGGTGGTTTGTGGGTTTTTGTTCTGGGAGGCCTTCCTTTCTCCCCTGCTCCCACCTGCGGCTCCTCCCTTGAGTATATGTCAAGCCTGGGAAGCCCCAACCCCTAGCGTGGTACCTGGCATACAATCTATGGCAATAAACAGTGGTTGATCGAACTGATGGAATCAGTCACTGGTTAATTCAGGCGACAGTGAATTAATTACTCCCCTTTCCTACCCGAACATCCCCCCACAAACAACAACAGATGACTTTCTCAGAGCTGCCATGGATAGCTGTACAGACTGTCCACTGCACAACTCCAGGAGGCTCTATTTTCCTAGACTGTCATGTGAGTGATGCCTCCTGAAGCTGTGGGACATGGTGCACCTGCAAAACACTGTTTCTTCCTCTTCTAAACTCAAGCGAATTTAATCCACATGAAGAGTGAAAGGGCTCAGGGAACGAGGATCTCCCAACTCTGACACTGCAGGGTTTCCCCTCCCTTTTCCCTCCTGTTCTTACGGCCTCGCCCTTTCCTTTATTCCTTTCTAACTTGGGCTTGAGGCAACTTAGCCAGATCTGGCCAATTACACTACAACTCAACTTTACAGCCTGGAATTTGCTTGCAGTACGATCTCAGGCAAGTCCCGGAACCTCTCAGGGCCTCAGTTTCCCCATATGAGAAATAGGTAAACGTGTAGGGAGCAATTCTTGATCATCCTCCTTGGCTTGAAGGGAACGTATCGGGGTAAAATGTCGAAGAAATGCATCCCTATGGGACCTGGCATTCTCGAAGGGACAAGTCCCAACGTCCTGTCCAGTCCTGCCTGGCCCTACTTACCCTTGAGACCTACACTCTGCTTCATGGGCAACATCCTCGCATGGAAGGAATTGTGCTGGGAGCAGCCTTGGCCAAGTCCTCACTGACGATACTTACTGTGTGCCACTGAGCAAGCTGCAAGCCCTGCCTGGGCCTCAGTTTCCTTTCCTGTAGAATGGGAACTTAGGCCAGATCAGCAAGTGTCGAATGCCAGACTGGGTCAGGCGCGGTGGCTCACGCCTGTAATCCCAGAACTTTGGGAGGCCGAGGCGTGTGGATCACCTGAGGTCAGGTGTTCGAGACAAGCCTGGCCAACATAGTGAAACCCCATCTCTACTAAAAATACAAAAATTAGCCAGGTGTGGTGGCAGGTGCCTTTGAGGCAGGAAAATCACTTGAATCCGGGAGGTGGAGGTTGCAATGAGCCGAGACCACGCCATTGCACTCCAGCCTGGGCAATAGAGTGAGACTCTGCCTCAAAAAAAAAAAAAGCTAGACTGAGTCTTTCATGGCCTTTTCTTTTTCGCTTTAATTTTTGTAATTTTGGTCTTTCTTCTTTGTGACTACAAACATCATACATGCTCATAAAACTTCAAACACTTCCAAAATAGGTAATGTACCAAGGGAAAACCAACCCTGAGGCTCACTGCTAACTCACTGCTAACATTTTTTTGGGTAACTTAATTCTGACATAATTTCAAATTTACCAAAAAGTTGCAACAATACTACAAAGACTCTAGTATAACTTTTTTGCAGATATACTAATTGTTTACATTTTACCCCTTTTACTTTATTTTTCTTTATATATGTTTATGTGTGTGAATGTGGATGTGTGTATGTGTAATTTTTTCCTGAAATTTCCCAATTAAGAATAAGTTGCAGACATCATGCCCTTTTACCTCTAAATACTTCAGGGTGTATTTCCTAAGAACAAGGATGCTCTTTTACAGTGCAAGACTTACGTAACTCCTGCATGGTAGACACGGGAAACTCAGCATTGATCCAATACTATTCTCTAATCCACAGCCCATATTCAAGTTCAGCTGTGTCATGATCTTTTCACAGGTTTCCAGCAAAAGTCCTGAAAAGTCCTGGAAATTCAGGGCAATATAATGAGTTTTCTTAAAGCCAATATGTATTTAGCTTAAAGGATTATGCTCTATTCTAAAACCTGCTCTCCTCTCTTTTTATTTTTTTGGTGTTTAAGATGTCGCTTGTCTCTTTTTTGATGAAATGATGGTGCCAGGAGAAAGTGATTTGTTAGCCTAGGCTCATGTCTGCAGTCCCAGCACTTTGGGAGGCTGAGGTAGGAGGATCACTTGAGGCCAGAAGTTCGAGGCTAGCCTGGGCAACAAAAAAATAAATAAATAAATTAGCCAGGCATGGTGTCGTGCACCTGTAGTCCCGGCTACTTGGGAGGCTGAGGTGGGAGGATTGCTTAAGCCTTAAGAGGCGGAGGTTGCAGTAAGCTGAGATTGCACCACTGCACTCCAGCCTGGGTGACGGAGCGAGATCTTGTCTCAAAAAAGAAAAAAAAATGGTTTATTATTTCTCTGATATTCTTACTTGACAAAATAAAAACTGGGTGGTTGAATGTTAGTCCACGGACTTCTTTTGTAGAGATGCCCCTATATGGCCCCTCCAGCTCCCGTGGTCTCTAATTCTGGGACCCCTCACCTGAGGAAGGTTTCCTGCGCCCTGTTGAGAGCACAGCCACTCCTGAGGCTGGGGTGGGGGCTGGGATAGGCAGACACAGGCCCTGCCCCAGGAGCAAATGGTTTCTTACCCAGCAGAGGGGACCTTTATATGTTTTTTTGTTTTGTTTTGTTTTGTTTTTTTGAGACGGAGTCTCATTCTTTGGCCCAGGCTGGAGTGCAGTGGCATGATCTTGGCCCACTGCAACTTCCATCTCCTGGGTTCAAGCGATTCTCCTGCCTCAGCCTCCCGAGTAGCTGGGACTATAGGCACGCACCACCATACCCAGCTATTTTTTGCATTTTTAGTAGAGACAGGGTTTCACCATGTTGGCCAGGCCGATCTTGAAAGCCTGACCTCAGGTGATACTCTTGCCTCGGCCTCCCAAAGTGCTGGGATTACAGGTGTAAGCCACTGCGCCTGGCCCACCTTTATGTTTTCCAGACTCTCTGGCCTCTGTCTGGAACCTTCCTGACCTTGTGAGTCTCCCCAAGAGGCAGACTCTAGGCACCAGGCCTCACTTTCCCAGCCTCCCTTGCAGTTGCTGCAGGCTTGTGACCTGGCTCAGCCAATCAGACACACACATTCAGCAACCCTGACTCAGGCAGAAGACACAAAGAAGCAGAGATGGAGTGCATCTGCCCCAAGTGGAGGCAGCAGCAGCAGCAGGAGGGAGGTGTCGGGGCAGTGGGGCCGCAGGGCCAGTCCTCAGGTTGGTTACTCAGTTGTCCTCCCTGGTCTGTCCTCAAGGCGTGATTTGGGCTGGGGTTCTGGCTGCCGTCCAGCCCTCCCTGGTTGCTGTGAGCCTGGCTCTCTAGCCAGCCCTAGAAGTCCGTGAGTTAGTTCTCTGTTGCTTGCAACCAAGAACCCTGACAAGTAAGTACAAAGAAGTCAGTATTCATGGGGATGGCAAGGAAGGGGGGCCTGGAGTGTGGACACATCTGGGCTTGATAAGCAGTGATTCTGAGGCATGGGCAGCCATGGAGGAATCTTGTTGCCTTGTCTGAAATGTGGATGGGACACCCTGTCTAGGTGCTAGGTGGGGAAGCCCAGACAAGGAGTGCTGTGGGTAAGGGGTGGGAGGGATCTAAGAGGGGAGAGCCTAAAGCTGGGGACTGAGGATTGAACTGGGAGGAGAGAGATGGACTCAGGAAGAAGAGGAGGGTGGCATTGCAGAAGGAGATAGCCAGATTGGGTCACATGGTTCCACATGCTTAAAATATTTTTTCACCTTTTTCTTTTCTCTTTTTTTTATTTTTTATTTTTATTTTTGAGAGGGAGTCTTGCTCTGTCACCAGGCTAGAGTGCAGTGGCACAATCTCAGCTCACTGCAACCTCTGCCTCCCAGGTTCAAATGATTCTCCTGTCTCAGCCTTCTGAGTAGCTGGGATTACAAGCATGCACCACCACACCCAGCTAATTTTTTTTGTATTTTCAGTACAGATGGGGTTTCATCATGTTGGCCAGGCTGGTCTTGAACTCCTGTCCTCAGGTGATCCGCCCACCTTGGCCTCCCAAAGTGCTGGGATTACAGGTGTGAGCCATCGCGCCCGGCCTTTTTCACCCTTTTCTATATGCCAGGCAATGTATTGGTTAATAAAACAGTCCAGGGATGGGTATTATCCTCATTTTACCTACAAAGAAATTGTGTTACAGGAGGATTAAACAACCTGAATAAGATCAGAAAACCAGAAAGGGACAGGGTCAGAATTCAGACCTAAGTCTGCCTAACTCTGACACTGATGCTCTTAACAACCTCAACAGGTGCTCAGATGAGGAAGCAAAGTCTCTGCCTCAATCCCTGAGTTTTTATATAGTCGGCCCTCAGTGTCTGTGGGTTCCTCATCTGTGTATTCAACCAACTGCTATCAAAAACATTTGCGGGCCGGGTGCGGTGGCTCATGCTTGTAATCCCAGCACTTTGGGAAGCTGAGGCGGGCAGATTGCTTGAGGCCAGGAGTTCAAGACCAGCCTGGTCAATATGGTGAAACCTCGTCTCTACTAAAAATACTAAAATTATCTGAGCATGATGATGCACGCCTGTATTTCCAGCTACTTGGGAGGCTGAGGCAGGAGAATCACTTGAACCCAGGAGGCAGAGGTTGCAGTGAGCTGACATTGCGCCACTGTACTCCAGCCTGGACAACAGAGTGAGACTGTCAAAAAAAAAAAAAAAAAAAAAAAATTGAAAAAATATGAGGAGGCTGAGGCAGGCAGATCGCTTGAGCCCAGGAGTTCAAGATCAGCCTGGGCAACATGGTGAAACCCCATCTCTACTAAAAATACAAAAATAAATTAGCTGGGTGTGGTGGCGCACACCTGTAGTTCAAGCTACTTGGGAGGCTGAGATGGAAGGATTACTTGAGTCAGGGAGGCAGAGGCTGCAGTAAGCCAAGATTACACCACTGCACTCCACCCTGGGAGACAGGAGACCCTGTCTCAAAAAAAAGTTTTTGAAAAAAAGTTGTGTCTGTACTGAATACACAGACTTTTTTCTTGTCATTATTCCCTGAACAATATAGTGTGTACATTTATGTACTGTAACAACTATGTACATACCATTTACATTATAATTAGGTATTTAAAGTAATCTAAAGATGATTTAAAATACAGAGGAAAGGCTGGGTGTGGTGGCTCACACCTGTAACCCCAGCAATTTGGGATGCTGAGGCGGGTGGATCACCTGAGGTCAGGAGTTCGAGACCAGCCTGGCCAACATGGTGAAATCCCATCACTACTAAAAATACACAAATTAGCCAGGTGTGGTGGCGGGCGCCTGTAGTCCCAGCTACTCAGGAGGCTGAGGCAGGAGAATGGTGTGAAGCTGGGAGGCGGAGCTTGCAGTGAGCCGAGATAGCGCCACTGAACTCCAGCCTGGGCCACACAGCGAGACTCCATCTCAAAAAGGAATTTTATCACTGTGAGATAACACACTTTTCTTCTTGTCTAAGCCAATTGAATAGGAGTTCTGTTTCTTGTCGCTAAAATATCCTTACTAATTTGGTATGCTAATAGCTGCAGCAGGAACAACAGCCATCAGTTAAAAGGGGAAAACCTGACTCCTTGACCAAGGGGGACCCTGAGAATTCCCTTCGCCGCTGGTTCAGTGGGGAAGAGGGAGAGAGTGTGCAGAAGCACAGGCGGCCCGAGGCCCTTGCACTCTGAATCTTGTGGCAGGCAGAGAGCTCCCATCGGAGGAGGCGCCGCTGCTGGCCAGCCAGATTTCCAACTCCCATTTCCTGTAGGGTCAGCAGAGGTGGAGGATGGGGTAGGCAGAGGAAAGCAGCTTTAGTTTCCGAATCAGGATGGAAAACAGATGTCCCAGTACCCCGCTGGGCCCAGATTCACCCTGGACAGAGGCTGGGCCTGTTCTCAGCCCTGACCCGTCCACCAACCTCCTGTCCGCCACATCAAGTCCAGATGTGGCTTCTTCCAAGTTCTAATAATAATTTTGATTTGTTGCAGCGAAGCAACCTTCACCCCCTAGCTCAACCCTAAACTTACCAACTCACCATGGAGTAGAGAAGGAGTAACACTATGAAAGCTTTGTAAGGAAACCTGGGTGGGGTAGAGAGGAGTGTGAACTTGAGATTCAGACCAATGTGGGTTCAACCACAGCCTGGTCTTTTACTAGCTTTGTGATCTCAACCATTACATCAGTCATCAGCTTCTGTGTAAGAAGCCACCACAAAACCTAGTGGCTCAAAATAACAACTGTTTATTGCTCACGATTCTAAAATTTGGGCAGGGATTGACAGGACAGCTCACTTTTTCTCTACATAGTGTTGCAGGGAATTTTGCGTGTGTGTGTGTGTGTTTTGAGACAGGGTCTCACTTTGTCACACAGGCTGGAGTGCAGTGGTGTGATCATAACTCATGGCAGCCTCAAACTCTCGGGCTCAAGGGATCCTCCTGCCTCAGTCTGCCAAGTAGCTAGGACTACGAGTGCACATAACCATGCCTGGCTAATTTTTAAATGTTCTGTAGAGTCAGGGTCTTGCTATGCTGCCCAAGCTGGTCTCGAGCCCCTGGGCTTCCTCCCTCTTCACCCTCTCAAAGTGCTGGGACTCCAGGCACAAGACATGGCGCCCTGCCCATGGTGTTGTGTTTTGTAAGTTAAGACAATGGTGCATGTGCATGAGCAGAGGAAGTCCATAAAATGCATGTCCACCCTGTTCCTGGTCTCTCATCTCTGTACAGATCATTCCTTTTCTTTTCATCTGTCCTTACTCATCAGTAAACCAAAGGAAGAGAGTGTTGGTAGAATATATGCATAGCAAGAAGAGAAATTAAAAGGTGTTAGTTTTGGCCAGGCACGGTGGCTTATGCCTGTAATCCCAGCACTTTGGGAGGCCGAGGCAGGTGGATCACCTGAGGTCAGGAGTTAGAGACCAGTCTGGCCAACATGGTGAGACCCCGTCTCTACTAAAAAAAAAAAAAAAAAAAACATTAGTAAAGTGTGGTGGCACACACCTGTAATCCCAGCTACTCAGGAGGCTGAGGCAGGAGAATTGCTTGAAGGTGGAGGTTGCAGTGAGCCGAGATCGCGCCACTGCACTGCAGCCTGGGTAACAAGAATGAAACTCTGTCTAAAAAATAAAAAATTTAAAAAAAAAAGTTGTTAGTTTTGTGTGGTGTTCCCACTCTTCTGGTAGGAATGAAATATATATGCATGTATGACCTATGAAATATGAATTGCATAATTCTGATGATTGTACATATGAGCTAAATGCTCTTTTTGCATTTAAAACTGGCTTTGCACCATATAAAGTTGAACAGCAAAATTCATAGTAACATTTTCAAATTTTAGCTTTTTTATTAGGGTAGCATTAAATAGCAAGTTAAAAACACCATGGTGAGTTAAGGGAGAGAGACTATCAAAAGAGAAAGCTTTATATTTTAGTGCCTCTAACAATGTTTATCTTGCTTTTTGAATAAGGGGCTCCACATTTTCATTTTGCTTTGAATTCCAAAAATTGTATAAGCCTAGGCATAGGCCTCTTAAAGCCTGTGCCAGAACCGACACAGCATCACTTTTGCCACATTCTATTGGTCAGAGCAAGTCACAAGGGCAGCCTAGAGCCAAGGAAGAGGTGGGGGTATGCAGGTGTGTGTGTGTGTGTGTGTGTGTGTATGTGTGTGTGTGTGGTGCGGAACTGGCTCCACCTTTTGAAGGGAAGAACAGCATTCTAATACAGAGAGGAGAGGAATTGTCAGTGACCATCTTCGCAGACAATCTACAACCACCATAGGTCATCCCCTTTCTGATCTCATCTTCTTATCTGTAAAATGGGAATGATTCCCCAGGGTTGATGGAGAATAAGGGAATATTGTGCTTGCAATTTCCTGGAACATGGTGATGCCTCATTCAGGGTTGGTCCCTCCCCTTCTATTTTTTGTTTTGGGAGGGCGGGGAATGGAGCCTCACTTTGTCGCCCAGGCCGGAGTGCAGTGGCACAATCTGGTCTCACTGCAACCTCTGCCCCCCGGGTTCAAACGATTCTCCTGCCTTAGCCTCCCGAGTAGCTGGGACTAGAGACGTGCAACACCACGCTCTACTAATTTTGTATTTTTAGTAGAGACAGGGTTTCACCATGTTGGCCAGGTTGGTCTCAAACTCCTGACCTCAGGTGATCCGCCCACCTCGGCCTCCCAAAGTGCAAGGATTACAGGCGTGAGCCACTGCGCCCAGCCCCGCTTCTATTTCTTAATCGTGCTTTATAAATGCTTACTGATTTGCTGTCTCATTTCAGTCATTCATTCACTTAATCTTTATTGAGTCCTATGAGTCAGGCTCTGCTCTGAGAGCCAGGGATCACAGCTGAGAATAAAACAGACAAAAGTCCTTGCCCCTATGGAGTTCGTTTTGACAAGAGAGACAGACAATAAATGAGGCAAACAAATAAAATACGTATTGTGTTGGGAAGTAAAGAGGCCAAGGAGAAGGAAAAAAAAACGGTAGGGGGCTAGAGAGTTCTGTGGTGAGGGCCCAGTGTTCGCTAGGGCGGCCTGGGAAGGCCTCACTGAGAGGAAGTCATCTGAGTAAATCCTAAAGGAGGAGCCCTGGGGATGTTCCAGGCAGAGAACAGCTAGTGCAAGGGCGCCGAGAGGGGAGCACGTCTCAGGTGAGTGAGGGGTGGTGAGGGGTCCCGGGTGGCTGGCGGAGGGAAGAAGGGGAGAGATAAGGGAACTAGGGAGGGCAGATCAGGAAGCATCCCCACTACCCGCCCCCACAAAGGAATTTGTCTTTTACTATGAATAAGATGAAATCACAGAGGCTGGCGTGGAGGAGGAGAGCAGTGGCTGCAGGGTAGGCCAAAGACTATAGTGGGAGCAAGAAGAGGCAGGGAGACTGGTGGGAGGGTGGCCTGGCCAGGGGCGTCCCACTGGAGGTGGGAGAGGTAACTGAATTCTGAACAGTGCTTTGGAGTTAGACAGGACTTTCCTGTCAAATCACAGGATATCAATTTGGCATGACAAGCAGGTGTTATCAAATCCTCATGTTATAGAAGACAGCATCAAACCTTGGCGAGGCTGGATGACATGCATCGTGTCACGTAGTTACTAAGCAGTGTCTTTCTGAAGGCAGGAAGGTTGCGGGGTCTGTCTGAAGCTGACAGTAACGGATGTGTGGTCTGCACGTGGGTGTGTCTGTAAGTCTTGCCTTTCTCTGGGTCTCCATATCTGTTGTCACCCCATCTCCACCCCCTACTGCCACCTGTCAGCTTCTGCTCTTCTTACGCATTGCAGACACATCTTCATCTTCTCCCAAGCCCATTTCTAAGGGGCCTGTATGTTTCTGGTGCCCAGAGTGTATGTGGGCGACCGTTGTAGCATCGGCATGCCTCATAAGAGTGTGAATGCCCCAGTGTGTGTGTTTCTGAGTTTGTGTGCATTACTTTGGCTGTGTGTGAGGTGTGTGTGCATACTGCTGGCTGTGAGCACCTATAGATGGGGGGCTTAAGGGACTGGGTGTGTGCACGAGAGTAAATGTGTGTGCAAATGTGTGAGCACATGGAGGTATCCTCTCTCCTCCTTCAAATTTGCTCCCATCCTGAAAAGCCCAGGTCAAGCCCACTTCTGCAAGAAGTCCCCTCACTTTTCTAGGCCATAAGAAGCCCTCCACCGCTGACATCCCACCACCCCCTCTGTCAGAATCACACACTCCGTGGCTTTGATTGCTTTCGAGTGGATCTACCTCCTAGAATGCCAGCTGCCCACATGCTGCAGGGCAAAGTGGACATGCAGGCGCACATCCCTGCCCCTGTTCAACCATCAGGCTAGACCTCCTGGGGTCACCTCCCCCAGCCCCCCACGTGAGTTGTTTAATGGTGCTTTGGAGAAGGAGGGGCAGCAGCCTCAGTAGGGTCTAGTAAGCAGGCCTGGTGGCCTCCAGCAGGCAGACGCAGGTGCGCAGAAGTGGCTGTGTTCCAGGCTCCCTTCCTCCCTGTGGGTAGCAGCTGAGTCCAAGCTGTAGAATGGAAGTCTACACTGCACTCTGTCAGTGAGCTCCCAGGGTGGGCTCGTGGGGGTCCTGGGAACGCAGAGACTTGGCCCTCTAGAGAGACCTGCGGGCCTCAGGGTAGCTGGTCCCATCCTTTGCTCCCTCCCCTGCACCCTCTAGGGGCCCCCACACTGGGCCCCAAAGCAGGGCTCCTTCTGATGTAAACCCCTCTCCTTCTCTTCCTCCCAGGGCACTGGTTCCTCTGTGAACCCTGTGGCCTCTTCTGTAGGTACTACAGGGTCCTTTCTCTTTAATCCACTGGAAATCAGGCCTTTGCTGTTAGCCTGAGTTGCCCGACAGACTAGAGAATCATTTCAGCCATGAGCCGAGCCATCCTCACATGGACCGCACTGGAAATCCTGGAGGTGTAGGGCCAGTTTAGTCCCCACCCCAACAGCCTGCCCTTCCCCCAGTCCTGGCCAGGCTCCTGCCTCAGGCCTTTTGTTCTAGCTGTTTCCTCTGTCTGAAATGTTCTAGCCCAGACTCTGCTTGGCTATTCCTTCCCCAAGCTCCTGTTGAAATGTTGGCCTCTTCATGGGGCCTCCCTGGAGCACCCAGCTTAGTACGGTGACCCGAGTGAGTGCACACCCTCGCACCCACCAGCACTCCTCATCTCCCAGCCCTATCTGCTTCCTCTTTCTTTCCATGGAACCCACTGCCTACATGAGGATTATAGAATGTAAGGCTGGGCGCAGTGGTTCACACCTGTAATCCCAGCACTTTGGGAAGCTGAGGCAGGAGGATCCCTTGAGGCCAGCCTGGGCAACATAGTAAGACCCGTCCCTACAAAAAAGAAAACGAAAATTAGCCGGGCTTGGTGGTCCCAGCTACTCAGGAGGTTGAGGTAGGAGGTTCACTTGAGCCCAAGAGTTTGAGGCTGCAGTGAGCTGTGATCCTGCCACTGCACTCTAGCCTGGGTCACAGAGGGATACCCTATCTCAAAAAAAAAAAAAAGACAGAAAGAAAGGAATGTATTTATTCTGTCTATTGTGCCTCCCCAACAAAATGTGGGCCCCAAGAGGGCAGGAATCTTTTTTTTTTTTTTTTTTTTTTTTTGAGATGGAGTTTCGCTTTTGTCACCCAGGCTGGAGTGCAATGGCACGATCTCGGCTCACTGCAACCTCTGCGTCACAGGTTCAAGCAATTCTCCTGCCTCAGCCTCCTGAGTAGCTGGGATTACAGACAGATGCCATGACGCCCAGCTAATTTTTGTATTTTTAGTAGAGACGGGGTTTCACCATGTTGGCCAAGCTGGTCTCGAACTCCTGACCTCAGGTGATCCACCCGCCTCGGTCTCCCAATGTTCTGGGATTACAGGCGTGAGCCACCACGCCCGGCCGAGGGCAGGAATCTTTACTTTTCTCGCTGATGTCTCCCAAGTGCCCAGAACTTGCCAGGCCATTTTAGGTGCTCCATAGACATTTATTTAGATTGTCGCTGGCACTGGAGCTGAGAGCAGAGAGAAGCTTGAGGGAAGAAGGGGGGTCCTCAAAGCCATGGCTACCCCTCAGAGGGGAGGCAGGGGCAGGGGAAGGAGCGGGGCCGGGCGGCCACCGGATCTCTGGACCCCTCCACCCCACTTGCCCTCCTCCCTCGGGGGTGGGGGGGCATGTCTGCCCTGCACACGCATGTTGGCACACACCTGCGTACCCTGCATAGGTGGCCCCACCTCCCACCTAGTCCAGATGCATGCGCGGCTGACGTGGCTGTGGTTTTGAGGCCCCAGAGGTACAGATTAGAGTCAGGGCGTCTGTCCTTTTCGGCTGCAGGAGCAGGGTGGGATGGGGACAGGCACTCCCTGCAAGCAAGCACCCAGAGGCCCTTTCTCCCTGACCTCTTGCACACACATGTGGACAGACAGGTGGTCCCCCAGGCTGGCTGTCCTTAGACCTCAGGCCCAGGAGCTGTGCACCTATCTATACTAGGCCTTGTTGCAGGGGAAGAGGGGCGGCAGAGGAAGTGGCTGCGGGCGCCCTTCCTAGCGTCTGAACTTCCACCTTTAGTGTTTGTGCCCGACACATGGGCGCCCAGCTTTGTTTGTCAGTTCTTTCCTTTGAGGGAAGCGTTATTTCTTTTGCCTTCTCATGTCAAAACCACATCCCTGCGGGAGGGTTTCACATTCAGCCCTTAGTGGTGTTGAGCTTGTCTGCCCAGGCCTCCCTCACGCGCACACCATGTGGCCAGTCCTGGGGAGCATGCCGGTCCCCTGCTCAGAAACCTGCTGCTGCCCAGGGCCTACCAGGTCCAGCCCCGCACTCAGACCCAGTGCTCGAGGCCCTGCCCTGCCGCCTTCCCTACCCCAGGCATCCTGCTTTGCGGGCAGATGTGTGGCCTTGAGCCAGGTGTCCAGGTTCAATGCCAGCACTGTATGACTGGCAAGTCACTTAGCCTCTTTGTGCCCAGGTTCTCTTCCTCGCAGAACTATTGTGAGAGTTAAGTAGGTTCACATATGCAAAGTGCTTAGCACAGCACCTACTGTGCAGGTAAGGTGTCAATTAATATTAGCTGCCATGATGATCATTTCCTGCCTCAAAGTCAGGAGGGCCTGAGAAATGGCTTTGTCAGGGCTTTGCAGCCCAGCTCTGGCCTCCCAGACTGAGCCAGCTGCTTCCAGGTCACCTGGGAGCTTGTTGGAGACTCAGAGTCCCAAGCCGCTCTAGGGGTTGTGACACAGCAGCTGTGGGCTGGGCTGGGGTGGTGGGGCTGGGGGCCTCACACCTGGGCCTGCAGGCATCTGTGGGACAGGAATCCCCTGCAAGGCCCTTCCCCAGCCTCAGGCTGGTCCACCCACCCGAGTCTTTCCAATTCTGCTTCTCCAGATCCCCTGTGCCTTGCAAGGTTCCTGTCCTGCAGGAAGTAGGCCCACAAACCCTGCCGCCGACACCCCACAACCCCTCCTTCCTGGAGCCTCAGTTTCCTCAAGTATGAAAGGGGATAAAAAATGCCCACATCTCAGGATTAACATCAAGCAAGGTCTTAGATGAAAAGCACCTGGCCCATGGCAGCCGAGAAGGCTAGTTATTATTACTGCTATTGGTGTTATTGCCCGCACCCTGCACCTGCTGAGCACCTGCATGTTCCTCTGGGTTCCCGGCAGGGTCTAAATGCCTAAACTCACATCAGGTGTTAGGGAAGTTGTGTTGACCAGGGTGGACTCTGATTAACCTTCCACCTCCTTGCCTTGGGCTCTTGGAGCTGAGAGGGAGCACCATGGCTGGAGTCTGAGTGTGGCTGGCCCTCACTCAAAACAGCCTGAGTGAAGGAGGAAGGAAGAGAGGTTGAACTGAGTGGCTTGGGCCCCAAAGGATGTTGAAAGCTAGGCCGCGGAGTGACAGTTCTTGGGGGCCCCACTGTAGCTCCCTGCCCGCCCCACCGGCTGCTGTCAGTGGGAAGTGCACAGGCCCGGGGTGGGTAGAGGTAGGGTCCCAGCCTGGGCCAGCTCCCCGGGCCCTGCCACTGCAGACCTGGGCAGCCACCAGAGCTTTGCGTCTTGGGGTCAGCATTGCCTTCTCCAGGCTCCTCCAGTGGAAGCCGCCTCCTCACCGCACCCCCAGGCCCCACCTCGCCCCACCTCACCCCACCTCGCCCCACCTCACCCCACCTCGCCCCACCTCACCCCACCTCGCCCCACCTCACCTAGGCGCAGCCCCAGAAAATATCTATGAAGCACTCACTTCATAGATAGCACCTGTGCCAGGTGGTTTCAGTTCCACAACCTCATTTAATCCTCCACAATTCCCTGACATTTTATAGGAAAGAAAACTGGCTCAGAGAGGCTGAGTAACCTGCTCAAGATGACACAGCTTGTGGGTGGCTGAGTTGGCCTTCCAACCCAGATTCCTGTCATGTTCCTCAAGCCGACAGGTGGGTGAATTTGTGCTGGAAGAGACTATGCGACTAGGCCTCTTGTTTGTTGGGGGAAGAAATAGACACCCTGCACTGGGAATTGAGCGCCCCAGGCCATGCCGCAGGCTCCTGGCAGAACCAGGACGGGTTATAGAAACTTCTTTTGGCATTGGGTGCCAATGGGAGGGGCTCTGCCGGGAAGGCTTCCTCCTTTGCTGCCTCCAGGTCTCCCCTCAGAGGCCACCTCCCCACAGAGAAGCCTTTCTGGCAGTCCTAGCTGAAGTAGGGCACTATCACCCTCTATCCTGGGCTGGCTTTAGTTTTCTTTGTAGCACTTATTGTCACTTGCAGTTTTATGTATCCAATTATTTATTTATTGGTTCTCCCCCATGCTAGAATATGAACTCCATGAGCTCCAGGAGGGTCTGTCTTGTTCCCTTGCCTAGAATAGTACCTTGCACAAACGCCACAATTTTTTTGTGGAATGAATGAATGAGAGTGTCAGGTGATAAAGAAGCAAGCATACATGGGGGAAAGTTTGGTGTGATAATTCTGGTGGAGGAGGGAACTGAGAAGTAATTTACAAAAGGGAAGGGGCAGGGCCACTGTGGACAGCCATAGCATCTGGCACGAAGACTGCCAAGTGAATGGTGCCCCCTGCAGTTGGACAGTTCTCAACTTGGACAACAGTCCATGGTGCCCTTAAGGGTGGGAAGGGACCATCCCCTCAGCAGGGACTGAGGGAGAAGGGAGCCATGAATGGGGCAGGTCTGCAGGTGCCCTCAGCGGGAGGAACAGGCTGTTCCCTCTGTAAGGACGCCACGTGGTTGCGGTTAGCAGTTTGCCATCCGGTGTTGTCTCCACAGACAGTTGTCCAACCAGGGAGGGGGCTACTGCTCTGCTGTGAGCAATCGCTAGTACCTGGAGCACCCAGCAGGCTTCGGGCAGGAAAATCACCTGACACACCCCACAAACACACACCAAACACTGTGGACAAAGATAATCGCACAGGCAGAGGGGGGCTGTTTCCTGAGCCAGCCCCGGGCTCAGAGGTGGAGGACACTGTGTACTGAGGTCTCTCCCCTGAGCAGGGGCCTCGGTGAGGAACTTGTCACAGCTCTGTGGCCTGCCCCCCTTCCTCCTCCCCAGCCCCACAGGCTGGGCACAACAACAATCACCTGGCGATCGCAGGCCGTCTTCAGTGAGTCACCCTGCCCACAGTGAGCCTGGCTGGACGATGTTATCAGCTCCCCTGCTTACTTAATTCCTTGGGTGACATCACCACCGCCTCCGTCTTCTCCTTCTCGGCACTGTAGCCTGCAGCCTGGCATATCCTGGAAGGGAAGGCGGTGGAGGTCTCTTGCCAGAAACTACCAGGGCAGGTAAATTGGAACCTTCAGTTCCTTGACCTTTAGCCCCAAGGGGCTTGCCCTAGTTTCTTGCTTTGCACACAGGGGCCTCAGTTTACCTCCCAGGAGATGCTGTCTGCAGTGAAGCCCTGGGAAACACATGGCACCTCTACTCTGTGCTCATTCCCTCTCTCCTTGTGCAGAGGGGGTTTCCTGTTGGACAGAGGCCAAGCTGCTTGCCCTTCAATGTGTCCAAGTTTATCCTGGGGTTGTACCCCCAAGTCCAGCCTAAGTTCTGTCTCGCGTGGACACAGCTGCCTCCGAGCCTCTGTGATGGGCCTTTGGGTTCCCAGGCTCTCCCAGGCTCAGATGGGGCAGCCCTGCTGGCCTTCTACCCGCCTCTGTGTCCGGCCACCATGACCTGGGACTCAGCCCCTCACCTCCTGGGAGCCCAGGCCAGCCCTTCCCCGCCACAGCCTAGCATTCCCTTTTGCGTCCCCTCACCTTCACCCTTGCCAATACCGACCTGCAGGCCCAGTGGCACATGGGAAGTGCTGTAGGGTCAGTATAGCAATGACAGAAGTGACTGGAGATGTGTGTGGTTCCCTTTCAGCCTGGCCTCCTCCTCTGCATCCCAGTGGGATGAGGGAGGGGATTAGTTCCTCTCTCTGAATTGTCCTACTCTACCCCCTCCCCACCATTTGAGCGGGACAGCAGAGAGGGGAGACTGAGAGGCCCCAGGGAGGGGCTGAGCACAGGCCTCTCTGGCTGGACCTCGGTCTGTGATGGGAAGCTGCCCAAGCCTGGCATGTGAGGGAGGCAGCCAGGGGAAGCCGGTGGGGCTGGGCAGGGACAAGAGGCAACCCTCTGAGCTGCCAGACAGCTTCCTCTATGACCCTCAGGGGACGGTTCCTCCAATGGCACTGCCAGAGGCTGGGGAAAGAGGTGTCTAAACACCAGTCACTTTTGCTCTAGTTATTTGACCAAAACGAATTGTTCCTTAGAAGGAAAAAGAAAAAAACAAAACCACGAAACCCAAAAAACCTCACCATTGATGTCATGCCGATCACCCCGTGGGCTGATAAACAAGTCCTGGAGCAGATAGCATCCCTGGGCAGGGTGAGCACCCCCCACTGCACCCTTCCTACGGGAAGCTCATCGGAGGTCGGCCTCGCCACTCTGCACACAAACACTGCTGCCCCCTCCACATCCTGGAATGCTGTAGAATGCTGTTCCAACCTTCTGGAGTGGGGGGCCCCAGAGAGAGGTCAGAGCAAGCCTGGGCTCCTCCCCACACATGCCACTCTCACTGGACTGATGTTTCCTCACCTGTTGAGTGGAGGAGTGATAGAGGTATTAAGTATGAAGGTTCTTGGAAGTGTTCACTGGCCAGCCAAGAGGCTGGGGCCCTGCAGAGAAGGGAAAGGGGAGAGGGAACATTTCAGAGAAGAGATCCCACCTCAATGATTTAAGGTCAGTTGACAACATCTGGCCTCAGAGCTGATAGGGTCCCTTTAAGTCCTGAGCTGAGTTCTTATGAATGCTTCTAGGGAACTGCACGCCTTGAGAGTGATTGGCACCATTGCTGAACTCGGCCTGTGGTCTGCTCAGACCCTTGGCTCCTTCTCCAAGTTCTAGAATACAACCTAACCAGAGTTAATGGGTGTTCTTTCTGTTGTACTTCCCTACTTGATTGCAGACTAAGCTCAAATTCTAGTCCACCCTGATGGCTTCCCTCAGTTGAAGTGTACAGCCTGACTTCAGCTCTAGTTTGAGCCCTTATTCCTCTTTTTTTTTTCTTTGAGATGGAGTCTCACTCTGTCACCCAGGCTGGAGTGCAGTGGCATGATCTTGGCTCACTGCAACCTCTGCCTCCTGGGCTCAAGCGATTCTCCTGCCTCAGCCTGCTGAGTAACTGGGATTACAGGTGTGCACCAATGTGCCTGGCTAATTTTTGTATTTTTATTAGAGATGGGGTTTCACCATATTGGCCAGGCTAGTCTTGAACTCCAGCCCTCAGGTGATCCTCCCGCCTCGGCCTCACAAAGAACTACCACTCCTGTCCTGACCCCTTATCCCTCTTTAACTCTGAGCTCAAAGCTCCCGTCCACTTCCATAGCCCATACATACCTCACACTCATTTGTCCCAAACCAAACTTGTCTTTCTCTCACCAGCACATTCCTCCACTTGAATGCTACATCTTAGCTCACAGTCACACTGTAAGCCATCATCCACACCAGAGGCTGAGCCACCCCTGACCACTCCTTCTGTCCAGGGCATCTTATTGGCCCTCTCATCTGGTGAGTTCTAACGCTTTGGTGTCTTAAGGCTTCATCCCCTCTTCCTCATTCCTCTCCACCCCTCAGTTTCTATAGTAATTTAGATCCTCATCTCTTTCCTTAAGAACAGCCAGCGGAACCAATCAGAACTCCGAGGCCATCCTCGCACAGCTGCCAGGGGCTCTTTTCTGATGCCATGGTGCCCCCCTCTCAGTGTCTCCCTGCCTGCCCCTCCAGCTTCATGCTCTGACCCTCCTGGGTGCAGACCATGTGCATCTGGAAACAGCTGGGCCTACCTGCTTCATTACCAGTGCTCAGGCTGCTGGCAAGGCCCTCCTCTCCTCCTCTTCCCCCTTCACTGCCTCCTCCAGGAGGCTTTCCTGACTGGAGACACATGGCTGGTGCTCCTTCCTCCATGCCCCTACTCTGTCCACTTCCTGCTGAGCATGCTCCTCCCTGGGGTGCCTTCCCAGTTACAGACTCAGCCCCGACCCTGGCCACAGACAGGGCCTTCTTCTCTCTACCTAGACTGTAGCTCCACCAACCCTATGTTGTGGCTACATACCAGGCAGACCTGGGTGTGGGTATCCCGTTTTACCCACTTCCCACTGGGGACCTCGGACAAGTGACTTTCTCTCTCTCGGTCTTCCTTTCCTCATCTGTCAAATGGGAGGATAACATAACCTGCCTCCCAGGGTGGGTGGTTGGGCCTGGCACACCGTGAAGGGCAGCACAGGGCGTCCATGCGGCACCCGCTGTTTTGATGACTTGCTAGGACCTGGGAGAAAGTGCAGAGGGACCAGGTCTCTCCAGCACAGTCCTCCTGTTCTTCCCCCTTTCTGGCTGTCTGTGATCTCCACCCAGCAGAGGGCTTGGGCGAGGCCGCCTCTTCCCCTCTGCAGCACTTCCTCCCCAGGACCCAGTGCTGTCCACACCGGCGGCAGGGTCCAGTGTCAGACTCGTTCTCAGCCGGGGACTGTGTGGGCTGCCGCACTCCTCTCCCTGGTTGCAACTGCAGTGCTTTGCTCAATAAGGCCCCAAGGGTTGCTGCAACCACACGGGGACTGAGCCGCTGAGGTGGCACACAGTACACCAGTGGCTTCTAGCTCCAAAGTCCAGATGCTATCCACTCTGCCCTGCTGCTGCCCCTTCTGCCTTTCTTTTGGCATCTGAATGACCTTAGTCTCCTCATCTGCAAAATGGGCATAATAATTGCTTCTCTTGCTTCCTCAGCCAGAGGACAGGGAGAACAATGGGGCTGGGCTGGGAAGTTGTGAGGAGGTGGAGACCTCGCTGTGTGCAAGGCAGGAGAGCCTGGCTGGGCGGGGGATATGACAAGAGTTGCTGTAGGGAGACCTCACCATCCATCCAGCCGCCTCCCATCCTTGGCCAGAGCCGCGTGTCTGAGTCCACAGCGCCCCCTGCTGGCTAGCCGGCCCAGAAGCTCCCTGTGGGCAGCCCCAGCCCCACACGGCGTTTCCCCGCAGGGACCACGCGGAAGGAGCGGACCCTGCCCTCAGGGAGCCCTATCGGAGGAGGGACGTGCAGCCAGGCCTCAGGGAGCCCAGACGGGGCGTGGGGAACCGGGGCTTTTGTCTGAGAAGGGAGCTCCCGAGGTCAAGGAGCATACCATTCTGCTCTGAGGAACCTGCTGAAATCCTTCTGCGGAAGGTCTAAGGCCTGCCAGGGAGCCAGTGGTCAGCTCCAAGTCCAGCAGCCATCCCTTGATTAGGGCTGCCCCCACCCCGCTCCCATCCCACATGGACTTTGAGGGAGGGACATCGGGCAAGGACAGACCCTGGGAAATCAGGCTGGGGCTGGTAAGGTCCCTGGCTCGCCCTCAGGCTGGGCCCCCGTTGGCATCAGTGGCGGTGCTCCCAGCCCTCCGGATCCCAGGTGCCTTTCTTCTCCGTCGGACCTTTTCTTCAAGTCGGTGGCTTCATCATCTCAGCTTTTCCTTAGGCTGGTTCTGTATTGGGTGCTGGGGATTCTGGGAGGAGAAGCCCGTAACTGGCCCTCTGGGATCTCAGACATGCCCTTATCCCCTACCCTACCATCCCCCTTCCCTCCTTCCTCCTCAGTGTCTTCCCTGCTCCCTGGGCTCAGGGACCTGCTCTGGGAGGAAGGCAGCTGAGGCAAACAGACACCCCGCCCCCCCCCACACCAGATTAAAATCCAGCCAGCAGTGCCATCCTTCCAGGATGCTCTCCCAGTCATCCCACATCCTGGGCTCTGCTTACTGTGTTTGAGACTTTCCCCTCAAAATCCCTTCTCCCTCAACTGCCTACATAAGTCCCCAGTGGAATTTCACCTTGTCCAGGAAGCCTGCCTTGCTGGATCTCAGCCTCTGTGGTTTTTCCCAGCTTTAGACTTGCGCAGGATTTCCTGACACACGCTGCTTTATCCCATCTGCCCATAGTAGATGCTCCACGCCTCAGGAAGGAAGATCTATGGCACCTTCTTCCTTGCACCCCTGGGAAGACCCAGGGGACAGTCTCAACATGCTCACTGAAGCCCATTTAAGTCAGTGGTTTTCAACTGGGCACAGTTTTGTCCCCAGGGGACATTCGTCAATGTCTAGAGATAATTTTGATTGTCACAACTTGGGGAGGGGGCGGTGCTACTGGCATCTAGTGGATGGAGGTCAGGGATGCTGTGACACCCCACGATGCACAGGCCAGCCCCAACCCCAACAAAGAACTGCCCAGCCCAATATGTCAGCAGTGCCCAGGTTAGAAATCCTGATTGAAATAAATTCATAGATTGAGGTATAAATATAGCATCCAAGAAGAGGCAATGGCTCAGGCAGGAGCAAATCATCCCTCTGAAGGAGACAGAGCAGGAGCCTCCCCTCCATATGACCATCGCAGTCCCAGGTCCCTCCCACGGCCTTTCTTGGGCTGGTAGTGTCTAAGTGGAGGCCCACCTGAGCTAGAGGAGGAGGAGCCAGGGTCTGTCTAGAGAGGGAGTCCGTGGGGGAAGAGGGCTCTGTGTGAGGAGCTCTTTGGGTACAGGCTTGGCCTCAGTTTAGTCATCTGTAAAATGGGGATAGGGTGGCCCCTTCCAGTTCTAATGGTTTAGGGTTCTAAACTGAGTCTCTGATGTGCACAAGTCCTTTTTCCCTCTGCTGATGGGCAGGACCCCTCCAGCAGAGCTGAGGGTAGAGTACCGGCTTTGGGCCCCTTCACCAGATGTGTAGGGTTATTGTGGCTATAATTGCCCTTCCGGGAAACAGCTGTGAGAACAAGAATGCTTTGATAGGTTCCATCAAAGCTTCCTTCACGTCTCCTGGGGACTGACTGGGTGGGGGCGCATAAAGAACTTCCAGCTGGGAGCAGCTGTTAGCCAGGCCCCCATGCAGAGGTGGAGGCTCCACAGGGTGGCCCCACTTTGGTTGGGGTTAAGAATGTCCCAGAGGCTGGTCACCCTGAGACGGGCCTCTCTGAGGGCTCTTCAGGGGCTGTCTCTGTGCCCTCCTGGGGTGGGCTCGAGTGGCGCAGGGCGCTTGGCTGCAGAGCGGAGGTGGCACTCTCCTGGTGTGAAAACCTCTTGTGCCACCAGGGGCCTAGCTCTGGCTCTCTGGGGCAGGGGTCCACACAGAGGGCAGGGGAAAGTGAGCCCACTGATATCCTCTCAGTCCTCTCAGAGATAACCTGGTCTCTGGTTATCAAGGGGACCTGGAGCACCTCCCTCTCCGGATCTCACAGACCTGCCTTATGGGGGAGAGCTCTATCTGGGGTCCACACCTCACCAGGAAAGGATTGGCCTTGGAGGAGAATAAGCCTCTCTGCCAGTCAAGGCCTTTTTAGCACTTTCCACAAGGAAACTGTTGCCCAAGCAGCCCCTTCTGCAAGTGGGGTGTGTGTGTGTGTGTGCGCGCATGTGCCTGTGCACACTGGCTGCACCGCGACTGGGCTGAAACATCCCTGGGTCCTATCGTGCGGCTCTGCAGGTAAGGCTACATTTTGGAGTTGGCCCTGGGTCAGATGCTGGAATCTCCACAGAGACATTGAACTCCTCCGAGCCTCAGCTTCCTCATCTATAAATGAGCAAAGTATCAGTTCCTACGTTATGGATTGTTGTGAGGGTTGAATGAGGGAATGTATGTTAAGCATTTAGCGTGGTTGCTGGGGCATAGATTGTGCTCAGTGGGTGCTGGCAAGTGTGGCTTTTGCTGCTGCTGTTGTCATCATCATCACCATTCAAGTTAACATCTTGATTTCCAGAATCCAACTTTCAGGTGATCTATTGCTTTAGCCTGATGTGAAAAACAAAGCACTGCCTGGCTTTCCCCACAACCCCACCGCCCTCCAAGCAGCTTGCAGAGGCAGTTGGGAGAAGGTTTAGCCCAGGAACACCTTGGACATTTGGGGTACAGGATGAGGACCACAGATGTGGGGTGGCTGGGGATGCAGCTGAGATTGGCTGTGTTCCTGTTGCTTTCGGGGAATGTGTGTGAGATCATGTGTGGTGAGTGTGTGAGGGTGCAGGAGTGTGGTCTGCACCGTCTGGGTGTGTGTCTGTGTGGGGCATGCATGCATGCTCTGGGTGAGGGCACGTGTGTGCCGGGTGTGCACCATGTAGGAATGCTTCTCGGTCCGTGTGTGTGAGGGCTTCTCTGCATTGACACCCCTCTGGGTTTCTCTGCCCCCCTGCTCCCCAGCTGAGTGCATCTGTGTTTCTGCTGCTGTGTGTGGGTACCTGGCCCTTGGGTCCTTTCTAACAGTGCCGTGGTGGGCTGATTTGTGGGAGCTTCTGCTGCATGAGGGGGCTCCAGGGCTGACGTGAATGGAGGTAGCACAGGCCTGCTGCTTCAGGAGGGCTGAGTGTGGAGGCCTTCTGGGTCTGCAAACATCCTCCTCATGCTAGTGGAAGTTAAAGATTCTTTCCTGCAGTAAAGACTATCGGGTTATTAAATCTAATTCTGAGCCACGATGGAGTTTAGAGTTCCACCCTGGACTAGTTCTCTCATTTTACGGCTGGGGATCTGAGACCTAGCCAGGGGTGGGGCATGGCTTGAAGTGTGGGCCGTGGGGGCTATGGGCTGCTGTTGGGCACCTCCCTGGCCCTACTCCCTACCCTGAATGGTGTCTCTCCGCGGCCAGACCCGGGGCAGAGGTAGAAGTCTCAGCAGAGAATCTGGGTTTCGGCACAGCTTCTGCTGGTCCTGGCAAGGACTTCTCTGGGAACAGGCTCCTAGAGCATAGAGTTTCTGATAAACAATGAATAACTTTTTAGTATAGTATGTCATAAATATTGCATGGAACATATTTATACTAAAAATTATTCATTATTTGTTTGAAATTCAAATTTAACCTGGCATTCTTATTTTTATTTGCAAAGTCTGGCAACTTAGCGCCAAATGGGCTAAGAGGCTGGGGGAGAAGTAAGGAGACCCAGCCGGCCATGTTCCACCCTGGCCAGCAAATTCAGGGCAGCTCCAGTCAGCTCATGCCTGTTGAGTGATTCCTGGGGCTCAGCCTCGTGCCGGGAGCATGGGGCTTACTCAATCTGAGGCCCAAGGCCTCTGCCTAGTAGATCCACATGGTCTAACTCAGTGGACCTGAATGGTGGGGCCAGGGAACCAGACTGGCTTAGGACAGCTTTCCTACTGATGTGGCTGCTGTTTTTCAAATGTTAGGAGATACTACTGTAATGAATAAAATGCACATTTGTTTCAAGGCAAGCATTGCATAATGGCTGTTGCTATTAAAACTTTTTCTCAATCAGGAGAACACCAAAAGCATAATTACTAGTGGAGAGGGACACATTTAGGGGTGTGATTTTCTACTGAAGAGTGTGAGAATTCTAGGACTTGACCTTTCACGTAGCATAAACCCCATGGGCATGTGGTGAAGCCTATGGATGGACCCCTTCTCAGAATAATGTTTTCAAATGTGTAAAACAAAATTCACAGGGCTGCAGAAGAAACCAATGCTACTAAAATACATTTACCAAAGCATTAAGAAAACAGCTCTGATGTAGTAATATGTGTGCTTCTTTATTGACACTTTAATTGTGATCACTTTAAAGTGGTGATAATATAAATGATATTTGAAAAGACCTGCAACAACTCAGATGTGATTTAAAAATGCCTGTGAGTTTGGCTGGGCTGGTGACAAAGCTTGAGGTTCTGCAAATACAACTGGAGATTTTTCCTACGTCCATGTTGAAAGGAGAGGCTACCTTTCAGTTGGAGCCTAGTGAAAATAAGGAGGCATTTTTTTTTACCGTCTGAACTCATGAATGGCAGCATCATAGGAAAGGTAGAAAAGAGAAAAAAAGAATAAAACAACCCCCACATTCATGGACCCCTGAATTCTATTCCCAGACCTCTGGGTGAGAAGGGGCATCTGTGGACCCCAGGTTAACAGCATGTGCTCTTGAGGAAAACCCACAAGGGGATTAGAAAAGAGTTCAGGCAAGAGTCACTCATGCACAGAAGTGGGGTGAAATCAGACAGGAGAATGATGGGCAACCTGCAGGCATGGGCCAGTGTGTAGGGGGCTCCGTGGCTGCCCACAGGGCCCAAGAAAGACACTAAGTATGCTCCTACCTGCACTGCCTGACCCAGTGCTGCAGACCTTGGGTTAAGAATTGCTCTCCAAGGTCCTTGCTGTGTGGGCAGACCCTGTCCTTCCTGAGCAACCAGCTGTGAGTAGACACTGGGGGATCTGGGCTATTCTGGAGAGAAGGTCCTGGAGGGAAGGACTCAGGCAGAGCTGGTGACCAGGTGAGACCAGAGGCCCTGGTTCAGAGAGGTGCTGTGGGCAGCTTTGGAATGCGGGGGAGGGAGGCAGGAAGGGTGGGGGGGGGTGTATTCAAGCTAGAGCTGGGTTTTGTCTTCATGGGTAGGAGTGCCAGGATGAGATGCACGTGAGAGGAAACCATGAGGAAGATTCTGGAAATCTATGCCTTTTGCCTCCTTCCTGAACTCCCTCTCTCTCCTCTCCTTCCATCCCATCTGGAACCAGGATCCAATTTCCTCTTTTTTCAAAATACAACTCAAAACAGATTTAATCTCAGAGGATTGTTCTGTGAGGAGAACCTGTGGAAACAAGTTGTTTCTGAGGTTGTAAGATAAAAATAAAAAGCTCTGAAAAATACAAAGCTCATTCAGCACATGAAGTGACTTGAATCTCTGGCTGCCGGTCACCTGCATCCTGCCTGGACATCAGCTAGGGCCACATCTCAGGGTTGGTTTCCCTCACCTGCCCCTTCCTGTCCTAAAGTGGTCTCAGTCTATGGGGACCTTTCAGAAACGACCACCTAGAAACCCTAAATTTGGGAAGGGCCTAGCCTCCTGTGACCTGTGATAATCCTCACAGCAGAGACTAAGAATGAAGATTCCCAGGCCCCTTCCAACTGAATGAATTGGAATCTCCTAGCAGCTTCTGGAGATTCTACTGCAGCTGGTGCATGAAGTCCACCCTGGGTAGCCCCTGTCCCTGGCTGGCAGCTTTCTCAGTGAGCTCCTGGAGGTGGTCCGTGTTGGGGGCCTTTCTTTATGCAGTGTCTCAGAGAGGGGGCTTCAGGACAGAACTTTTAAGCTCTTGAAAACTGCCTCTTGATAGCCACAATCATTCTGAAGTGCAGTGAGATGGGGTGGGGTAGAGTGGGGTGGGTGTTGCCCAGTGTGTAAGACATGGGATTCTTTCGCGCCAGGTGACAGAGGGTCAGTGTTGATGCAGTAGAATGTGTTGGAGTCGACTGACAGGGGCTGTCCCAGACACTCCTCAGGTGGTGTAGCAATGATGCTCCTGACCTCCCATCACTCAAGGCCAAGGGACACAAGGGACACAGGCAGTCCCACAGAAAGGAGGGCTTTCCATTCCTCTGGAACAAACTGTGTCTGATCCACTGTGGGCAGCCTGCATTTATGGTCCTAGACACCTAAAGCCCTTCTCTATAAGCTTTAAATTCCTACCAGGCCAGCATTTCCAGAACTTTTTGAGCAACGTTACCGTACCATGGAATGTAAAAAGTCTCCTCCCACAAACACACAAAATTAGTAATTTTTTTTTTCTTTTTGAGACAGGGTCTTGCTCTGTCTCCCAGGCTGGAGTGCAGTGGCCCAATCATGGCTCACTGCAACCTTGACCTCCTAGGCTCAAGTGATCCTCCCACCTCATCCTCCTGAGTAGTTAGGACTACAGGTGCATGCCACCATGCCTGGCTAATTTTTATATTTTTTTGTAGAGACGGGGTCTCACTATGTTGCCCAGGCTGGTCTCAAACTCCTGAGCTAAAAGCAATCCTCCTGACTTGGCCTCCCAAAGTGCTGAGATTATAGGTGTGAGTTGCTGTGCTTGGCCAAAACTAGTAACATTTTTAGTTTAAAATTTATGTTGAGGCCGGGCGCAGTGGCTCACGCCTATAATCCCAGCACTTTGGGAGGTCGAGGCGGGCAGATCACGAGGTCAGGAGATCAAGACCATCCTGCCTAACACGGTGAAACCCCGTCTCTACTAAAAATACAAAAAATTAGCCGGGCGTGGTGGCAGGCCCCTGTAGTCCCAGCTACTCTGGAGGCTGAGGCAGGAGAATGGCGTGAACCCGGGAGGCAGAGCTTGCAGTGAGCCGAGATCATGCCACTGCACTCCAGCCTGGGTGACAGAGCGAGACTCCATCTCAAAAAATTATGTTAAAAAATGTATTAATATATGTATGAAAAGTATAAATATGTGACTACACTTATCATCATATGATAATCTGCCTTTACAAAATGGGACACTTTATCAGATGTCAGGAATTCATATTAGGGCTTGCTGAATGCATGAATGATGTTGAGAATTCTGTGATCTCTAACACATTTCAGAAGTGCTGTACTGGTCTGTGAGATACTTGAGGACAAGAGTCAGGAGTAGTGTCCCCTCATATCTTGGGGTGAACTGTTATATTGGTGGCTCCCAGTGAATAATATCTTTTGGCATTCATGCCCTTGTATCGTTGTCTTCCCCTCACGGGCTTGAGCATGTAACTTGCTGTGGACAATGTAACATTGATAAGCATGATGCAAGTATAGATCTAATAAGCACTTGCTTCTCCTCTTGCGGCTTGTTCTATTGGAATGCTCTCAAGGAATCTAGCCACCTAGCTGAAAAGAAGTGTGGGTAGATTCATGAATGATGAGACAGCACATGGAGACAGAGAGGCCATGTGGAGGAGCTAAGGCATCAGATATTTTAGTGCAGCCATTTTGGACTTTCTAGGCTAACTCAGTTGAATAAGTGGCACTAAGATGCCACCTGGAGCAGAAGAACCAACCAGCTGAGCCCTACCCAAATTCCTGATCCGCAAAATCATGAGAAATAATAAATCATTGCTGTTTTAAGCCACTACATTTTGGTGTGATTTGTTACACAGCAATAGATAACTGAGATACTAGTAATATGTGTGTAGTAAATGTGTATGAAATGACTGAATGGCAAATCACAATTCTAGCCCTGGTGCTAATCTCTTACATTGGTCTTGGATACTCATTAAGCCTTGATCACATCTATCTTCTGGTATGATTCCTATGATGGTTAATCTTATGTGTCAACTTGACTGGTTCATGAAGTGTCCAGATATTTGGTCAAACATTATTCTGGGTGTTTTATGAGGGTGTTTTTGAATGGGATTAACATTTAAATCTGTAGACTAAGTAAAGCAGATTGCCCTCCATGATGCAGGTGGGCCTCATCCAATCAGTTGAAAGTTTAAATAGAACAAAAGGTTGACCCTGCCCTAAATAAAAGAGAATTCTGCCTGACAAACCTAAAATTGGAACATCAGCTCTTCCTGATTCTGCAGTAGCCTGCTGGCCTTCACATGGAAACTGGGACATTGGCTCTACCGATTTTGAACTTGCCACCCTCCATAATTGCTTGAACCAATACCTCATACTCTCTCTCTCTCTCTCTCTCTCTCTCTCACACACACACACACACACACATGTTCCTTGACTTATGATGGGGATATATCTCAGTAAACCCATCGTAAGTTGAAAATATCATAAGTCAAAAATGTACTGAATACACCTAACCTACCAAACATCACAGCTTGGCCTGCCTAATGTAAATGTGCTCGGAACACTTACATTAGCCTACAGTTGGGCAAAAATCATCGGGCAATACAGTAAACTGTAGAATATCAGTTATTTAACCTCATAATTGTATGACTGACTGGGAGCTGCAGCTCACTGCTGCTGCCCAGCATCATGAGAGAATATCATACCACATACCGCTAGCCCAGGAAAAGATCCAAACTGAAAATTTGAAGAATGGTTTCTACTGAATGTGTATTGCTTTTGCACTATCATGAAGTGAAAAACATCATAATTCTGAACCATCATAAGTTGGGGACCATCTATGTATACATAGGAGATGTATATATCTCCTATAGGTTCTGTTTCTCCAGAGAACCCTGACTAATATAGATTTTGCTACCAAGAGTGGATGCTACTATAACAAATACCTAAAAATGTGGAAGTGGCTTTGGAATTAGGTAATGGGCAAAGACTGAAGAGTTTTGAGGTGCATGTTAGAAAAAGCCTAGAATGCCTTGAAGAGACTGTTGGTAGAAATACAAACATTAAACGTGATTCTGGTGAAGGCTCAGAAAGGAAAGAGTTGTAGAAAAAGTTTCTATCATCTAAGAGAATACATATATCATCATAAACAGAATGTTGGTAGAAATATGAACATTAAATGTACTTATGGTAAGGTCTCAGAAATGAGGAGCATGATGTTGGAAACTGGTAAAAAGGCAATCCTTGTTATAAAGTAGTAAAGAACTTGGCTGAATTGTGTTCAGTCAAGGTAAAACTTGGGAGTGATGACCTTGGATATTTAGCACAGGAGATTTCTAAGCAAAGTGGTGAAAGTGTAGCCTGGTTTCTCCTTACTGCTTATAATAAAATGCAAGAGGAAAGAGATAAGTTGAAGGAATTGTTATGCAAAAAGGAACCAGAATTTAAAGATTTGGAAATGCTCAGCCTGTCCATATTTCAAAAAGAGAGAAAACACGTTTCTCTGCTTGGTGCAAATACCAAAGGCCTGTCTGGACAATCACTCCATAAAAAGATTCCCACGAACTTAATCAACCATCTCAGTTGAAGCCAGGAATAGAGATGGGATTATATTAGCAGAAACACTTCCAGCTGGGACTAAAGAAAACAGAGAAAATGGAACAGAATGAAAGAAGGCTGTTGGACTTCTGGGATTCTACAGGACAGGACAATAGAGTTATCCAGCTTTGAACATACGTTATCCTTCAAGAAAAGGGAAGAATGACCCCTGAAGACAATTTGGAGATTATCAGGGCTGCCATTCACACCCCAGGCCCAGGGGCTTGGTTGTTTTTTCCTGCTTTCAGAGAGCGGGGCCACCTTCTTGGTTTCAGTGGGCCGAAATGTTGCCCAGTGCCTCAGGGGCAAGGTGACTAGCAGAGCTGCAGAATGGGATCTACCACCTAGGGTGGTGGGGGTGATGAAGCTGCCCCAGTGGGCACAGCATTCAGCCAAAGAGGATTATTCATTATTTTTTGTTTTTTTGAGACAGGGTCTCCTTCTGTCACCCAGGCTAGGATGCAGTGGTGTGATCATGGCTAACTGCAACCTTGACCTTCTGGGCTCAAGCAATCCTCCTGCCTCAGCACCCCTACCCCCGAGTAGCTGGGAATACAGGCATGCACCACCATACCTGGCTAATTTTTGTATTTTTTGTAGAGACAGAGTTTCGCCATGTTGCCCAGGATGGTCTTGGACTCCTGAGCTCAAGTAATCCTTCTGCCTTGGCCTCCCAAAGTGCTGGGACTACAGCCTAATGGATTGCAGATCTAATGGAATTTTCCTTGCTAGGTTTTGGATTTGTTTGGGATCCATTGCCCCTTTCTTCTTTCCAATTTCTCCCTTTTGGAATAAGGATGTCTATTCTATGCCTCCCCACCATCGTATTTTGGAAGCACATAAGCTTGTCTGGTTTCATAGGTTCACAGCTGGAGAGAATTTTGCCTCAGGATGAAACATACCTCAAGTCTCACCCATACCTGGTTTAGATATTCAGTGAGACTTTGGACTTGGAATTGATGTTGGAATGGGTTAAAACGTCTGGGGTTGCTGGGATGGGCTGAATGAATTTTGCATGAGAGAAGAACATGAATTTTATGGGGCCAGAGGATGGAATGTCTTGGAGTAAATTGTATCTCCCCACCAGATTCACATGTGAAAGCTCTGACTCCCAGTGTGACCCTATTTGGTGATAAGGCCTTTGAGGAAGTAATTAAGGTTAAATGAGGCTGAGTGTGGTGGCTCATGCCTGTAATCCCAGCACTTTGGGAGGCGGCAGGCAGATCACTTGAGGTCAAGGGTTCGAGACCAGCCTGGCCAACATGGCTAAACCCTGTTTCTACTAAAAATACAAAAATTAGCCGGGTGTGGTGGGGCTTGCCCATGGTCCCAGCTATTCAAGAGGCTGAGGTGGGAGAATCTCTTGAGCCCGGGAGGCAAAGGTTGCAGTGAGGTGAGATGGCGCCACTGCACTCCAGCCTGGATGACAGAGTGAGACTTCATCTCAAAAACAAACAAAACAAACAAACAAAAAAGGTTAAATGAGGTTCTCAGTGTGGGGTCCTAATCTGATAAATTGGTGTCCTTATAGAAAAGGAGGAAGCGCCACAGCCCTCCTCTCTGCATGCATGCCCCGAGGGAAGAGACTGTGAGAGGGCACAGTGAGAAGGAGCAATTCAAGGAGAGAGGCCTTATCAGAAACCAACTCTGCTGGCATTTTCTTTTTTTTTTTTTTGAGACAGAGTCTTACTCTGTCCCCGGGTTTGGAGTGCAGTGGTGTGAACTCAGCTCACTGCAACCTCTGCCTCCTGGGTTTAAGTGATTCTCCTTCCTCAGCCTCCCGAGTAGCTGGAATTACAGGTGCCCACCACACCTGGCTAATTTTTTTGTATTTTTTGGTAGAGATGGGGGTTTCACCTGTTGCCCAGGCTGGTCTTGAACTCCTAAACTCAAGTGATCCACCTGCCTCAGCCTCCCAAAGTGCTGTGATTACAGGCATGAGCCACCATATGTAGCCCCGTGCTGGCATTTTGATCTTGGACTTCCAGCCTCCAGAAGTGTGAGAAAACAAATTCCTGTTTAAGCCACTCAATCTGTGCTATTTTGTTACGGCAGCCCAAGCAGACAAATACAATTCCCCACAGCAATTTGCAGAGGAGTCATGAAGACTTAGATTTCAATTCTAGCTTTCACTGATTCATTCATTCAGCCAATATTCAAGTTCTGCTATGTGCTGGACACTGTGTCTACTGATTTCCACATCCACTGGGTTTCAATGGTGAGCAAAATGCACATGGTTCTCGTCCTGAAGGAGCTTAAAATCATGTAAGGGAGACATATTCCTCAAATAATTACTCGAAGAGACATAAAATAATAGCAGCAATGAGTGCTCTAGGAGGATGTCTCCTAGTCAAGAGGTCAGGGAAAAGTTTTTGAAGAAGTGACACCAGACCTGAGATACAAAAAGGGTGATTAGGAGTCAACCAGGTGAAGATGGGGAGGAAGGGTGTTCCATGCAGAAGAAACAGCATGTGCAAAGAATGCTTCTACCAAGGAGGAAGCTGGTGGGTGTTCAGGGGACTGGAAGAAGGCTGCCATGACTGAAACGGAGAGAGGAGGAGCAGAGTGGGAGGGGCTCGAGAAGAGGCTGGATGGCACAGGCCGGGCAGACCATGCCCAGGTCTTTGTCATAAGAGCAGTGGGAAGCCATTGAGCTGGCTTAACCTGGGAGTTGGCATGGCTAGATTTGCATTTCCAAAAAGGTGCTCGAGGCTGCCATGGGGGTGAGCGTGGTGGAGTGGAAGAAGACTAGCATGGGGACTGGCAAGGATGCTCCTGCAGGATTCAGGAGAGGCATGCGGGGGCCTTGGACTAGGGTGGTGGCAACAGACATGGAGGAAAGGGCAAGATTGGAGAATGATTTATTAAGGCAAAAAACCGGACTTTGGTGCCCAATTGTCTATAGGAGGTGAGGACAAGAGAGGAGCAGGGATGACCTGAGGTTTCTGGGTTGAGTAGCCAGGTGGGTGGTGGTGCCATCTGATTATAGAGAGATGATGGGGAAGACCAAGTTAGGGCTGGGGGCCACTACTTACCAATTGCATGAACTTGGACAGGTTACTTTTAAGCCCCTATATGCTTCAGTTTGCCCATCTGAGATAAGTGATGTGAGATGATATTTGTAGAGGATCTGCTCAGAGCAGCTGCTCCTGCATATCAAGCTTCCTGATCTTTTCCTCTGTGAAGTAGCCTGGGCAGATGCTATTGTTCCATTTTTAAGGTTGAGGAAGCTGAGTCTGCAAGATTGGAATCTTGCCCAAATCCACATACTTTGAAACCAGGCTTATAGGCAGGTGGTGGGAGGAGCCTTCCCTCCCTGCCAGTCTGCCTTCAACATCAGCTCACAGAGCCTAAGAGCAGAAATTATTCATCCATAAGTTGCTCAGCCTTCACTGGAGGTCTGGTATGGGTGGGGAGGAGGGAACATTGTTCAGGTGAGAAATGCAATTAGGGGAGGGGACAGAGCAGTGTTGGAGTGAGCAGGGTGAAATTTAATTTTAAGCACCAAATTCATGTCGTAGCCAATTTCCCAAATGTGGGCTGCTCACAAAGTTTCTTTTTTCACTCACATAAAGGCTCAGATGCTGTGATTGGCAGGCAGCCTTCCTCTGAGTGGAGATTCAGGCACCCAGGCTCCTTCCACCTTATGGCTCTGCTGTCTCTAGGCCATGAGGTCAGGCAGCGGGGGAAAGAGAGGTGGATGAGGCACATCTGCCTAACATCCTTAGGCCAGAAGCGAGACACATTGTTTCTGCTCACACTCCACTGGCCACCCTGGATAGCAAGGGAGCTGGAACTGTAGTCTAGATGGGTGCCTAGGGAGAAGGGAAAGGGAGTTTTGGTGATAAGCTTCTCAGTCCTGCTGTAACAGGTCAGAGCTGATTTCTACATCCTAAATATTACATTCTGGAGCCTGGTAAAGAGAGACATATCTTCCTGGACAGGAACTTGAACTGCTCCAGGCCAGGCTCCCAGGGTCCATCTGGGACTAGGCCTTTTGGTCAAGGTGGAGGAGAGGGGACAGAAAGGCTGTCCAGGCTCTGCTGGGATTTCTCCAGGAGGGGACAGGACCAGCCTTGGGGTAAGCAAGCTGAAGGAACCAAGCTTGATCCCATGCACTGGCTGAATGGGTGGCAGGAAGGCTCCTTCTGGGTACACTTTTGTGAGCCACAGAAATAGCCTCTGGCCAAGGCCAATGGGGAATTTGTCCTAAGTTTCTGAAGAGAGTGGGCTGTGCAGAGCCAGTGAGCAAAGCCTCTTGTATTGCACATAATTACATGTTTGTGGACTGCCAGAGAGAGGGGCATTGTTGTGAACTTTACTTGGGTGGCCTCATTGAGAAGGGATATTTGAGCAAAGACATGAAGATGCTAAAACATGAGGATACTTCAGGAAGGGCAGAGGGAACAACAGGCGCCAAGTCCCTGTAGTAGGAGCAGGGGTGCTGTGTTCTGGACCCTTTGCCTTCATCCAGGCCAGAGATGATGGTAGTAGCAGTGGGTAAGAGAGAAGAAGTGGTTAGCTTCTGCATCTATTTGGTAGGTACCTCCCTCTTTCCTCCTGTACCTTTCTTGGTTTTCTAGGAGTGACTTGTGAAGACACACTGAAGTGTTTCTACCTCTGTGCCGTTTTATAGACTGTAAGCCCCATGAGGGCAGAGAATGGGCCTTACCCTTACAGTGGGCTCAGGCACAGCTTATCCCTAGCACCTGGTTAAACATGTCTGTGTCCTGAGTCATCAGATTTCCTGGGGCTGAGCCTGGGTGTATTGCTCATGATGAGAAAAGCTTTCCTGTGGCTCGGACACTCCTGTCCCTCTTCTAAAGGAACTGTCCTGTGTATCCAATCAAAGGAGATGGGGCTTCATTGTCTTTTTTTTTTTTTTTTTTTGAGATGGAGTCTCACTCTGTCACCCAGGCTGGAGTGCAGTGGTGTGATCTCGGCTCACTGCAACCTCCGCCTCCTGGGTTCAAGGAATTCCCCTGCCTCAGCCTCCCGAGTAGCTGGGATTACAGGCACGCACCACCACATCAGGCTAATTTTTGTATTTTTAGTAGAGACGGGGTTTCATCATGTTGGCCAGGCTGGTCTCGAACTCCTGACCTCAAGTGATCCACCCACCTCAGCCTCCCAAAGTGTTGGAATTATAGGCATGAGCCACTGCGCCTGGCCAGGCTTCAGTGTCTTGAGTACCAGAGAGTCACAGTCCATCCATTCTTCCCGGCCCTGCTGTGAAGTGCTCAGGAGCTCAACAGTGGACAAGTTCCTGGGTTCTGTTTTGTCCCTGATAACGCCTGCCTGCTGGTTTCCTGGGGAAGTGACGGGGGCACATATGGCTGTGCCCAGCAGGTATCCCTGGCCCAAATCAGCTTGGCCTGTGCTCAGGCAGGGAGTGTTGGGCTCTGCATTGCTCACTCATTGATGTCAGGAGGGACCCACAGGAGTGTCTTGAGCTTGGTTGTGGAGTGTCCATCACCCACAATGTGCAGCCTTTGTTTAACCTGGGCCCTTCCCTGCAACACCTCTTGCCCTCTGACTTTTGCAGAAACTTGGGTGCAACTGATATTTACGATCCAGCAGGCTCTCGATGTTTGGGAGGGCTCTGTCCACTGGCCTTCCATAAGCCCCACAGTCTTGAATGCAAAATGTTGGTGTGGGCTTCTGGCTTTCTCTCGAATGGTGTTTTCTTGAGAGTTATATGTCTCCTGTGCTCTCATGCCACAAATTAACTGCCTTTTCACTTTTCCCACAGGTTTTATCTCTCTTTCTGTGTGGCAGGGTCTTACAGTGTAGTTGTTAAAAGTGTGTGAACTGGCCAGGCATGTAATCTCAGCACTTTGAGAGGCCATGGTGGGCAGCTTTCCTGAGGTCGGGAGTTCAAGACCAGCCTGGCCAACATGGCGAAACCCCATCTCTACTAAAAATACAAAAATTAGCCAGGTGTGGTGGTGCGCACCTGTAATCTCAGCTACTTGGGAGGCTGAGGCGGGAGAATTCCTTGAACCCAGGAGGTGGAGGTTGCAGTGAGCTGAGATTGTGCCACTGCACTCCAGCCTGGGCGACAGAGCGAGACTCCATCTCAAGAAAAAAAAAAAGTGTGTGAACTTTGGAACTGGACAGATTTGAGTGGGCATTGCGGCTTCTGCTCTTACTGGCTGTGTTATGTCTGGCAAAGTCCTCTGAGTGTCAGTTTACTCATCTGTAAAACGAAGACAATTGCAGTATCTACCTAGTAGCTTGGTTGTGAAGCCTCATTGAGGTAGTAACATAATGTCTGGACCCACAATAAATAAGAACTATTATTACACTTAATGAAAACCCTACTGGGTGTGGTGGCTCATGCCTGTAATCCCAGCAATTTGGGAGGCTGAGGAGGGCAGATTGCTTGAGCCCAGGAGTTTGAGACCAGCCTGGGCAACATGGTGAAACTCTATCTCTGCAAAAAAAAATACAAAAATTAGCCGGGCATGGTAGCATACACTTGTAGTCCCAGCTACTTGGGAGGCTGAGGTGGGAGGATTGCTTAAGCCTAGGAGGCAGAGGTTGCAATGAATGAAGATTGCTCCACTGCACTCCAGCCTGGGCAACAGAGTGAGACCCTGTCTCAAAAAAAAAAAAAAAAAAAAAAAAAGAGAACAAAAATTCCCCAAAAAAAGAAAAGAAAAAAGAAAACCCAAAGCTGCTTGTGGGGGCTTTCAGTGCTGGGCGCAGGCCAATGTCCCCAGCCAGCTCTGAGGCTTGTTCCTACTTCTACCAGCCTCTCAGCCCAGTCCACTTCAGGCCAGGGCAAAATACGAAAGCCCTGCTTGTTCTGGGTCTTCGGGGGAGTCTGTGAATAGCTGAATCCATGAATGATGCCTCTGCAGGTGCCAGGGACCCACGGCTCCACCCTCACCCAGTGCAAGTGCTGCCTGCCAGACCCTTGTCAGCGGTTACAACCTCCAACTGCCTCCCGCTGCCCGACTTTTATCAAAAGCTCAGTTGAGAGAAATAAAGTTCATGGGGGTTATTTAAAGGTCATGCATTCCATCCATTCTTCCAGATGGGACTTATCCCTGAACGAAGTCAGACTCTCACGAAGCTGAGTCGTTCTTGGAGCACAGTATTTAGTCTCCACACAATCTCTACTACGTCCCTCCCTTATGATGGAGACTTGAAGGAAATTGGCTGAAGGGGTCTGGCCATTATGTTTATTTTGGGATGTTGCTGCTTCAGCTAGTGTTCTCTGTAAGGCCTGTGAGTGGAATGAATATATTTTAGGCTCCAGTTTCCAGCAAAATTCTGCATCTTCAGAGGAATTAGGGGGCTTCTGACTTATGGGCAATGTGATTCATGAAACTAATCCCAATTCCCACTTTACTTGGGTTGCTGGGAAGCTCTGAGCCAAATTGGGCACTCATCCTTAAGAATCTTAGAGGCTCTAGTAGGCTGGGCACGGTGGCTCATGCGTATAATCTCAGCACTTTGGGAGGCCGAGGTGGGCGGATCACGAGGTCAGGAGATCGAGACCATCCTGGCTAACATGGTGAAACCCTGTCTCTACTAAAAAAATACAAAAAAATTAGCCAGGCATGGTGGCAGGTGCCTGTAGTCCCAGCTACTTGGAAGGCTGAGGCAGGAGAATGGTGTGAACCCAGGAGGCGGAGCTTGCAGTGAGCCGAGACCGTGCCACTGCACTCCAGCCTGGGCGACAGAGCGAGACTCTGTCTCAAAAAAAAAAAAGGAATCTTAGAGGTTCTCTTGGGCTGTTTTTAAAGGAGATGATTACTTTCCAGGTGCTGGTTTCTAACAGATGAGATTATAATTATTATTTTGTATGTATCTTGTCAATTGCTTCAGGGCTTTAGTGGGACCGGAGTGGGAGTAAGTAAATAAAATCATCCTCATCCTGAAAACAAAAGAGGAATGAAGAATTGGTCTGGGTGAGTGAGAGAAGGAGGAGGCAGCCAAGGGGAGAGATGGTGTAGGGCCTGGTGGTGACAGGACAAGTGTCCCTTTCTAGGCCACTGTGGTGATGCTGAAGGGTCTGGCTTCACTGACCCAGGGGGTGTGAAAAGAGGATTTTCCATGAATTTGAAAAGAGAACCGCAGTCATTGCTCAATTTGCACTTCTCCCCATGGCCCCCAGGCTTTGGGGGGTATTTTTGTAATGTTGTGAAACATTGAAACTTGCAGTGTCTCCTTTCTCTTCCTCTTCTCTCCCAACTCAGTCACTCCTACCCATTTCTTTTTTTTTTTTTTAAACCATGTTTTGCTCCTTCCCTTCATGTGGCCACTGGTGCAGGGGTTTGAGATGGGCTGCCCACTGTGACTGCTCCTCCATCTCTGGGCAAGACAGGAGTCTCTCTGGACCGAGGCCCACAATTTGCTGCTGGAACAAACAGAAGAGGGTCAAGCAGTTCAGATCCTCAACGAAAGAGTAGCAATAGAGCAGCAAATACTACTTGAAAACTCTACTGTGTGCCACTTAGGAACCATTATTATTGCCATTTAATTTTACTTATTTAAGTTTGTCCTGTGCTTCAGCTCATGGTACATGTTCATTATTTGTTTGTACAAGGCCCCTGCATCTATTTGTTTGTTTGTTTGAGACAGGGTCCTGCTCTGTCACCCAGGCTGGAGTGCAGTGGTGTGATCATAGCTCACTGCAGCCTTGAACTCCTGGGCTCAAGCTATCCTTCTACCTCAGCCTCCCATAGCTGGGACTACAGGAGCATGACACCATGCCTGGCTAATTTTTAAATATTTTTGTAGAGATGGGGTCTCACTATGTTACCCAAGCTGGTCTCTAACTCCTGAGCTCAAGTGGTCCTCCTTCCTCAGTCTCCCAAAATGCTGGAATGACAGGCATGAGCTACCACATCTGGCCCATTTGTCTGCTTATCCACTTACTTTGCCCAGAGTTTCTCATTGGCCGCACTATTGACATATCAAGTCAGATCATTCCTTTTATGCAGGCTGTCCTGTACATTGTAGGATGTTTGGCAGCATCCTTGGCCTCTCTACTACATGCCAATATTACCCACCCCCACACCTCCACTGTAACAACCAAAAATGTCTCTGGATATTGCCAAATGTCCCCTGGGGAAAGGGAGCAGAATCATCTCAGGCTGAGAACCACTATCCCCTTGTCCCCTTCCTCACTCCCCTCCTCTCCCAATAGAAGCCTCTCTGATGCATCTGCTGTGTGTCCTCCTGTTTGCACACATCCTTGCAGCTCTGTTCACTGCCCCATTCATATCCTTTGCCCACTTTTCTATTGGAGTTGCCATCTTCTTTGGATCTGCAAAGAGCAGTCCTTGTGTTTTCTTTTCTTTTCTTTTTTTGAGATGGAGTCTCACTCTGTCACCCAGGCTGGAGTGCAGTGGTGTGATCTCGGCTCATTGCAACCTCCACCCACTGGGTTCAAGCAATTCTCATGCCTCAGCCTCCTGAGTAGCTGGGATTACAGGCTCCCGCCACCACACCTGGCTAATTTATATATTTTTAGTAGAGACGGGGTTTCTCCATGTTAGTCAGGCTGGTCTTGAATTCCTGACCTCAGGTGATCCACCCACCTCGGCCTCCCAAAGTGCTTGGATTACAGGGCATGAGCCACCGTACCTGGCCAGTCCTTGTGTTTTCTAAATATGAGTCCCACATTGGTGTGGCCTGTGTTTTCTTCTCCTTTTCTGTCATCAGTCTGCTAACTCTTGCCTTACAGATGAGGAAGCAGAAGTTCACAGCCATAGCTGCCCATGCTCACACAGCTAGTAAGTGGTGAGCCAGGTCCAGGCCTCTGTCTCCAGAGCCCAGGCTCTTGACCCCTGGGCTACAGCAGTGTCCCTTCCATTCAAATATGACTTCGCAGGCAGGCAGGCAAGGTCAGGCCCTGAGGCCCGGGCAGGGAAGGGAGGTGGCTCACTCCAGGTCATGCAGCTCGACAGCAGCATCACCCAGGTCACCCTGATGTGATGCCAAGTGTCTTGGGAACTGGATTTAATGTGTTTTTTTTTTTCTTTTTTTTTTTTGGTTGAGGAATGACCAAGTGATTTCGCTTAAATGTCCAACAGGAGGCTGTGGCTCTGGTGAGAAGAAGAGGTGGGGATCTGAGGGTGTCTGTGCGAGGAGGCTCCTCTGTTGGCTCTGCATGGTGCTCACAGACACATGGTTGGGCAGATTTCTGGATCTGGATTTTCTGGCCTGGATCTCTGTGCCCTGGACCCTGGCAGAAGAGTGCTTCTCTCCCGGCCCAGGGGATGATGGATGGAGAGGAGCCAGGTTTTGTTCCCTAAATGCCATTCACATGACTCTCTGACCTCAGGGTCCTTCCCCTTTCTCTTGTCTTTTTCTCCTTCACTGCATTCTGCCCTGCTTTGGTTTCCCTTCTCTATTTTCCTTTTTTCAATCTACACAAAGCCCTTGGAGGGCTGGGGCTGACCTGGGGCCTCTTGGCTCTGGCTGAGGTTGGTTTCCAGTTCCTGGACGGTAGCCCTGGGGCTGTCTGACTTCAAGGGCCATAATGAGACTTGGGAGGTGGGAGGTTTGGGAGGAAGCAAGCCGGCCAATGAGCCAGTGCCTGGAGGCTGGTCCTCTCCTGCATCCTCAGGGCAGGACCTCTGAGCCACCAAAGCCCGAGGACAAATACCTAGTTCAGGCCACAGCCACTCCCTACCCATCCCTGACAGACATGCCTAGTTCATCCCAGATCTCTTCCTACCAGCCTCAAGATCCTTCTCAGCGGAGAATGTGGGACGGAAATGTATCACCTCTGGCTTATAGCTTCATCTTTACTTCCTGGAAGCCTTTCCCACCGTGGTTCTCAACCCTGACCGCTTAGCAGAATCACCTGGGTAACTTTCCAAACAGACTGATTTCCAGGCCCCAACCCACGATTCAGATTTCATGGGTCTGGAGTGTGGCTGGGGATTGAGATGTTGTAAAATCTCCCTGGGTGATTCTGCTATGTGGCCAGGACTGAGAGCTACTGTTTCACTGAGGCCAGAGTGTTGCAGAAAGAGCACAGAAGGCAGGTGGGGGACTGAGTTCGTGTCTGGACAACCCTCAGGTGGCAGCATGTCTCTCAGCAAAGCCCCTTCCCTCTCCAGGCACTGGGCAGGAGCACCCTAAGGAGAAGTGACAGATTTGTGGAGTTTTAGACTCAGAAAGGGCCAGGAAACCAACCAAGCTACCCCTCATCCTGCAAAACAGAAGACTGGAGGGGGTGGAGTAGTCAGGGTCTCACAGGGCACTGGCAGGGTTGGGGGTGTGGGAAGCCAGGCTAGGCTTTGGGCTGCCTCCTCCCACTGGCTGGGCCCCTCAGTGAGTCCTCTTTAGTTTAGAATGTTGGGAACATGATGTCTCCCCACTGTTTACTCGAAAAGGAGCCTGTTCTCTCAGTGCCTGGTAGTGGGGAAGCAATGGCTAGAGTTAGAGGGTATTGGTCTCAGCCAAACTTGGCAAGAGGACTTTTGCAGTGCCGCTGACTGTCTGCAGCTGTTTTATAGGCCCTGTGGCTCAAAAGGGGAAGTGTGGCTGCATTTAGAAAGTTGTCCACAAGGAGGAATGGTGGGGGTGTGGGAGTGAGGGTGGGGCTGACAAGGGTGGCCAGGCTGGGGAGCTAGAGGAGGAGGAGGAGGGACACAGGCAGGACCTGTGGACAGGGGTTTGATTTGGGGCCCACATGTTGTCACTGTGGAAACTCTTGGGTTTGAGGGGATGGAGATAGGGGAGTGTGAAAGGGAGGCAGACAGACAAGAAAGGGGGAGGTGGGGAGGGAAAAGAGCTCCCAGCTGGGAAGCCTGGCCTTTCTTAGGTTGGAAGCAAACATGAAGTGTGCTGGGAGCATGCCCAGCCATGCCCTGAAGGCCCAGGAAGGGGTTTCCTCTAAAGGGGTGCAGGGAGATGGTGAGAGGTGCTGGAAACGTGGAGGTTTTCTCAACATAGTCCAGCCCACAGAAGGGGATGTGAGAGGAGGAACTCTTCCTTCCCCCAAGCTATACAGAAATATATCTGATATCTGAGTCCATTTAGGCTACGATAACAAAATATCATGGACTGGATGGCTTATAAACAGCAGACATTTAATATCATAGACTGGATGGCTTGTAAACTGCAGACATTTGTTTCTCACAGTTCTGGAGGCTGGAAGTCCAAGATCACGGGGCCGGCAGATTCAGTGTCTGGTGAGGGCGATCTCCTCATAAATGGTGACTTCTTACTCTAACCTCACATGGCAGAAGGGGTTAGGGGTCTGTCTCAGGGCATAATATAAGGGCACTAATCCTATTCATGAGGGCTCCACCCCCAGGACCTAATCACCTCCCAAAGGCCCGACTCCTACCTTCATCACTTTAGGGGTGAAGATTTCAACATATTAATTTGGGGGGGACATAAACATCTGGACAGCCTGAATGAAATGCACCATCCCTATGGCCAGGAATGCACCCAACCCTTCCCAGGGCTGACCTGGGGCTCAGGTCTCCATGGTAGCAACAGGAAGATTGCTACACAAGGCTCCTAGCCCAGGGGTTGGAGGCTGGAAGACCTCAGAGAGCCTGACTGAAGATCCCCATGCCTCAGGCTCCTGTTCCTGTTAATGACAGGGAGATGTACCTCCCCTGCCCTATCACAAGTGCCCTGCCCCAAGCATCAGGGAGAAACATTGAGCTCCTGCTGATCGTGGGTCACACTCCCACTGCTTCCCTCAGGCCTACTGCTCTCCCTCAGTCACTGGCACCTGCAGGGTGCTGCTCTCTGCTGCCCCCCATGCCCTAGCCTTGTCCCTACTGTATATGTGGGGATAGAGTGATGGGGTGGCGGAGGTGGGGGGTGGTGGTACCATAACTTCAATCCAGAGCTTTCCTACAGAAGATCCTGCCTTCACCAGAAAAGTGCTTTAGCAAAGCTCCTCTTCCCAAAGTAGCCCCACCCAAAAGGACCATGAGAAGAAGACCTTATCCTAACTTTGATCGTATTACACTGGCCATAGAAAGCTCCACCACCTTTGGTGATAGATTCAGCAGCCAGAGAGATCTACTCTGAGGGTGGGAGTTAAAGCAAAGAGGGGAGGTTTGCATTGGTTCTGACTCTGTGGTTGAGCATCTGATGTCAGAAGCATGACTCCCAAAGAGCCTGCTCAGTGTACCCTGGGGAACAAGGTAACTCAACTCAACCCAATCCAACTCAACCCAATTCAACTCAACCCAACCCAACTCAATTCAACCCCACTCAACCCAACTCAACTAAACTCAATTAAACTCAACAAAACTCCCATTCATTCACTCCGTGATTTAACTATTATGTACTAGTCACCAACAATGTGTCAACCGCTGTGCTAAGTGCTGGGGATGCGGAAGAGAGCAAACAAGACACAGCCCTGCCCTCATGGAGCTTCGAGTCTGGTAGAGGCACTTAAGGGCATATCACGGGTCTGTGTCTCTATTAAGCTCATGAGGATGGCCGTGGGAGGGTAGGGAGAGGAAAGGCCCTTACCTCTGTGGTCTTGCTGGAGAGACTATATTCATATACACAAAACACTCAGAGAATGAGGCAAAGTTTAATAAGTCCATTGTTGACTCTGGTAACCACTAGGTGGGCCTGACCACTAACTAACCTTGAAAAAAAAAAAAAAATTGGCCAGGCATGGTGGCTCACGCTTGTAATCCCAGCACTTTGGGAGGCCAAGGCAGGCAGATCACTTGAGGTCAGGAGTTCAAGACCAGCCTGCCCAACATGGTGAAACCACGCCTCTACTAAAAATACAAAAAATTAGCCAGGTGTGGTGGCGCGCGCCTGTAATCCCAGTTACTCGTGAGGCTGAGGCAGGAGAATAGCTTGAACCCAGGAGGCAAAGGTTGCAGTGAGCCGAGGTTGTGCCACTGCTCTCCAGCCTGGGTGACAGAGTGAGACCGTGTCTTAAAAAAAAAAACACCCCAAAACAAAAACAAAAAAAATTAGTTCTGACATGAGTGTGTTGGACTGGAAAATCCATGTGGACTCTGCCGTCTTTCTTGGTTTCTTCTTCCATTTGGCTATCTACCCCCTTCCCTTCCTCCTTCCACCTCACTTAGAGCTAGAAACCTTCCATGGCAAATGATTGGATTCTAGGTTTGGTTAAATGCCTACCATTTACAAAGTACATTGCTAGCTGCAGTAGGATTCAGAGGTAAACAACACTGGCTTTCCCCTTAAGGACGCTGGGCCTGACTTGGGTTCACAAATTGCTATGACAGAAGACAGTGAAAGATGCATGCATCTTTGGACTGCATTTTACCAGTTCAAATATTTTATTTTTAATAATATGTAATAAAATATAAGGTATAACAGGGAAATGAAATGCACAGATCTTAAGCGTGCGGTTCCAAGTATTTTGAGTGTGAGTGTGACTGTGTGTTGCAGGGGGAAGGTAACAGAAGAGTTGAGTCCCTTCACTGGGTATGGCATTTGGAATATCAGTGCTATCATGTTTTGGCATGTCTGCTGCCTGCCGTTTTGTTTTTTAAATTGCCAACTTCAGAAAGTTTATAAGACTAAGGAATTCCTGTATACCCTTTCCCCAGATTCACCAATTATTTACATTTATGAAATCATTTGAGAAAAATTTAGAGAAATCTTGCCCCTTTACCCTTAAATACTTCAGTTTATATTTCAAGGACATTCTTTTACGTAGTCTGGCTTCCTCTTAGCTGAGCCTTGGGCATTTCATTTTCAGACAGTATTGGGTCATTCTATATCTTAAGTAAAGCTGATTTAATGGGAGAGAGAGCTGGATTGGTTTTCTGCTTGATGCTGTGCTGGTGGCCTGGCTGTTGGGGGCTGCCTAGGTCACAGGGTCCCCCAGGGAAAATCTGTTGACTTCCGCAGCTATGCTTGAGTCTGCTTGTTACTGGACAGCTGGTCTGTCCCCTTAGAGGCTTGGCTGAACTCTGTGCTCTCCTTCCCTCTACTTTGTTCTCGAGTTTTCTGCACATTCTTCCACCCACAGATGTGAATGTCGTGTGATGTTGGCTTTCCAGTGTCTTGCATGGCGTGGTAGCAGCAGAAATGAGCTTGGCTGGGCACCCTCTCTGGGCCTTGGAGGCAAGCCTGGGCTCCTCTGAAAATACAGGCAGCTTCCTTTCCCTGACTTGCCTGGAGGAGCCAGGCCCTGTGGTGCGGTCTGGCTCTGAGGCCTGTGGTCCTGCTTGGGACTGGCAGTCTTAGGCTGAGGGAACATTTTCCAGAGTATAGCCGAGGGACAGAATGTCTCAGTAAGACGGGCTCGGAGGGGAAGTGTTTTGGAAAGGCCTCTGCTTGCTCTGGGAGGCGTTCAGGATGCTGAGGTTTTGGAAATCTATGGCGGCTCTTCACAACTGCTCCCAGCTTTGGGAGGAGGAATAGACGGGTGCTCGTTTCCTCGGGTTCAGTGGCAAAGGTGAAGACCAGCACTGCCGACCTGGGACCTGGGCCTCTCCCGGGCCTGGGGAGGACACTGGACTTTGAAGGGGAATGCAGCCTAGAAGGCCTGGACCCTGGAGTCAGGAGATGCTGCTCCCATCCAGTAAGCCCTGGCTGGAGCTCTTCTGGGCACCAACCCTGGCATAAAACCAGTGGGGCCTCTGGGCCTGCACTCAACAGTGCCTCTGATGGAGCAGGTAGGAGAACCCCCCGCAAATCCACCAGGCAGAACAGAACACGCTGGAGGCATTTAACCAGGCAGGCACGTCTCCTGCAAGGAGAGGCCAGGGAAGGGAGAGTTCAGATGCCCCCAGCTGCCAGGGGATGCTTAGCGGAGGAAGTGAGGCCTGAGCCCCCCTTTCTAGCACCCTCTCCCTTCTTCTGTTCTGCTTTTGTATACAACCAGCATGCCGAGGGTCCAGTTCCAGCTCTGTTCTGTGATCTTGGACAAGTCCGTTTATCTCCTTGGGCCCATTTCCCGCCTGTGAAATGGGACGTGGAGCACTGGAGCCACCTTCCCGGGACAGTGCTGAGTGGTCACCAAATGTTGGTGGGCTTCAGAGGTGCTTGGAGAGCTTAGGCAGATGCCTGGGAAGTTGGGAGCCTGAATTCCCGGTGGTGAGGCCCAGGCGTGTGTAGGCATTGCTTTCAACCAGCTCTCCTGGTGGTCCTTGGAGCGGAGCTGGGTTACTGTGGAGGCACCACATCCCCCGCCCCTAACTTAACTGCAGGCTCCTTGGACCCAGACTCGGGCCTTTATTCCTGGATGCATTTTTCCCGGTGTCCGGGAGGGCCTGGTACAGGTGGGGGCACCCGGGCCTGGCCACTGGGCCGTCCACCGGCCCCTCCCACCCGGGAGTCGTGCCACAGCCCGGGCAGCCTGGACGCAACCCCCCTCCTTCCCTACGAGCCAGCTTCAATGCCCCGCATTACCATTTCCATGGCGCCCTCCTCCAGGGCCCCATGGAAATCACGAGGCTTTCTGAGGAGTCGTGCAGACTTCAGAAAAGACCCTGGGCCCCCTGCCCACCCCGGCTCCCTGGCCGCTGTAATCCCGCGCGGGGCGCGAGAGACAGAGCTCCCAGTCTCCTCGCGGCCCGGCCGGGCGCTCATTCTCCCACAGAGCTGACGTTTCTCTGCGGCCCAGCTGGCTGCAGTTTTTAGAAATAACAATATCCCCGGGGGGAGGAGCGGCGGGGTGAATGGGCGCCTTTGTCCCGGGCCCTGTGAAGCCCGATTAATTATGCGCGGCGGAGCGCGGGGAGCTCGGCCGCCGGGGCCCCCCCTGGGTGGCTGAAAGGCCCGGGCTTGGGAGCGCGGCCGCCGGCTCCGCGCCGCCGCACAAAGGGCCGCGAATTAGAGAAGCGGCAATTACCCCGCATTTTGTATGTGCCCTTGTCTCGCTGACACTGTGGACGGCCCCTCCCCGGGCGGCTGCACTTTGAGGATTTTCAGGCCCTTTCTTGGTTACCAGGGGCGACTGGGCAGAGGGCTGGGGGCTTGGGGAGAGGGGGAAGTGCCAAGGGCCGAGTGGGATCGTGTGCAGTGGGGGGCGTCCCGGGGTGGGGGGCAGGGAGCGGCGTGTGGGTATCGCCCCTGGGGACCTCGGCCTCAAGTCTAATGCTCTCTCCAAAGCCGGAGCCCTTTCAGCATGCAGATTCCAGGGCCTCACCACAGAGGACTCCCTGACTCGGGGATTCTGGGGCGCCCAGAAAACTGCATTTTACCAGTCCAAATATTTTTAATAATATATAATAAAATATAAGATATAGCGGGGAAATGAAATACACAGATTTTAGGTGTTCAATTCCATGTCACCCACATCTCATCAAGATATAGAACAATTCCATCACTCCAGAAAGTACCATGGGTCCTCTTTCCAGTTTCTCCACCCCACTGCTCATCCCCCCAGGTAACTACTGCTCTGATTTCTAGCACTATTCCTAAAGTTTCATCAGTTTTTGGACTCCATAATAAATGGAGCCATACAGTATACATTTGTTTTGTTTCTGACTGTTCTCATTTGGAATCATGTTTTTGAAATCTATTCCTGTTGTGTGTATTAATAGTTTAGTTTCTTTCTTTTGATTAAACAGTTTTTTTTGATCCATTCACCTGTTGATGGACAGACACCTGGACTGTTTCTAATTTTTGGCTGTTATAAATAAAGCTGCTATGATCATTTTGTACGAGACTTTTTTTTGTGAACACGTGTTTTTGTCTTTTGGGTAAATGTCTAGGAGTGGAATTGCTGGGTCATAGAGAAGGTATTTGGCTTTACTAGATTCTAAAGTGGCTATATGATTTTGTATCCACACCAGCAATATATGAGGGTTCCAGTTGTTCTACCTTTTCGTCAGCACTTGATATTGTCAGTCTTTGTGATTTTAGCATTCTAGTGAGTGTGAGGTGGTATCTCGCTGTAGTTTTCTGGGTGGGTGATTTTAATGCATGAGTTCCAAGGAGTACACTTGGAGAAAACTCCTGTCTAGTCCAATCCTTGCATTTGCCTGCAAGGTCCAGCAGAGGAAATGTCCTCCCTGAGGCCCACAGCTGGTTGAGCAGAGGCAGGATCAGGACACAGGACTCCCATCCCAAGCTAAAGCTCTCTTCTTGGTATCATGCTACCCCTTTGGCCCACACCTCCTGAGCCTGTGTGTATGAAGCATGGATCGTGCTCTGCCTAGGACCATTCAAAGTGGACCTGGCAGGGCACTTCTGAAGAGTCCCCACCTGCCACCCAAGCAGCAGCATCCATGGGACTCAGGTTGAGAGACTGGGCTTGGCCAGGTACATATGGTGTGTATGCGAACATAGGAACAGGGGTAGGAAGCTGCTGGCTAGCTACTCTTGACTCTAACTCCCAGGACACAGACCTGGCTTTACTGCTCTCCACCATCTTACCATACATTTGAAGAGCCAGCCTATGTGAAAGCCTAAACCCTGAGAGTTCCTCTGCTTCAGGTACTCATGGGGGGCTTTGCATATTTTCTGATCCAACACACAGGAGATGCTGGGTGGATGGGAATAAGTAAGCAGGAGTCCTGGGGCTTCCAAAGTCTTCCTTTGCCTGTAAGCATTGTCCTACATGTGCTTTTTTTTTTTTTGAGATGGAGTCTCACCCTGTCGCCCAGGCTGGAGTGCAATGGTGCGATCTCAGCTCACTGCAACCTCCGCCTCTCAGGTTAAAGCAATTCTCCTACCTCAGCCTCCTGAGTAGCTAGGATTACAGGCGCGCACCACCACACTCAGCTAATTTTTTGTGTTTTTAGTAGAGACGGGGTTTCGCCATGTTGGCCAGGCTGGTCTGGAACTCCTGACCTTGTGATCAGCCTGCCTCAGCCTCCCAAAGTGCTGGGATTACAGGCATGAGTCACCGCACCCAACCTCTACATGTGCTTTTTAAGACCCTCCAGAACCTGGCCTGACCTATCCCAGTTGCCTTGTTTCCGCCTGCCTTCACCTTGCACGTGGTGCTCCAGCAATAGTAGACACTGGTCTATTGTTGTTCCCCTACCCCCTCCCATCCCCATCAACACAGGCAGTGGGGATTGTGTTTTCCAAAGATGACTGCACCACAATATATCTCCCAACCCAAAGGCTCTTGCAGTGTGACTGACACTCCTCCCACTGAGAGGAAGGGGGTCTCTGTTTCCTCTCATCAAATTGGGATAGGGGCTTGAGACCGGTCTGACCAACAGACTATGGCAAAAGGGATGATTTTTGATGCTAAGTCATATAAAAGCTAGAACTTCCACCTAGCTCGCTCTCTCTTCTTTGGGATGTGTGCTGTAGGAATTTAAACACTGTGCTATGGAAATGCCCAAACTAGCCCACATGGAGAGACCCATGTGGAGGAGATCTGAGGCCTCCAACCTGCAACCAGGCTCAACCACTAGATTTGTGAGTGAATGAGCCTTTAGATGATTCCAAACTCCAGCCTTCAGTGTTTCCAGTGGAGGCCCCAGTCAACAGAGAGCAGAGACAAGCTCCTCCTGCTGTGCCCTGTCCGGATTCCTGACCCTGACTGGATACCAAACATAATTAAGGGGTGTTTTATGCCAATATTATGATAATTTGTTACACAGCCATAATGACTGGAACGCACACAAGATTTCTTGCATCCTCCCCATGTTAATTCATATTCCCCTTGCTCCAAGCCCAGCTCTAAGCTTAACTCTTCTCTTTCAGGTTCAGCTTGGTTGTGACCTCTGCTAGAAGCCCTCCCTGGCCTCCCTGTGCACTGAGCTGGTGGTTCCTCCTTTGCGCCCCAGGTACATGCTCAGATCTGTGTACCCTACACTTTGTCCTCCAGCTTCGTGTTTGGATGTTCACAACTCCCATGAGAAGGGCCCCCGAGAGCTGGCACAGTGCATGTGTTTCCTCTCCAGACTTCTACAAACCTGGCACATAATTGTTTGCTGAAAGATGGCATGTTCCTAAAACAGAGGAAGTAGAACCGAATAAAGCGAAATCCAACTTCCCACTCCCTGCTCTCACTTCCTCTGGGACAGGCCTTGAGCAAGAGAGACAAAAAGAACAAGAGATGATCTTTCCCTTTAATGGGATTTCAGTCTGATCAGGGAGATAGTAACAGAAAGACTAGACTAGACTAGTGTATGATTAAATGACATTTGCCATCCCCAGAAGAGGGAGAGACCTGCATGGAACAGGGTGGTCAAGGCAGGCTTCCTGGAGGAGGCAAAGACTTAGATTTAACAGTACCAGAGCTCCAGGATAGATCCTCCTCTGACTGAACTCCCTATTTCTTTCTCCCACCCCAACCTTCCCGGGTCCCCAGCTGAAGGGATACGTGTGTGTGTGTGTGTACATGTGCCTGCACACATGTACACATGTGGTTAGAAAGGGGGTATTAGTATCTCTCTCCTAGGATGGAGTCTCAAGGACAGGCCCATCATCTCCTCAGTTTGCCCCTCTCTCTCCCACTTCACCTAGGGAATGGAATAAGAATGGGATAAGTATAACACAATGAGACGAATGCAGAACCAACTAGATGTACACCCAACAATGTGGATGAACCTTAAAACAGTGCTGCCTGAAGAAGGCAAGAAACAGAATGAAATCTGCAGCACATCATTCATATAAACTAAAAATACATGCACAGAGAAAGGCCACTTTTTTTTTTTTGGAGACAAAGTTTCGCTCTTGTCACTCAGGCTGGAGTGCAATGGCACGATCTCGGCTCACTGCAACGTCCACCTCTAGGGTTCAAGCGACTGTCCTGCCTCAGCTTCTAGAGTAGCTGGGATTATAGGAGCCCACCACCATGGCCGGCTAATTTTTGTCTTTTTAGTAGAGACGGGGTTTCACCATGTTGCCCAGGCTGGTCTCAAACTCCTGACCTCAGGTGATCCACGTGCCTCGGCCTCCGAAAGTGCTGGGATTACAGGCGTGAGCCACCGCACCCAGTCAGCAACGTATGTTTTGTAGAGACACAGACAAAGATGTGATGTCAAACACACTAATGTGGTTGCCTCATTTATGGATGGGGGACTGGGCTGGTGAATGAGGATTAAAGGAATAAATAAATAAAACAAGAGAGGGCCTCTGTACAGAACGGTGATGACAGCGTGCCGTCGAGGAGAATGATGAACTCAAACTTTTGCACCTGAGAGCCAAACAAAAGCTCAAAACCAAAATCTCTCTTAGAAATGATGCCACTGACTTTAGGATGGCACTCATATCTGTGTGAGTGGGAGAGAGAAGGGTTTGGGGCAGGGATTTGACTGTAGCTGTAATGTTTTATTCCTTTAAAAAAGATAAGATAATCTGAAACAAAATGTTAATATCTGTTGAATCTGGGGAGAGGCTATGAGGGTTTCTGTTAAACCATTTTGTGTACATTTTAAATACAGTCATGCATGAGTTAATGATGGGGAATAAGTTCTTAGAGATACGTTGTTAAGCAGTTTTGTTATTGTGTGAACATTATCGAGTGTACTTACACAAACTTAGGATGGAATAGCTGACTATATAACTTAGACTATATGGTCTAGCCTATTGCTTGAAGGCTGCAAACCCATACTCCATGTTACTGTACTGAATAATGAAGACAAGTGTAATACGATGGCAAGTATTTGTGTATCTAAACATAGAAAAGGTACAGTAGAAATGTGGTATCGTAGTCTTATGAGAGTACTGTTGTATATGCAATGCTTTGTTGACTGAAACATCATTATGTGGTTCATGACTGTATATCATAATTTTAAAAAATATTTTAAGAGGTTGCCAATCAAGACACTACAAACTAATTTTGTGGCTTTTGTCAAAATTCATTTCTTTCTTTCTTTTTTTTTTTTTTGTTTTGAGACAGGGATCACTCAAGCAATCCTTCTGCCTTAGCCTCCCAAGTTGGTGGGACTACAGTCTTGTATGCCACCACGCTTGGCTAATTTTTTTTTTTTTTAAATTATTGAATAGAGATGGGGTCTTGCTATGTTGCCCAGGCTGATCTCAAACTTCTGGACTCAAGTGATCCTCCCTTCTTGTTCTCCCTAAGTGGGATTACAGATGTGAGCCACTGTGCCTGGCCCTGGCTAAATTTTAAATTATTTTTGTAGTGACAGGGTTTTGCTATGTTGCCCAGACTGTCTTGAACTCCTGGCCTCATGTAATCCTCCTGCCTTGGCCTCCCAAAGTAGAATTCATTTCTGTTGCTAGGTTGGCCTCTGAACAGTTTTACAGAGCTGAATGCTCTAGTCTTCTGTGACACAGTCTTTTTCTTTTTTTTTTTTTTTTTTTTGAGACGGAGTCTCACTCTGTCACCCAGGCTGGAGTGCATTCGGCTCAATCTCGGCTTACTGCAACCTCTGCCTCCTGGGTTCAAGGAATTCTCTTGCCTCAGCCTCCCGAGTAGCTGGGATTACAGGCATGCACCACCATGCCCGGCTAATTTTTGTAGTTTTAGTAGAGACGGAGTTTCATCATGTGGCCAAGTGGTCTTGAACTCCTGACCTCAAGTGATCCACCCACCTCAGCCTCCCAAAGTGCTGGGATTACAGGCATGAGCCACCATACCCGATGACACAGTCTTAATAAGGAGAAGAATATGAAGAATTTGACTTTTTATTGATGCTAAAAGCATTAATAAATAAGATCTTTGGAAAAATGTGGAAAATGGAAAATGTCACTGCCTGCTGTCTGTAGGGTGAAATGAAATGGCTAAAGAGCTATAGGAGCATTTTGTTCTCACTTGTTGGGTCAGATCAACTTCCCAGGACTTTTTGGGAAGATCACAAATCCTAGACAATCGTACTGCACTGCTCTAGGAATTCTTGGAGGGCTGGAAGTCTCACAATTAGGGCTTTTTCTCTGGGCACCAACCTGACACGCATGGCAAGGGGGCTGAGCAGTTGTCTATGGTATAGATGCTATATTCTATGACTCCTGTTGGCCCTAGCCATAGCTGATTGGTATAGAGGGTCAAAGCTGGGCCAATCAGATTATCTGTCTCAAGATTCTGGAATTCTGAACTGGGGCAGAGACAGGGAGCTGTGGGAATGTGGTTGCTTTAATGGGAATGTTCTGGTGAGGAGATGCATTGACTCCAGATGCTTACATCCTTTCCTGAGGCTCAATTGTTCAACCTTTTCTTGAAATTTAGGGCCAAACAAAAGGTCAAAACCAAAATCACTCTTAGAAATGATGCCACCGACTTTAGGATGGCACTCATATCTGTGTGAGTGGGAGAGAGAAGGGCTTGGGGCAGGGATTTGACTGTAGTTGTAATGTTTTATTCATTATTGTGAATTTTGTCATATTATTGTGATTTGTCAGGGTTGATTTCTATTACTTGTCCTATGGAGTAGGTTACTATATTTTTGTCTTCTCACCTTCCCCTGGTGCTGCTGTTAATACATATGGTATCTTTATTGAGTTAGAAAAAGATGCCTGACTCTGGGTGGACAAGCAAGAAAAAGCTGTTCTTTCCTTCAGGCGGACACAGCCTCTAACGAGGGTGGAAGGTTTGGCCAGTGGAGCACGGGCTGGGTTTCAGGCCATACTCTGCTCACTTCCTTGGCCCAGCCCTTTTGTGCATTGCACAGATGACATCCCCATTTATGGCGGCCTTACACCTGTCCACCATGTGCTTTTGGGATGATCTGTCTTCTGCAGCTAGGCATTGTTCAGAATATGAAGGGCTATTCCAGACAAGATTCACGGGACATGGACTATCATGCAAGTCCTATTCTGGACTTTAAGGCTCATGACAAAGATGTTAAAAGTCAAACCTGCTCAAAGTCAAGACTTAAAGGAAATGTAGAAAAACTCTCTGGCCTGATAAAGTCCACAGAAGCCTCATCTTCTGATGAATGATCTTCAGGCTTGAAAGGATGCCTTCCTCCAAACAGGCTGGCAGACATTCTTGAAATGTCAAAGGATAGGCCAGGGGTGGTGGCTCACGCCTGTAATCCTAGCACTTTGGGAGGCCAATGTGGGCAGATTGCCTGAGCTCAGGAGTTCAAGACCAGCCTGGGTAATGTGGTGAAACCCCATCTCTACTAAAATACAAAGAATTAGCTGGACATGGTGGTGCGCGCCTGCAGTCCCAGCTACTCGGGAGGCTGAGGCAGGAGAATCACTTGAGCCCAGGAGGCGGAGGTTGCTGTGAGCCAAGATTGCACCACTGCACTCCAGCCTGGGTGACAGAGCAAGACTCCATTTCAAAAAAAAAAGAAAAAAAAGAAAGAAAGAAAGAAATGCCAAAGGGTACTCTTCCATCCCCCTGTGAAAAAAACTAAAAAACTAGTGGTGAGAAGTTAAGAGCAAGATCACAGGAACAGATGACAAGGAGGTGTCTGAAGGCCACAATGAGAGTGACATGGAAACCAGTCAAGGCACTGATGGCCATGGGAAGAAAATGATCTCAAGGAAGAGATAATTCCTTGAGAGGAGGCTGCTCCAGCTCTGATTTGTTCATTCATTTTACAGTCAGGAAGCCACTCCACCCCAGAAGAAGGTAATATGAGTCCTACTACCTTTCTGAAAGGAAGGTGAGTACAGAAAAGCAAGACAGTAACTTTCCCAAGCCAGGGAACCCCTGTCTCCCCAACTTCTGCATCATGTAGACCATTTGTGTCTACAACTTACAGGAGGCAGTGTAGACTAGCAGTTGAGAATGTGAGTCTAGAATCAGAATGCCTGGGTTCAAACCTCAACTCTGTCACTTTCCAGCTATTTGGCCTTGGACATATTACTTAAACATTTGTGTGTTTTAAAACGTGTACACAATCCTTTGACTCTCTTTCCATCAAGAAGTGGAGCCTATGTCCCCTCCCTTTGAACCTGGGTGGAAATGTGGGAGTGCCTAGACAAATAGAATGTGGCAAAAGTGACACTGTGTGATTTCCAAGGCTAGGTTAGAAAAGACCCTGCAGCTTCTGATGATTCCTTTAGGGACACTCATGTCGGGAGGCTTCAGCTGCTGTGAAAGAAACTCAGCTACCCTGAGGCTGCCTTGTAGAGGGACTGCATTTAAAGTGAGAGATTCCTGAGGAGTTCCAGCCATCCAGCCCCAAGCAGTGTGAACCTCCTAGTCTAGACCCCAGCATTTGAGCTGACCTCAGCCCCAGCCACCAATTGACTGCAAACTCATGAGACACCCTGAGTGAGAACTGCCTAGCTTAGTCTCTGTCAACCCTCAAATTTCAGGAACAAAATAAATGATTGTTGTTGTCTTAAGACCACTGTTTGGGGATGGTTTCTTATCATGCAATAGATAGCTGATGCAGACTTTTCTATAACCTAGAAACGGAATGCTGCCATCACAGAACCTAAGTCATGTGGCTTTAGGACTGGGAGATGGGTAGAGATTGTAAGGACTTTGAGGATATTGTTGATGGAAGTCTGATAGTTCTCAAGGAAGTTGCTGGTGAGGGCTTAAAGGAAAGTGAGAAATTTTTATTAGAAGCAGGAGGAAAGGGGACAAACCCTTATTACGTGGTGGAAGAAAGTTAGTAACATTGTCACTTGAAGCTATGTGAGCAATAGAAAATGTGCCTAATGAAGGCTGGGCACGGTGGCTCACACCTCTAACCCCAGCACTTTGGGAGGCCGAGGTGGGCAGATCACATGAGGTCAGGAGTTCGAGACCAGCCTGGCCAACACGGAGAAATCCTGTCCCTACTAAAAATACAAAAATTAGCTGGGCTTGGTGGCTCATGCTTGTAATCCCAGCTACTCGGGAGGCCGAAGCTGCAGAATCGCTTGAGCCCAGAGGGCAGAGGTTGCAGTGAGCTGAGACTGTGCCACTGCCCTCCAGCCTGGGTGACAGAGTAAGACTCTGTCTCAAAAAAAAAAAGAAAAAAAAGAAAAATGAAAAAGAAAATATGCCTAATGAACTAATGGTTTGGGCTAAAACAATTTTTAAGCAGACTGTTGAAAATGCTAGTTGGATTAGAAAATGCTAGTTGGATTATTTTAGCTGTATATGATAAAGACAGAGAAAGATGAGTTAAAAGGAAGCTTTAACTTTCAAGCAAAATTTATAAAACATATACAAGAGCCAGGGGCTTGCTGGATTTGAAAATAAATCTGCTTTTCATTCTCAGCCTCCCAGATGGCAAAAGATTCTCAAAGTATGAAAGGGCTTCAGGACAAAGATAAAACCCAGAGTGGGACTATAAGAACCTTTGTTAAAATCTCAGAAATATCTAAGGCTTCATAAAATATTTTGAATAGACAAAGGCCCTCTAAGTATTTCAAGAGTGTGCCTCAGTGCTCGCTTCAGCAGCACGTATACTAAAATTGGAACAATACAGAAAAGATTAGCATGGCCCCTGTGCAAGGATGACATGCAAATTCATGAAGCACTTCATATTAAAATAAAAACAAATTAAAAATAAAATGAAAAAGAGTGTGCCTCACAGATCCTCTTCATTAAACAACAGGGCTTCTAAGTATCTTAAGTAAATCGTTTTACACCAGCCTCACATTGAGAATGTAGAGAATGTTTTCTTGATGAAATGTTTGGTTATAGCTTTTGACTAACAGAGTGAGCCCCAATAGGATTCATGGGAAACCCACACAGTTTTTAATAGAATTATTTTGTCAGAAGCACCACCAGCTTGGGCAAAAAGGGTCAGAATAGTGTGAAATGAAAAAAGGCTTTTGGACCCCCAAAATTCTATGGGAAGGAAACAAGCTGAAAACTACTCAGTTGGAAACACCAGGTGTATTGGTCTGTTTTCACACTGCTGATAAAGACATACCTGAGACTGGGCAATTTACAAAAGAAAGAAGTTTAATTGGACTTACAGTTCCACATGGCTGGGGAAGCCTCACAATCATGGCAGAAGGCAACGAGGAGCAAGTCACATTTTACGTGGATGGTGGCAGGCAAAGAGAAGATGAGCTTGTGCTTCTTTTTTTAAAACCATCAGATCTCGTGAGTCTTATTCACTATCACAAGAACAGCACGGGAAAGACTTGCCCCCATGATTCAATTACCTCCCACCAGGTCCCTCCCACAACACGTGGAAATTCAAGATGAGATTTGGGTGGGACATAGCCAAACCATATCACCAGCCATTTTTTATAGAGAAAGAAGGATGATTCAGAAGGTGGAACCAAGAATCTAGAGAACAGAGCCAAAAGCCACAAAGAATCATTCCCAGGCAGTAGAACTGAGCCCTAATCAAGAAATTGGCAACACAATATGAGCCTGAATGGATTTCAGAATTGCTATGGACCAGTCATGGCTCTGTGCCTCCTCTCCCCTCTCTTGAATAAGAGTGTTTATAGTGGCTACACTATGCCTATCTCATCATTGGATGTTCAGTGTGTAAGCAGCAGATAACTTTTTTTTTTTTTTTTTTTTTGACACAGTGTTTCACTCTTGTTGCCCAGGCTGGAGTGCAATGGTGTGATCTTGGCTTGCTGCAACCTCCGCCTCCTGGGTTCAAGCGATTCTTCTGTCTCAGCCTGCTGAGTAGCTGGGATTATAGGTGCCTGCCACCATGCCCAATTAATTTTTGTATTTTTAGTAGAGAGAGAGTTTCACCATGTTGGCTAGGCTGGTCTTGAACTCCTGACCTCAGGTGATCCAACTGCCTTGGCCTCCCAAAGTGCTGGGATTACAGGTGTGAGCCACTGCATGCGGTCCAGTAGCAGATAACTTGTCTCTTTAGTTCACAAGTCTCTGAATAAAGAGGAATAGTACTTAAGGAAATGTGCCTGAGGAATTACATCTGAGGAACTTCCTCCATACCTGAATGGTTGATATAATGGGATCCTAGACCTCTCTAGCCTAAATCTGATGCCATAATAGATGAGATTTTGGGGGATCTTTGCAAAGGAATGAGTATATTTTGTATGTGAAAGGAATGTAAATAATTTATGTCCAGAGGATAGACTATGGTGGTTTTAAATATGGCTCAGATTGTTGACCCATTTCCTATCAAGAAATGGAACTGTTTCTCCCTCCTGCTGTACCTGGGCAGGCCTTTTTAACTGCCTTAACAAATAGAATGAGGTAGAAGTGACACTGCATGGCTTCCAAGTTCTGGATCAGGAAAAGTGACGCAGCTTCTGTCTCTCTGGATATATGCCTTTGGATTGCTGAGTGGCCATGTAAAAAACTCCAGCTATAGCCGGGCGCGGTGGCTCATGCCTGTAATTTCAGCACTTTGGGAGGACAAGGTGGGCGGGTCACCTGAGGTCAGGAGTTTGACACCAGCCTGGCCAACACGGAGAAACCCCATCTCTACTAAAAATACAAAAAAAAATTAGCCAGCCATGGTGGTGGGCGCCTGTAATCCCAGCTACTCGGGAGGTTGAGGCAGAAGAATTGCTTGAATCTGGGAGGCAGAGGTTGCAGTGAGCCAAGATCGTGTCATTGCGTTCCAGCCTGGGCAACAAGAGCAAAACTCCGTCTCAAAAAAAAAAAGTCCAGCTATTTTGGGGCTGCCATGTTGGAGAGCTCATGTGGAGAAACCACACAGATAGAGAGATGCCTGAAAGACCCTGGCTTTCGCAGCCTCCGCTTGTTTGTGTCCTCCCAGCCCAGGCACCAGACCTGTGAGTGAAGAAGCCTTGAAACTGATCCTATCCTCAGTCACAGTCTGACTACAGCTTCATGAGACCCCAAGCCAGAACTTCCCAGCTGATCCAAAGAAACCATGAATGATAATAAATGATTATTGTTGTTTTAAACCACTAAGTTTGGAGGTGGTTTGTTATTCAGCAATACATAACCTCTTTTCTAAGTGATCTAGAAAACAGGACAAACAATAATACCTACTTCAAAGGAGGGAAAACAAGTAAGGAGTAAATGAGTTAGACTTTGTAAAGCACTGAGCTCAGGGTCTGGTATGCAGTAAACTCTCAATGAATGCTATTTACCCTTTACAGAGCTTCTCAGTGGCTGGTATCTTGAATGATAGTGAGTCAAACAAAAGTGGTGTTTACTTTAAGTGTACTCTATTTAAGAAGGAACTATGTGCCTGACAGTGAATGTTTGTTGAATAAATGAAAAAAGACAATGATTTTCTTTTTGGGGGGGTGGTCGCTACTCTCCAAAGATGGCCCTGGATGATATTCATTCCCTTCTAGAGTTCCTTCCCGTGCTGAATCTGGTCCAGGCTTGTAATTCACCTTAAGCAGCAAAATATGTCCAAAGTGGTGCCAAGCCATTGCCAGTCCTAAACTTTAATAAGGCTTGGTGACTTCCACTTTATTACTTCTGGGAGCCCTTAGCTGTGATGTAAGAAGTCTGGATACCCTCTTGGAGAAATGCGCATGAAGAGGAGATGTGGAAGGGCCACATGGAGAAGGAGGAGCCCATACAGGACAGCAGGAGAGAAGGAATCCCATCAATGCACCAGTCCCAGCCTAGCCCAGCCCTCCAGGTTCTTTCCAGGGTACCTGACATGTGAGGCCACCATCTTGACTCAGCCAGCCCAGTCTAGCTCCCAGATGACTTCAGTTCCAGCTGCCATCTGGCTGCAGCAGCATAAAAGTCCCTTGGTGAGATCAGTGGAAGAACTGCTCAGCCAACTTATAAAGTTATAAGAGATAATAAATGTTTGTTGTCCATTTTAAGCCACTGCATTTTAGAGTGGTTTGATACATACAGGTAGATAACCAAAAAGTAAGTGCCTAGGACAGCGCCTGCCATACAGCAGGCATTCAATAAATATTGGCTGACTAAATGAATGAACCTCTTCATTCTCTTCCTGTGAAACCTTTTCTGCCTGGGTCTGGGCCTCCTGAGACGCCCTCCTTACCTGCTGCTCACCCCTCCTCACCTGCTGCTCACCCCTCCTCTTCTGCCTTGCCCATGTCCCCCAAGGAATAGGGGACTAAAGTAAAATGGGTGCTCCTGTTGGGTTCCCAAGAGCACAAAACCCTGAAACAGGTCTCCCTTGTGAGGAAATTCCAGGCTGTAGATCTCTAGGTATAATGGAGGCAGGTCTCTGTAAGTTTGTTAAGAGAAAATAGAAGAGAGAATCTGTTCTGGTTCTCTCTTGGGTTTGAATTCCAGTCTCTCCAAGTCCTGACTGTGTGGCAATGAACTGCTGATTCAACCAACTTCCTTATCTGGAAAATGGGTTCAATGTCAAGGCCTTAGTGTAAACAAGTAACCATGACATCCTTGGTACAGCACCTGGAGTGTGGGAGGTGCCATGGGGTCATTAGTGTGTCTGCATCGTGGATGAATCTCATAGACAGGATGAACTAGGTAAGCTGGTCATGAAAGCACATGCTGTTGGTGATTCCATTTCAATGAGGTTCAAAAAGAGGCAAAATTAATTGATGGTGAGAGAAGTTCCAAATCACGGTCACCTCTGAGGGGGACGAATGTTGACTGGGAAGGGGATCCAGGGAATCTTCTGGGGTATTTGCAGTGTTCTACATTTCATCCAGGTGTGTTTGTATGTAAAAGTTCATCAAGCCACGCCATTAAGACGAGTGTGTTTTACTGAGTGTGTTATATCTCCCTAAAGAAGTTGAAAAAATGTTCGCATGTCTCCCCTTCATGCAGGAGTGATCTTCAGGAATTCTCCAATTCTAGGGCCTCTTGCTCCTCATGGGCTCTCTGTCCTGCCCCCTCACCCCAAGTCTGCCCTAGAGCAGCTTTGGCAATGATATCTTCCTGCATTGCATGAATTGGCTGGCACTGCCCAGCCTGGCCTGGGGCTGAGTTCCAGGATGGGAGTCATGTTGAGGGATGCATTAACCTGCTCCTGAGAGGGCAGAGTGGCTGGGCTTGGGTGTCCTCAATGTCTCTGGGGGCTGGTGAGTGGGAAGGGGGCCTCACCCCTATACACGGGGATGTCTGGCTGTGTTGGGGGCCGGGGGTGTTTGGAATAAGCGAGCAACAGCGGCACATCCTTGGCATGACGGGCCCGCTTCCTGGAAGGAGAGCAGGGAGGGGTGCTGCTGAGGGTGTCCAGGTTGGGCTGAAATGAAGAGCCTGTCCTGCTCACAACCCTGCTATTTGGAACCTGGAGCCATGACGTTCCTCAGAGTTTCCATTCTCTGTGCTGCAGCTGTTGGTTACGTGTTTCATTCAAAATGCTTTGCAGGAAGCAGCAGGCTTCACATTCCAGGGTTTGTAGTCATTTTTTCTCTCAGAGCTCTCGGGCTGGGATTAGAATGTTCTTCAAGCCACACTGTCCTCGGCTGGACTCCCCAAGAGGAAGTGGGTGGGTCTCTGGGGGAAGAGAACATAGGCCTAAATGCAGGGACGGAATGAAAAAAGATTGGCCAGGCGTGGTGGGTCACGCCTGTAATCCCAGCACTTTGGGAGACTGAGGCGGGCAGATCACCTGAGGTCAGGAGTTCGAGATCAGACTGGCCGACAAGGTGAAACCCCGTCTCTACTAAAAATACAAAAATTAGCTGGATGTGTTGGTGGGTGCCTGTAATCTCAGCTGCTTGAGAGGCTGAGGCAGGAGAATCACTTGAACCTGGGAGGAGGAGGTTGCAGTGAGCCGAGATTGCACCACTGTATTCCCGACAGAGCAAGATTCCGATTCAAAAAAAAAAAAAAGAAAAAAGATTAAGGCCAGCACAAGTAACTCCTAGAGAGGCCAGCTGAGTTGAGGCCCAGGTATAGTGAAGGGTAGAAAGCTGGTGGGTGGTGGCTCTTGCCCTCCCCAGCGTTAGGCCAAGGAGAACGCAGAGCCTGTGGTGTGTGCACGTGTGTGGTGGGGTGGGGGCAGGGGGCGTGAAACAGACTCAGTGCTGGCCTTTTATCCTGATGGACCCACACTCATGCTTCCTCTCACTGTGGTCACTGCCCTCGGGCTGAGGGAGAGGGTGACATGGGTGTCACTTGCTGAGGCGGCAGCAGGAGACGTATCCTCAGGTTTGGGGCAGGCAGGGGAGCACATTAGCACGTGGACCACATAGATACGTGGATGCAGACAAACAATGACGAATGTTTGCTAGAGTGTCTGCTATGCTCCTGGCACCCGGGTGGGTGTTGGGAATAATACCGCAGGTACAAGACAGACTCTATGGTTGCCATCACAGGAAGGCCTGGCAGAGATGGCCTGGAAGGTGTCCACTGGGATAAGGGAGGGAGAACAGATTCAGGCAGTGGGGGCTGGTAGGCGCCAGGCTCCAGTGGACAGAGATGGGAGCAGGCGAGTGTAGACCGCCGTCGTAGATCCCGGGAAGGAGTGGTACCCAGAGAGTATGAAGGAAGGGCAGAGCCCAGGAAGGAACTTGCAGGGGGTGTGGAGTGGCTGAAGATCTGGAAGGGGAAGGTGACGGACAGATTAAGTCCTGGGGTCCTGAGACAGGGCTCCCTCTCCAAGTCATGAAAAGCCCAGAGGTAGGCTCAAGAGGAGGAGGAGGAGGAGGAGGGGAAGGGGCAGGGGCCACAGGCAGCCACCCCTAATCCAGTGTCACCCTTTCCTTTGCGCTCCTGGGGCAGAGGGAAGGAAACCCTCCCTAAGGGTTAGACCCTCATTAGGCTCTAATGAGAGCCTAAGTCTGGCACTTTAGAGGTGACAAAGCACTTTTGCTTCCCGTGTAGGCAGAATTCTAAATATGGCCCCCAATATTTCCATCCGAACCCCTGAACATGATAAGACATCAAGCCCATGATCATGTGAAATTATATGGCAAAGGGATTTCAAAGACATCATTAAGGATAGAAATCAGTTGACTCTGAGTCCAAGAAAAGAAAGATGAGTTGGTAGGGGCCTAATCGAATCACACGAGCCCTTTAGAAGCAGAGGGTTTTCTCTGGCTGGGGGCAGGAGAGGAAGTCACAGATGTGAAGTGTGAGGGAGGGTTCGATACATCTTTGATGACTTGAAGAAGGAGGGGACCATGTGGAAAGGACTCGAGAGAGAGCAGCTTCGAGGAGCTGATAGAGATCCCTGGCTGACCGCCACCTCAGTCCTGCAACTGCAGGAGTGGAATTCCGCCACAACCCGAATGAGCTTGCAAGGAGATGCTTTCCCAGAGCTTCTGGAAAAGAGCTTCTGATAGGAGCCAGCCAGCTCACACTTTGATTTTCAGCTTGTGAGACCCTAAGCAGAGACTATAGCTGAGCCCACCTGGACTTCTGACCTGAAGTGTGAAATAAGAAATGGGTAGTGTTTAAGCTGCTTTGTAATAATTTGTGATGCAGCAATAGAAAACGAATATACTCCACTTTCTCATTTAACCCTGAGAAGGTCTTTGGGAAGCATCTGACGACTCCCTCTGCAGATGGGACAGGCTAAGTGAGGCCCTCGGTTTGCAGGTGCCCAGCTGCGGCTCAGGGCTGAGCCTAGCTGATTTTTTGGTATCACAAACGCTTTTCCCACCTGAACGGCCACAAAGGAACCACAGGCACTCAGCCTTGGCCAGGAGCACCAGAGGTGGGGGACCTGCATCTCACACTCCCCTTTCTAAGATGCACCTCAGCAGATGCAATCCTGCTGGAGCCTGCAGGGTACAAAGCCATCCCAGCCCCGCCACCTCCCTGGAGAAGAGCAGAGCTCTTGGCAGAAACCAGAGAAGGGCAGTGACCTCAGCCTCCCCCTTCCTCTCAGATGACAAGTCTGGGCTCTGTTAAGGCAAGAGACAGGAACTGAGATCCAAGGAGCCATGAGGTTCGGCTTCCCCTCCCCAACATCCAGTAAAAAGCATTCTCTGACTTGTCGGGATGGGGATTTTTTGAATTTTATACTCGTTTTCTGAATCATTTGTTGGGCACAGTTGGGCATCTCCTAGGAGTCCAGAAATGTTTGCAGGGAGGGAGGTTTTGTTCCTGCTTTATTGATTAAAAAGCCCTAATGAAGGTTTTCTCATTCCTGCAGAGGCCTTTTCTAAAAACCTCCTTAATTCTTCCCAGATGGCGTCCAGTTCTCCCTCCCCAGCAGGGTGGGGCTTCAGAAAGTAGGAGGGCTTTGTGTCTGGCCGACTGGGGATCTCAGCTCTGTCACTTAGTCCCTGAGGGGTGCGTGGGGGCAGGCAACCTCCCCAAGCCTCAGTTTCTTCAGGAGTTTCTAAGATGCAATGAGCCAACAGATATGCACAAGGTCCCTGGCAGGCAAGAAGGAAGCACTCACTATTGCTTCCTTACCCACGTGCCTGAGCACAACACAAGAACTACCTTGGAAATATTTTTTCGACAAAAGAAAACAATTTTGATTCTCATGACAGGCAGGCCTGGTTGGCCAGCAGCAAGAGTCTTCTGTCAGCAAAGTTTGCCTTTGTGCTTCACCTTGCCGAAGCTACTTCCTCCATCTGTGGCGCATTTCCTTCTTTCCAGCCCTCCCTGGCCAGATCCCAGGCCCTGGGAGCGGGGACACACTTGAAACCTCGGCAAGAGTCTTCGAGTTCAGTATTGCAAAGGGAGGTCAGGGTTGAATGGTGGAATCCAAGGCCCTGGAGCAGATGGGCCAGTGTGGGAATATTTTCGGGCAGGGGAGGAGGATGTTGCCAAGGTCCCTCAAGGTGTCTGTCGGGTGGGGACCAAAAGCAGTGGTTGTGCAAGCCTCTCTCCTGCTTGGGTTTATCCTGACTGTCTATTTGCAGGTTTGGAGGTTTGAGCTGAATCCTCTTAGAAGTAGCTTTTGCTGTCCTTGACATTTGAGAAAAATCTGCTTGACTTCAGCAGGTCCTGGGGGCAGAGTTTGGGAATGTGGGAGTGGTCATGTGTTTGTCGGGGTGAAGGGTGAGAGGACCTTCAGGCTCTGGGCCCCAGAATCGTTGGCCCCATGACAAGAAGATTGGAGGGTTGGTGAGGCTGTTTTCCCTGCTGTTCCCCATGGCTTCTGGGGTGTTCTGGGATGGATGGTATTTGAGGGCCAGTGCAAGTCCCTGGGATTTGGGAGTAAAGCTAGTTCCTCTTAGGGAAACCTTCCAGGGCAGAGGCTGAAGGAGGTACTGGGGGATGAGGGGGGTGTCTATGAACTGGGGCCCTATGCTCGGACTGGGATTTTGAGGCCAGGGCCCAGTACTGCCCTCAGCTGCCTCCACCCTCCTCCCCTGAGCTGTGGGCTTAGAGCTGAGCCAAGCATAAAACAGACAACCTCTCTCTGCTTCTATGTCCCCACCCCCATCCTGACGAAGTCTGGTTTTCATCACTCATTAATCACTGCAGCTTCCCACAGCCTGTGTCTGTCTGTCCACACTCACCAGCCCCCTGGGCCCTGGGGGGATGGATAGACAGACAGGCAGATGGTCTTTAACTTGGGGAAATTTCGGGTCACACTGTGGGCTGCTCCCTCCCCCAGGGCAGGGGAGAGGCATGCTTCCTGGGTTGTTAGAGGTCACCGCTACCCCCAGCCTGGCCTGAAGCTGCCAGCCCGACCCACCTCACCCTGGCAGCAGGCAACTGGGGCCATTAGCTGTCCTGTTCACCAGGAAGGAAATGGGTTGGAGGGCTGAGGAATTCTAATGAAGCTTCCCCAGCTGGCAGGCCGGCTGGCGGGTGAGAGCTGGCACCTCCACCCCTGCTAGAGTCGGTGCCAGCCCTGTCCGGCCTGGCCCGCTTGGTGACCACCTGCCGCTGTGGGAACCCCGGCCTTGGGCCGCCTCGCAGAGCCCCTGAAGATTCCCAGGCACTGGGGTTCTCGGCCCCTGCCAGCCCACCCTGCTTCCCTCACATCACCTCTCTGCTCCTGTCCTCCTTCCCCTTCCCCTTGACCTCACCACCTTGACTTCTCTGAAGGAGATGGGGCCTCCAGGGTTGCATTGCCATGCATGACCCCACCCACCAGCCTCTCATTGCACGCCACCCCCTCCAACCACCAACTCTGGACTCCTGAGTACTGATCTGGTTCTTCTCTGACCCACTGTCAAGTTGGAGCTACTCACAGCCTCTCTAGGCCTCAGTTTCCTGGACTCTAAAGTGGGGTGAAAATTGCAGTTCTGCTACATCTCTTAGGGTTACCCTCCTGCTATGACTAATTAGAATGCCATTGATTGAGGGTCTGCTGGGTGTGGAATATGATGTGCAACTGGTGGGAAAGAGTACCAGGTGCCCTAGGTAGGGTGCCAAGGGTCACCCTCACTGTCATCCTCATCCCAGGGCCATAACATCACTGAATTTGATCACAGAATTTGCCTTCTGGGCCCTCCTGGCTTTTGCATACATTTCTCTAGGACCTCCCTGCTGACCTCAGCCTCTCCTGCCTTCCAAGAGGATTTGTCTTTTAAAATAGGAGACTAAAGACAACAGCTCTTGTCCCACAGAAAAAGCATTCTCTAAAACAAGCATGAGGTTCTAATGGCAGGACTCCAGGTGCTGCAGTAGTTGAGTGGGGGACATTCTAGGTGAGGCAGGGGGGTGTGGCGGGGGTGTGGTGGGGGTGTGTGTTTCAATTAGGTGGCTGCCAGCTTACCTTACCTTGCATGGGGCGGGGAACCCCAAGCACTACACTGGAACTTTCCCCCTCTCAACCCTGGACTTGTCCCCCTCCCCAAATGTCCCTCATGGGAACCGGGTACACAGTGGCCATTGTGGTGTGGGAGAGGAGGCAGGAAGTGGCAGTTGAGAGGGCCACTTTTGGAGTCTAACAGTTTTGGGTTTGAATCCCGGCTCAACCATTTGCAGGTTGGATGACCCTGGCCTCTGTTTCTTCATCCATAAAATAAGGATCGTAAGAGTACTGCCTACCTGGTGGGGCTGTCAAAGATTAAGTGATATAATATGGTTAAAGTGCTTGGTCACGGTGCCTGGCCAGAGAGGGTGCCCCATACATGGTGGCTACAGTGCTAGGAAGCCCTTAGCTCTCCCAGATACCATGGCCTGCCTGCCATGCAGGGCACTGGCTGACGGCTGGTGGGCAGCACGGCCTAGGGCTGGGAGTGGTGGTGAGGAGTGTCAGGCAGCCATGGGCTCCCCAGTGGTGGCCACAGCAGAGAGCTGGAAATGAGACCAAGTGTGATCTTTCCTCCCTGGTCCCACGCTCCGTGCTCCCCCAGAGCTGTGTCCCTGGAACCCAGGAGCCTCCAGCTCTGGCTACACGCCAGCCTTTCCTCATGCAGGCCTCTGTCTTTATAGCCTCCTGTTGGCTCATCTGCCCTGGTGGGTGGGAGCTGCTTCACCGAGGATCAGAAGATGACATGGATCCCCAAATGGTTTCCACTGGCGCCAGAATGCCGCACGGCAGCCAGCTGTCAGCATTGCCATGCGAGATGGCAAGATCCCCAGCAGGGGCAGAGCCCCTCAGAGAGCAAAGCCCGCCAGAACCAGGGTTCTGAAGTCATAGAACTCCTTCCCACAGATCCAGGATGCACATCTGCATATCATTGCACAGTGGTTTGCATACATTTGCATCCAAGTCCACATCCAGTCCCTCCATACTGTTCCTTTTTCCACCTCTAGTAAGAATGAATATTTAACGTACCACTCCAAAGTTATAGTAGCTAAGCCCCCAAACCCAATTCCATCCATTTCAAGTGTGTTTTGAGGGCCTGATGTCTGGAGCAGCCTTTTTTGTTGTTGTTGTTGTTGAGATGGAGTCTCGCTGTGTCACCCAGGCTGGAGTGCAGTGGCACAATCTCAGCTCACTGCAAGCTCCGCCTCCTAGGTTCACGCCATTTCCTGCCTCAGCCTCCTGAGTAGCTGGGACTACAGGCTCCTGCCACCAGGCCCGGCTAATTTTTTGTATTTTTTTTTTTGGTAGAGACGGGGTTTCACCGTGTTGGCCAGGATGGTCTCGATCTCCTGACCTCGTGATCTGCCTGCCTCGGCCCCCAAAGTGCTGGGATTACAGGCGTGAGCCACCATGCCCGGCCAGACCAGCCTTTATCAAAGATGGAGGATGAGGAAACTAGAGTCCTTGCTTTTAGGGTACTCACAGCCTAACTGGGGAAATTCACAGGTGAGATCCAGGAAAATGTATTAGGGTGCATTCCAGGGTGCAGTAGCTATAGATAAATAGGGTGCTGGGGTTGGGGGCAGGAGCTCCAGATGGGCTGGAGGAGCATGGGTGGTAAGCTCCAGGGTCCCTGGCACAGGGCTGCACATGTGCTGGCCACTGTGTTGATGAGGGGTCTATGAGTTTTTAACTCAGCCCCCCATCCCATGGCTCTCTCTGGTGCAGGAACTACATGTGGTCGCCTTGCATTGTACCACAGGCCTGCACTCCACTGCGACAGACTGGACCCAGTGTGGGGCCAAGGACAAAGGCGGCCTTCCGTGAGGTAGTTGGACTTGGGAGCTCTGAGTGGGTGGGAGTGCCTGTCCCACCTAGTCCCATCCATGCACCTTCATGTGATACAGAGGAGGGAACTGAGGCACAGAAGGCTGGGTAACGCACTCAAGCATCCACACAGGAAGAGGAACTGGAAGAGGAACCCAGGCAGCTAGGCTCTTTGGCCAGTGCCTTTGGCCACCACACTCCATAGTTTCCCACCAAAGGACATGCTCGGCTCCAGGGCAGGAGTTAACAGACCATCAGGGGTTGGTGAGGCCGGCTCTGGAGTCCCACTCTCAGGTTTTGGCTGGCTTCTTGATTGCATCCCGTTTGATCAGCTGGGTCTTTTGAATGCTGACTCCATTGATTGTCAGTGGTGTGACTTCAGGGAAGCTGCTCGATTTCTCCACCAAGGTTTCCTCACCTGTGGAGCGAGTGCAGTGAGGGCACCTATTCATGGGAACCTGATTCACATGGCACCGCAGTGAATGTGCAATGCACGTCTGCTGCTGGGTGGGGACCGATGGGGAAGGTCTGACAATGGCTTGTTGAGGGCATGTAAGGAAATGGGCCTGGCTGGAGCAGAGGCCGCCCAGGGGAGGAGAGAGGGACAAGGCTAGGCCTGGGGAAGGGAGCCCCAGTGCCCTCCGTCATTCCAGAGAGGCAGATGTGGTCCATGTGGCCAGAGCTGCCTGTGGCTTGGCAGCTTCTCCTCACTGGCCTCATCTGGTCCCTCATAGAGATGCTGGGACTGCCCCTCCTTAGGAGCTTCAGGGCTGGGAGTGGGTGCTGTGCCCTTAAGAATGCCCTCAGAATGCCACCAGGTGCTCACAGTCAGCCTGCAAGACCCACAGCATGGTGAAATTCTGAGTTGCCGACATGGTGCTTGAAAGCAAGACTTAAGGTTACATTTTGCCTTCCCTGGTTTCCTTTAAAAAAGTCCGGAGATGGATGGGGGCTTGGCCTCTCCACATCATTGGGAAAAGGTCATCAGACTCCACTGCCGAGGCAGGAGGGTCAGGGGCAGTTGGAAGACCAGGGGTATCCAGGGAGGAGGGGCAGGGGTTCTAAATAGAGGCAAAAGAGCAGAGTGAGGAGGGGCTGGGGGATGTGGCCATAACTCTGAGGACCCCATTATAGGAAAACACAGTACTCACAGGCAGACACACACCTGGACATGCGTTCTTGCACCCATGGGCCCACAGACCATCGTCAAGAGGCTCAGAGAGTAGTGAGCCAGCCTGCAGGTTTCCAGAATATTCTCTTACGAGAGTCTCTATCCAGGAGTCTAGTTGGGGATAAAGCAAGGCCCTCTCCTTTACACTTTTTATTTAAGCACATTTGGGCAGATTGAGTTTGCCTGTTAACTAGAGTTAAAAGGGACTTGGGGCTCAGCCTCTTCTTGGTCCTACAGCTGTGGGCAGGGAAGAAGGAATGAGGGGTAGATAGTACACAACTGAGATCTGCTTCCACCTTGGGTTCCAGTCTCGAGGCACCAGCTCTGTGTAGGAAACCCACTGATGGGCAGCCTGACCTGATCTGGCAATGTATGGAGTCTGCTGGAGGTCTAGTCCCTGCCTCATCCTTCCCAACAGCCCCTCCTTAGGTGGGTGCTCAGTGTCTCTGGGGAGAATGCTCTAAGCTTTCTCTTCCACTATTAGCTCCACTCTATTCTTGTTCCCTGGCCCTCCTGCCCCAAACCCTGCAAGTTCCTTTTAGCTATCCTCCTTTCTGCCTTTCTGCATGGATTAGATCCTTTGTGACTTGGTCCCTCCTCATGGTAACTTACATACAATAGCATTAACAAAGCAGAAGTGTACAGCTCGATGGATAGCCACATGTGTGTCTAGACCCATGGAAACACCAGATCAAGATTTGAAACACTTCTAGCTCCAAAGCTGGTTCCCTTGTGCCCCTCTCCAGTCAATACCATCCCTAGTGGTGACTGCTAGTCTGACTTCTGACATCCTAGATTCATTTAACCTGTTCTTGACCTTCATACAAATGGTATCAAACAGTCTGTCTATGTCCAGCTTATTTTACTCAATATAATGCGTGGGAGATTCACCCATGCAGTTGTGTGTAGCAGATGCTTTTTGTTGTTGTGTTCTAATCACTGTGTAGTGTTCCATTATATGAGTATGCCACGATTTGTTTAGCTCCCCTGCTGATGGATATTTGGGTGTTCTAGTTTGAGGTACTATGAATAAAGCATTCATGTGCATACCTAGTCATGCACACATGCATTCATTTCTCTTGGGTGGACAAGTAGGAGTGGAATTCCTGGGAGGCTTGAGGTTTTTTTAACTTAAAAATTTATTTTGAGACAGAGTCTCTCTGCCTCCCAGGCTGGAGTGCAATGGCGTGATCTCAGTTAACTGCAACTTCTGCCTCCAGGGTTCAAACCATTCTCCTGCCTCAGCCTCCTGAGTAGCTGGGACTACAGGCATGCAGCACCATGCCTGGCTAATTTTTGTATTTTTAGTAGAGGCGGGGTTTCACCATGTTGGCCAGGCTGGTCTCAAACTCCTGACCTCAGGTGATCTGCCCACCTTGGCCTCCCAAAGTGCTGGGATTACAGGCGTGAGCTACCACGCCTGGCCAGGAGACTTGGAGTTTTAAGAGGTCAAGTCCGTCCTTCTCACTGGCCAGGCTTTGGGACATAATAGTGTTAATGAAATAGTTGTCCCCACCTCCCAGTGCCCTCCCCGTTCCAGGTGCAGCTTCTTGGGAAGGTCAGGTGCTCTTTCATACTGTTGGCTATAAGGAATGGAAAGACCCATCCTAGAGGGCTCATGCCTTTAAAGAGCCACTTGAGACCGGGCATGGTGGCTCACACCTATAATCCCAGCACTCTGAGAGGCCAAGGCAGGCAGATTGCTTGACTCCAAGAGTTCAAGACCAGTTTGGGCAACATGGTGAAACCCCATCTCTACAAAAAATACAAAAATTAGCAGGGTGTGGTGGCATATGCCTTAGTCCCAGCCACTCAGGAGGCTGAAGTGGGAGGATCGCTTAAGCCCGGAGGTGGAGGCTGCAGTAAGCCATGTTCACACCATTGCACTCAAGCGTGAGTGACAGAGTGAGACCCTGTCTCAAAACAGACAAAGAAAGAAACATAAAGAGCCACTTGAAGAGGCCTGAAATGCTACGGAGGGAGTTGCGGGCTCTTCTTCAAGGCCTGGTAGGAAGGTCAGGAAAGCATGGGGCCTGGGGCAGCAAGGCAGGAAGGATGCAATTGCACAAGGTGCTGGAGGCAACTGAAGCTCCAGGTTAGTGACCTGTCCAAAGCCACATGGCCAGTATGTGGCCAGCAGGGATGTCAACTCAGGTGAGTCTTCCTCTAGCCCAGAGTTCTTCTGACCACACAAAGACTGCCCTCTCTGTGGGGAGGAATGTAGAGATAGTCAGGGCTCAGCATTATGGACCTGCTGGGTGCTCTGCCCTGAGATCAGCCTCCAGGCAGTTCTTTCTTGGGATCTTCACCCCTGCCTGGCCACCAGCCATGCCTCTGGCCCAGTCCCCTCCCAGGGAGACATTTGCAGGCCTTGAATAGCCTGAGTCATGGCTGTGAGCTGGAGGAGAGAGAGAGAGAGACAGAGCCTGGGGGCTGGTATCATCCAAGACCCCATGCCAGGACCTTCCAGTGAGCCAGCCATGGATGAGTGGGGGCAGCACACAGAGAACATTCCTGGAAAACAATTTGCCTTTAGTAACCCTCTCAGGCTTTCTTGGCCATACCAACACATTTGGTCTCAGGTTGGCAAGGCCTGGGATGGCTGTGAGCATCTGGTGAGGCCTTAGTGGGTCAGGGGGAATGCTGCTTTGGCCTCCTGGGAACTGCCAACGGGCATCTCCACTGGAAGGTCCTGGATGGTACCTTCATGATGCAGTTCATGGTGTGAAGACTTCAGGCTGCAGAATTAGCGATTCACTGACTTTATTCCAGAGAGGGAGAGAGCCCAGATATATATGTATGCATGTAAGTGTGTATGTCTGAGTAATAATGTGTGTGTGGGTGCATGCATCTATGACTTAGACATTCATTCATTCATTCAATCATTCTGCAAATATTTACTGTTGCCTATTATGTGCCATGGGAGATTCCACAGTAAATAAAAGAGGCAAGGTCCCTGTCCTCAAAGGTGTTATTAGACCCAGAGCACACATCTCCATGTGATGCGTGTGTACATAAAGGAACATGTGGCTGCCTGTGTGTGTGTCTGAAGAGAGGTCTGAATATCTGAGTTTCTGAGTATGTGTGTGTCTAAACATATGAGTCTGAGCATGTGTGTGTGAAGGGGAGAGAATTACTCATCCACTTAGAAAGGCCTCTCCCAGAGCAGTTATATTTTCATAAATAAAAATAATCAGATAATGAGTTCATTTCCGATCTCAAGTTTGATGCCAACATTCCAGTGAAACAAGACTCGCTGGCGGGCTGGCTGCACTCTGTGTGGCTTGGATTAGCTGGGGAAAGTGCAGAGGCCAGACCTGCCACTTGCAGGCTGTAGGGAGTAGAGGAGGAAGAGAGGGTGGCCTACAACCAAAGGACTGACAGCATGTGTCTGGGGCTGAGTAGCCCCTCACCCTTACACAGGTATCAGCAGACAACACTCAGGAGTAAGTTCGGGCCTTATACCCCCAACAGCCTGTGTAAGGCCTGAACTTCCTCCATTCACTCCTTGGAACCAGTGATGGACAGAGTCTGTGCTGCTTTGTAAATGCAGATGGCCCCAGAAAAGATGGCCCACTGAGCTGCCATGAATCATGGAAGGCTCAGTGAATGACCCTTTCCCTGGGCACCCAGGCCAGAGCTCAGGGATGCCTGCTGGGAGAACAGTAGCAGGGTACAGAGAGAGGTTGTGACTAGATCCCCTAGGGGAGAGGGATAGAGGCCACAGGCAGACTACAGCCCCTGCTTCTGCTTGGATTGACATTCAAGGAGTCAAGTTAATGCCTCAGTTCGGCATTCATGGTCTTGGACAATGGTTTTCCCAAATGGATCTGGGCTCTCCTGGTCCACCTCCCCTCACCCATGCTCCTGCCAGACACAACCATCTTCTACTTGGCCCTCTCTGCCTTTGCTTAGGCTATTCCTTCTTGGAATGCTTTTCCCCAACTCTGCATGCCCAAATGGATCAGGTCTTGAAGATCCAAATGTGGCCCCCTTCATGCAGTCTTCCCTAATTCTGCCAGCTAGGAATGCTTTCTCACATTCAGTGGTGACCGCCTTTTAACAGTGTCCTCCTTTTCCTCCTGGACTCCAAGTTCCAAGAGGGCAGGATCTGTGCCTCCCTCAGCTGATTTTCCTCCACAAGTCCTAGCCAGCCTGAAGATGGGGCTGCTCCTGCAAGCTGGTCAGAAAGGTGAACGGAGCTGGAGTCAGTAGCAACTGTAGGTGGACCTGGGGGGAACCAGTCAAGGTTGTGCCTTGAGATATGCCCCTGCTCTGAATTTGAGACCTAATGCCAGACAGGAGTGCCCTGGAGTTAGATAGGGGCTTGGAAAAGGGCACTAAGGGGAGAGGGATGGGGAAAGGAGAGGGGCTTTTCCTAGGAGGCACGACTTGGACCCCAAAGCGAGACATCTGTGAGATGTCAGGGTACTACACTGGGGGGCTGGGGTGGAGGATTGTGGGGATAATCAATTCAGAGGCACAGGCTGATTTTCTGCAAGTAAGGAAGAGGAGTCCACAGAGGTTGTCTGTCCATCCATCCATCTGTCCATTCTTCCATCTGTCCATTTCACTATGTACTTACCTGTTCATGCATTCAACAAGCAGCATTGAGCCTCTCCTGTATGCCGAAGCCTTGTGGAGCTTTACATACATTATTTCATCTACTCACAACAGCTGCGTGAGGAACGTATCTCAGAGGAGGAGGCTGAGCCTCAGAGAAGTTGAAGGCAACGTTCAGGGTCACAGTCCAATGTCCACGCTGCTTCTCCAAAACCCGAGCTCTTCCCACGCCAGCAAAGAACAAATGGCTTATTTCTCAGCCTCTCCCTGGCTTCAGGCTGAGCTAGATCATGGCCCTTGGGCAATATGATTAAGCCTTTTTCTTGTCTGGGAAGTTCAGCCTGTGTCTCCACCCAGGGGCCCCAGACACAATTTGGCCATCAGCCAGCTGTCTTTATCCTCTAACATCTTTGCTGACAAGACCACTTCTAGGGGCAAGCTCCTAACCCAAGGAGCAAAGCTTCACCAGTGGAATTTTTAACAGAGAGAGAAGCTTTTTTGGGCAGGCACCCTCTTACTTTGCCAAGAGGGAGGATAATCCTGGCAAGAGGGTCCAGCATGACAGAAAGAGCTGCAAGTGTTGTCAAAAATCACCTGGGAGGTTGCTGTAAATGCATATTCTGGGGCCCCATCCCTATACAGTTCAGTTAAATAATCTGGGATGGGCACAGAAGTCTGAATTTTTTTTTTTTTTTTTTTTTTTTTTGAGACGGAGTCTCGCTCTGTCGCCCAGGCTGGAGTGCAGCGGCGGGATCTCGGCTCACTGCAAGCTCCGCCTCCCGGGTTCACGCCATTCTCCTGCCTCAGCCTCCCGAGTAGCTGGGACTACAGGCGCCCGCCACTACGCCCGGCTAATTTTTTGTATTTTTAGTAGAGACGGGGTTTCACCGTTTTAGCCGGGATGGTCTCGATCTCCTGACCTCGTGATCCGCCCGCCTCGGCCTCCCAAAGTGCTGGGATTACAGGCGTGAGCCACCGCGCCCAGCCCAGAAGTCTGAATTTTTAACAAGCCCCAAAGGTTGTTGACGTGCGTTGTCAGAGGACTCACAAGAAATGGGCACGAAACAGGACTTCCCTTAATGCACCTGAAGATCACACCACTGTTTAGCGCGGACACATTTCACAGTTAAATGGCACTCATCTGAATATCTAAAATCTTTCATTTTTTTTTTCTTTTAACCTGTGCTGATGCTGTGGATTTCTTGGATTCCACAAGCAGATCCTTACACTGAATCCCCTTCAGACTCATCTCTTTAAATGTGGCCTATCCACCCAGCCTGACCAAATCTTTTTGGATCCCAATTTTATTATTCAGTGCATTTCCCACTCTTCTCAGCTTGGATGGTCTGCAAATTCTACCAGCCACATATCCACCCAAGTTCCTGATAAACATGTCGAAGGGGCCAGGACCAAAGCTGTGTAAGAAGCTCTCGCCACACCACCACAGGCAGGCCTCAAGGCCCAGCGCCTGAGGAGTCACAAAGCCTGCAACCTGAACTGCTTCACCCTCCAGGCCTGCATGGCAGAGGACGCTATGAAAGGCTTGCTGGAATCCAGCCACGGGAGCCTGGCCATTCTAGTGTCCTCCCTCAGCCCATCAGCCGGACACGGAGGCTACCTGGATCAGATGCTGAACTCCTTCATGGCTTACTGCATTTTGGATGGACAAACCCATCTTTTCTCAGTGCATGTCCAGAACTGTGGTATCAAGTTCACAGATAGGTAGAGCAGGTTTCTCTCCGTGCCCCTTCCTGAGACTCAGGCCTCCTTGGTGACTATGCTGCAGTTTGGCAATCTCTAGGCCAGGAGACCTATGTATGTATATACCTGTGACCCAGAAGATAGGGTGGAGGTAGGCAAGGAGTAGGCAAGGGGTGGAGAGTTGGGGAGAGGCGAGACTCGTGGGAATTTGGTTTTCCTTAAGGCTGGAGTTTGGAATAAGTGGTCAATGTAACTGGCCGTAAGCCTTGGAATGAAACTCCTCCTTTCCCACTGGCAGAAAGGGCTGAGCCGCCGCCTTGCACATCCCAGGCTGGAACTTGAGCCGCGCAGCTGGCTGTGTGCAAAGTGGGGAAAGAGGGGAAGAGGGGACTCTAACAAAAATGTTCTGGGCCTGGCTGGGAATGCTGAGCACAGAAATTTGATCGGGGACTGAAACAACTCCAAATGTTTCCCACATTTCTTGGAAATGGAGGCATTCTCACCAGAACCTGGGTTTTCTTTTGAATAACACTTCCCCCTAAACCTGTCCCCCACCCTGAGAGGGTGGGAGTTGGGACGGGAAGCAAGCATTTACCATGCCATCAGCGATCCTGGGCTGTTTGTCTCTGAAATTACCATCAGCCATTAGAAGGGAAAAGTGGGGAGGCTTTGCAGAAGAGGTGCAAGAACCACCCAGCAACCCCAACTCGCTCCGCTGGGCTGCTGAGGTCCAGAGATTTATGTTCCTCCCTCTGCCCTGGTTCTAAAGCTCCTCCTCTGAGTTCAAGCTGAGTGGAGCTGCCTCCTGCCCTCCAAGGGCAGCTGTCCTGCAGCTCGCCCCTCCCTTTCTCTAGCTGTCCACCCCTTTGGCCTCTGCTCCCTGACTCCTGCTCTTTCAGGGGCCATGGGAGAGAGAGGCCTGACCCCTGGATTTTCACTGCCACCTCTTAGCCATTAGCCTGGCGCCTGAGGCCCTCGTCACACCCCAGGCTATGCTTGGGGCTGGGAGCCCTTTGCTGCCCACGCCTGCCCCTCTCAGGAGCTGGAAGAAGCCGCTGCTATGATAGAAGTTTCCATCAGAAAAAGGAGAGGAAGTGAAGGTTGCAGAAGGAGGAGAAAACAAAAGCTGTGTCAGTCTTTGCCCATGTCCAGATCTGGAGCCGGACAATCGCCCCTCGGGGGCTCGGCTTTGAGCCACAGCTGTGTCTGCCCTGTGGAAGGAGGAGCAGCCTCCCCCCACCTCTGGTTTTCCATGAGGTGGAAATGGGGCACCTAAGGAGAGGCACGAGCAGTAACAGAACCCTCTTCATACATATTATGCCCCCCAAGAAAGCGCGGGGCCTGGGTTCAGGTCCACTTTGTCATGAGCTGACTCTAGGGGACAGGCCCCCACCCGGGCTTCTCTCTCTTGTGGATGTGGACTGTATGGGTACACAGGGTTGTGCCAGAGGTTCCAGATGCTGCAGGACAAGCATGGCTCATCCTGGAGAGCATCAGGTTTGCCAGACTGTAGGAAGAAAAGCACCATCATTTTTATATTGAAGTAGCCATGTGTATATTATGAAGGAAGATGCAAAACACATATCAATTTTTAAGAAAACACCACTTTTCCAACAAATCACACCATTGGAGCCCCTTGAAGCTACTCCCTCGGATGCTCACTCTCCACTCCCTTCAAATACACCAGCCCTCTGTGCCTCAGTTTCTTCGGCCAAGAAGTGGGGTAGTGTTAACCCCACGTATGAGGAAAGGCTGGTGGGGCTGGGTGGAGGTGGGGTGGGACGGAGCTGGGCGGAAGCAGGCCTTTCCTCCTCCTGGGCCTGCAGCTTGCAAACTCCAGTGCTGTGTCCCCAGAGGAAACCTTCATTGAATGGGTCACTGGGCTTCCCCCAGCTGAGCTGGGTGTGACGATCTCCAGCTCTTGGCCATGTGCCTGGTCACCCAGATCCCAGTGGCCTGGAGACTTCCTGCCTGAGCCTCTTTGGGCTGAGGCTCCCAGGGCAGGTGCAGTGTCTCCAACAGGGGACAGCCCTGAGGCAGGGCACAGGTATGTGGGCAGGGACTGGGCACCCCCAAGCACTCCTACCTGCTCCTTTCATTCACTGGCCCTGGAGAAGCTGGGAGAAGAGGGTTTGAGGGGAGGGAACAGGGCATTCCTTCTTCTGGAGGCTCAGAGCATCAGGAAGAAGGTTGTGAGCTGCCAACCTGCTGCTGAAGCTGGCCCGTACCTAAGTTAGCCTGGCCCACATCAGACTTTACAACTTGGAAATCCCACCCAAAAGGATGGATTTCTTTTCTTTATTTTTGACGGAGTCTGACTCTGTCACCCAGGCTGGAGTGCAGTGGCGCAATCTTGGCTCTTGCAACCTCCACCTCCCGGGTTCAAGCAATTCTCCTGCCTCAGCCTCCCGAGTAGCTGGGACTACAGATACACACCACCATGCCCGGCTAATTTTTGTATTTTTAGTAGAGATGGGGTTTCACCTTGTTGGCCAGGTTGGTCTTGCACTCCTGACCTCAGGTAATCCACCCACCTTGGCCTCCCAAAGTGCTGGGATTAGAAGGGTGATTCACCGTGCCCAGCCTGGAATTCGTATTTCTCTTGAAAAGCTCAGGCCTGACCATCTCGGCCCATATGGCACTCACAGGCCACAGTGTGCAGTGACTGTCCTGTCGACAGCAGGCTTTGCCACAGGCCCCACGGCCCCTAATGCCCCACGCAAGGCACACCTGTCCACTTCTCCCATGCCCATCACCTGCCGGTGGTTGTGGGCTGGAGTGTGTGGTCTCTGACGACATCTCCCGTGAGGAGAGACGTTTGGTCAGCTGGGGCATGACCCCCACAGCCCAGAGAATGCTCTTTGAAAGTCAGAGCCTTTCTGACCCTCAGGCATGGCTGGTGAGAGCTGGGTGGCGGGGGAAGGCCCCAGTGCCTCCTCTTCCCACTCCCATGGGGCACCGTCAGCCCTTCACATTGCCCTGGGCTTTGGAGGGACCTGGGGCTGCAGGCAGAGAGCCCTGAGGGAGCTACAGTTCTGTTGGGGCTGCTGGAAAGAAACATGTCCCATCCCTTGAGCCCCTGACCCTAGTGACTGGCATCCCCTACACTGCCCCAAGTGGGTGAGGTGTCAGCACTGACACCCGCCTCTGCAGATCTCCCAGGCAGTTTCCCTGAAGGCTGGGAGCTCCCAATTCCCAAACATCCCCAGGCTGTGGGTGGCCAGGGGGTGAGGCCAGGGCTCTTTGTGTCTCTGCCTTTTCCAGACACTGCCAACCTTGTCATTCATTCATCACATAATTGTTGGGTGCTTACTGTGTGCCAGCAAAGACGTGAGGCACCCCTTCTGACTGTGTGACCTCAGGCAAACCACAATCCTTGCACCTCAGCTCTCTTATCTGTAAAACTCGGATAAACTCGGATATGACAGTATCTGATTTAGGAGGTAGTTATGAGGATTACATGAGATGATGTATGTCTCCCAGGCTGGGCGTGGAGCCGGTACACAGCAAGCGCTCAATAAATGTTGTCCATGTCACAGGTACCATTACTAGTAAGAACGGGCCAGCTTCCTGCCCCTTTGGTGTCTCTCCTTCTCTGGCCTCCATTCTCGGCTTCTGTTCCTCTTCTCCCTCCCTGCTCTCCGCCAGAGGCCCTAAGTCTGCACCCTGAAGCGGGGCTGCGGCCTCCCTGGAGTCCCAGGCCCACGGGCGGCCCCCGCCGGCCCCCTCCAGGTGCACAGAGGCCCCATTCTCCAGGCGCGCGTCCCCTCGCCCGCTCCTGGGGGACCCTGCCCGGTGACCTCGCGACCCCGCCGTTTGCGCGGACAAAGAGGGGCCTTTTGTTCTCTGGCCAGGCCTGCCCGGCCCGCGCAGCTCCCGCCCTAATCCGGCTAATTACGGTCCACACGGCGACCGGGGCGCGCGCTCGCCCACCACTTTCCCACGGCCGCGAAGAAAGCCCCTCAGTGCGCGCCGGGAACAGAGCGGCGATTCAGCTGCGCCCTGCGCCGTGCTGCTGCCGTGGCCACCCTTCGCTGCGTCTTCTGCCGTTCCCTTGTCCTCTACCTCTGTCTGTCGGTCTCCGGGCCTTCCACCCGCCGGCTGTTTCTCTTTTGGTCTCCCTCTCTGTGTCTCCCCATCTTTCTCCCTCTCTGTGTTTTTATCTCTGTCTCTCCCCGGCGTTCTGTTATCTGTCTGTCCCATTCTCTCTGCCCCTCTGCCCCGAGGCCTTCTGCCTCTGTGTCTCTGTCCCCTGGGCCTCTCCCATGGCGGGGGTTCAGCCTGCCCCTCACTGGCTCCACGTGGGGTCCCAGCTTAAGCTGAGCATCAGCTTCCCCAGCCCAGCAGCCTCGGGCCTCCGTTCTCTCCCCGCTGGGGACCCCAGGGTCCTGGCCCCTTCTAAGGAAACCAAGGAAGCTCTGGGGCCGGGCCATGCCTCCTAAATGGTTTTGGGGAAAGCTCCAAAACAGAGAAGTGCCTCAAGATGTCCGGTGCTGGCCCAGGTGTTGGGGGAGGGGGCGGGGAGGGCTCCTGCAGCAGCTCCTGCTGGTGTGCTGTGGCCAGGTCAGAAACGGGAGCCACTCTGAAGTAATCTCAGCCTTGGGGACAGCCAAGGAGAGAGTCTGGTTTGTGCTTGACTAGTTCCAGACCAGCCACCATAGAGTCCAGACAACTGCTTTTCTAGAATTCACTGTGAATATGTGTCTAAAGGGTGCTGGACAGGCCACAGAATGGGTCTTTTTGGCAGAAGAAATTCATTCATTCATTCATTTTAGGGCCCAAGAAATTCATTCATTCATTCACTCATTCGCTCAGCAAGTATTTACAGAATGTTTACTATGTGCCAGAGATTGTTCTAAGCAGCAAGGAGAAAGCCATGAACAAAATGAAGATCGTTGTGCTGCATTCTAGCAGGGAAGGCACATGGGTGAAAGGTAAGAGAAGGAGATTGACAGACGGTGGGAACGGCTAAGAAAAAACGCAAAACCGGGTGGAGGTCGGCCGGCGTGGTGGCTCACGCCTGTAATCCCAGCAGTTTGGGAGGCCGAGGCAGGTGGATCACCTGAGGTCAGGAGTTTGAGACCAGCCTGGCCAACATGGTGAAACCCCATCTCTACTAAAAATGCAAAAATTAGCTGGGCGTGGTGTTGCACGCTTGTAATCCCAGCTACTTGGGAGGCTGAGGCAGGAGGATGGCTTGAACCTGGGAAGCGGAGGTTGCAGTGAGCCAAGATCATGCCACCGCACTCCAGCCTGGGCAATAGAGCGAGACTCTGTCTCAAAAAAGAAAAAAAAAAAAAAAAAGGAGGTGTCAGGAGCTGGAACGGGGTCAGAGGTGGCCTATCTGGGTTGGTGACACTGGAGCAAGACCTGAGTAATGTCAGGGTGTCCTCCCTCCAGGGCAGTGGCTGGGTCTGCAGGCAAGTTCCCACCAAAGCTGCCAGGTGGCTCTTCCTTCTGTCCTCAGGTCCCAGTCGCTGGGAGACGCCGAGACCCACTGAGGCCCGGTGGTGGCCCCCAGCTCACTGAGGGGCAATGGCCGGGAAGAGGTTGGCTGAAAGACTTGTGCTGCAGGAAAACTCCTCCTGTCCCTCATTTTGCTTCCCTTTTTCTCATCACTGTCAGGGGTTTTCTGACAATGATGACCTTTGAGCCACAAATAAACCACACAGCCACATGGGAGGGGTCCTGACCAGGGCCTGGTGGTCTGTGTCCCAGGGAGAAGTACAGCCCTCCTGTCTGCAGAGAAAGTGAGGACTTCTTTACATCAAGGTAATTGAGGGAGAAGGATTAGTGAGTTTTCTGAGCTCATAAATCACAAAACAACCCAGTGGTGTTGTGGGTGTCCAAATCAGGGGGGCAAGAAAGACAGAAAAGGGCAAAAAAAAAACCACAAACAAAAACACTCTGGTGGGGTCATGTTGGCTTTGGACAAAGCAAGAGAACCTGGGGCGTAGCCGAGGCGGGACTAAAGGAAACACCGTAAGACCCAGAGGTGCTGGGGCTGAGATTTAGGGCACTGAGGGAGTTTGAGAGCCAGCCAGCGGGCGCCATCACGAGTGTGTTGGGTATACGTGGTTTGTGTGTGGCATATGGGAGGATGGAGCAGGCCCGTGTGACCTTCCTCAACCTCTCCCGCCAGCTGGCTCCCCTGCCCTCAGTGCCCTACCTGGCAGAACCTGGTCCTGGCTGAACTACCACTGAGCTTATGTGACCCCTCATCCTGCCAAGCCAAGGTGGGGCTGGCCAGGTTTATGGGCCCAGACACCTTCACACCTGGACCTTTTCCCCTTGGGACTTTGAGAAGCAGACAAGTGCCACAATTCTGTGTGGGGCTAAAGGAAGAAATCCCCAGCTAGGTCCGGGAGACGGTGTGTTCCTCATGGCCCTGCCCCTCACTAACTGGGGGCCATAAGCGCACCATTTGCCCTCTCTGGGCCTCACTTTCCATACTTGGAGAATAGGAATGGTACTAATAATCGTCCCTCTTCACAGGGTTACAGTAAGGATAGATGAGACTGAGATGTAAAATGTATTCTGTCAGCCAGTGATCACATCTTGTTTGACCAATACATGTAAAATTTTGACCTATTACTCACACATATAATCGAAACAAAAGTTTATACTTATCTGTTATATTCTGTTGAATGCATTGATCTAGTCTATCCTGTTCTGTTTCTTTCTATTTTTTAAAAAATCACAGATCATAATGCACTGGGTCTTGAACTACAGTTTCAGAAACACTGTCATAAACCATGGAAGGGGATATAAAAGCATTTGTGGTTTCATCACCTAGAGAGCTTGCTGGAAGTGGGGCCTGGAGTAGCCTTGGGAGCTGCCACCCTAGGCACACCAATGGTGACCCCAGTGCCACTCATCACTGGCCTATGTGGGCCTGCTCCTCTGTGGTGGACTTGAACCTTACTGCTCCAGCCATCTCCCCTGCCTGCCTGTCAAGCCTCGCTGTTGACTGTAGTCATCTTCATGCCAAAGGCCAGACATAGCCTGCGAGACTTGGATGGGACCTCGAGGGTCATCTCATCTCTCACTTTATATAGGAGAAAACTGAGGCCCAGCCAAGGAAAGTGACTTATTCAAGGCTGCCCAGTGAATGGGTGGCAGAACCAGAACTAGAGTTCAGATGTCCCTCTGTCAGCCCAAGGCTTGTTTTCATTACGGCCTTGTTATCTGCCTGATTGCAAACCCAATCCCCCCTTCTCTCTATGTCTTGGGTTCGGGAACCACTCCTGGCCTGAGCAGAGCAGGAATAAAGCAGCAGGGCCAGTCTAAAGTCTGCACATACTAACCATGTGGCCAAAGGCAGGCCTGTTAATACTTCTAAGCCTCAGTCTCCTTCTCTATAGAGTGGGAATGATGTTTTCTGCTCTTCCTAACACACAGGGTTGCTTTGTAAATTAAATGAGATAATGTGCATCAAATAGGCTTTGAAAAACCTTTTAAATATGCTTAAAATGGAAGGGTTCTTGAGGGTTGGGGTATGGTTGAATAGGTGAAGCACAGGGGTTTTCTTAGGTGGGTGAAATTATTCTGTATGATATTGCAGGTAGATACCTGACACTATGTACTTGTCAAGACCTGTAGAAATGTATAGCACAAAGAGTACATTTTTACACAAAATAAAAGAATCATTTAGGAGATCAGAGGATACGAAGATGGAATGCAAAATGTGACAAAACTATTTAACTGGATTAAAAACATGTAAAACAACTTCACTGAAGTGGGGGAGGGGTGGGAGTTTTTGATCTAAGCAACTTTGGAAATGAGTGGAGTCTATAAGACTAAAGACTAAAGAAACTGTGCCTAAGCACTATACTCTAGTTGATAAAGTAGCTTCTCATGGAGTGTGGTTAACAATTCCAGTACCACTATACATGTGTATTGGAACTGAATGAGTAAGTCAATGGATAGTGGATGGTAACAGACAGGTTTCTCACTGTGGGAGTGGAAGGTTACAGACAGGCAAGGGGAGAAGGCTAGAATGATCCTTGTGATAATTTATTAGAGTTGTAATATTAGTATGAAATCAAGTTTAGATTGCACTCCATCCAGGGCAACAAGAGCGGAACTCCGTCTCAAAAAAAAAAAGGTACCTCTCCCTCTCCCTCCCCCTCCCCCTCCCCCTCTCCCTCTCCCTACGGTCTCCCTCTCCCTCTTTCCACGGTCTCCCTCTGATGCCGAGCCAAAGCTGGACTGTACTGCTGCCATCTCGGCTCACTGCAACCTCCCTGCCTGATTCTCCTGCCTCAGCCTGCTGAGTGCCTGCGATTGCAGGCGCGCGCCGCCACGCCTGACTGGTTTTCGTATTTTTTTGGTGGAGACGGGGTTTCGCTGTGTTGGCTAGGCTGGTCTCCAGCTCCTAACCGCGAGTGATCCGCCAGCCTCGGCCTCCGGAGGTGCCGGGATTGCAGACGGTGTCTGGTTCACTCAGTGCTCAATGGTGCCCAGGCTGGAGTGCAGTGGCGTGATCTCGGCTCGCTACAACCTCCACCTCCCAGCCGCCTGCCTTGGCCTCCCAAAGTGCCCAGAGTGCAGCCTCTGCCCACCCCGTCTAGGAAGTGAGGAGCGTCTCTGCCTGGCCGCCCATCGTCTGGGATGTGAGGAGCCCCTCTGCCTGGCTGCCCAGTCTGGAAAGTGAGGAGCGTCTCTGCCCCGCCGCCATCCCACCTAGGAAGTGAGGAGTGCCTCTTCCTGGCCGCCATCCCATCTAGGAAGTGAGGAGCGTCTCTGCCCGGCCGCCCATCGTCTGAGATGTGGGGAGCGCCTTTGCCCCGCCGCCCCGTCTGGGATGTGAGGAGCGCCTCTGCCCGGCCGCGACCCCGTCTGGGAGGTGAGGAGCGTCTCTGCCCAGCTGCCTCGTCTGAGAAGGGAGGAGACCCTCCGCCCGGCAGCCGCCCCATCTGAGAAGTGAGGAGCCCCTCCGCCCGGCAGCCGCCCCGTCCGGGAGGGAGGTGGGGGTCAGCCCCCGCCAGGCCAGCCGCCCCGTCTGGGAGGGAGGTGGGGGGGTCAGCCCCCCGCCCGGCCAGCCACCCCGTCCGGGAGGTGAGGGGCGCCTCTGCCCGGCCGCCCCTACTGGGAAGTGAGGAGCCCCTCTGCCCGGCCACCACCCCGTCTGGGAGGTGTGCCCAACAGCCCATTGAGAACGGGCCATGATGACAATGGTGGTTTTGTGGAATAGAAAGCGGGGAAAGGTGGGGAAAAGATTGAGAAATCGGATGGTTGCCGTGTCTGTGTGGAAAGGAGTAGACATGGGAGACTTTTCATTTTGTTCTGTACTAAGAAAAATTCTTCTGCCTTGGGATCCTGTTGATCTGTGACCTTACCCCCAACCCTGTGCTCTCTGAAACATGTGCTGTGTCCACTCAGAGTTAAATGGATTAAGGGCGGTGCAAGATGTGCTTTGTTAAACAGATGCTTGAAGGCAGCATGCTCGTTAAGAGTCATCACCACTCCCTAATCTCAAGTACCCAGGGACACAAACACTGTGGAAGGCCGCTGGGTCCTCTGCCTAGGAAAACCAGAGACCTTTGTTCACTTGTTTATCTGCTGACATTCCCTCCACTATTGTCCTATGACCCTGCCAAGTCCCCCTCTGTGAGAAACACCCAAGAATGATCAATAAAAAAAAAAAAAAGTAAAAAAAAAAAAAAAAAAGAAATCAAGTTTAATATAGATACAGATAGTGACATATAGGAATATTTATATGTTTGTGTATATCTGTTGTGATATACATACAGGTTAGTAGATACACATGTATTTCTATGCTCTGTCAGCTAAGAGGGCCTAGAAGTAATGACAGCCCAGTAGCTGTGAGCACACTTAGTGCTCAGATTTTGGCTTCTAATATCATTCTCCAATTTTAAAAACCCCCACAAAAACCAGGGCTTCTTGTAAAAATGGCTGATTCTAGGATTGGAACAGGAAATGTACAAGATGAACCTGGAACATCTTGTAGTGCCAGAAAGTAAGGAAGATCTGAGGAAGAAATGATGGGAGTATGTCAAAGGGACACAGGAGACAACTGGTAGAGCTCCAGTGGCTAAAGCTGGAACAAAGTGAGCAATAAAATAAATACAGTAGTATTGGATAATTACCCAAAGTAGAAGAGAAATATCCCGGCTCACGCCTGTAATCCCAGCACTTTGGGAGGCCAAGGCAGGCAGATCATGAGGTCAGGAGTTCAAGACCATCCTGGCTAACATGGTGAAACCCCATCTCTACTAAAAATACAAACAACTAGCCAGGTGTGGTGGCAGGCACCTGTAGTCCCAGCTACTCAGGAGGCTGAGGCAGGATAATCACTTGAACCCAGGAGGCAGAGGTTGCAGTGAGCCGAGATCATGCCACCGCACTCCAGCCTGGGCAACAGAGCAAGACTCCATCTAAAAAAAAAGAGAAATATCCATGAGTTTGAACTTATATAAATAAATGGCTACATAGAGAAAAGGGGGAGAAGATACAAAAATACAGAATTGCAGATGATATTCACAGATACTCAAGGATGAGCATAGCTCCCTGCTCCTTAAATGTGGGCTCCACATAGCAACTTACCTCCAAACAGTATACACGGAAAGGGGAAGAAAGAATAACTTCATAGTGGAGAAACCTGACAAACACTACTTCTGTTAACTGTGAACGCAGTTGACATCGACAGTGACAGGTCATGGTGGTGGCATATACTCTTGATAGGATGTAATGAAAGTGGCACTTCACCTTTGAGGTCTTGCTCCCTCAAACCCATAACCTAAAACATCAGACAAATCCCAGCTGAGGAACATTCTACAAAATACCTGACCAATACTCCTTGAAATCATCAAGATCATCAAAAACAAGAAAAGTCTGAGAAACTGTCACAGCCAAGGGAGACCTAAGAAGACATGATGGCCAAATGTAATGCTGCATCCTAGAACAGAAAAAGGATATTAGGTTAAAAAAAAAAACAACTAAGGAAATCTGAATAAAGTATGAACATAGTTTAATAATAATGTTAATCTTGTAGGGCTGATATCAATAGCAGTTTATTAATTGTGGCAAATGTACCGTACTAAATGTAAGATGATGATAATAGGGGAAATTGGGTGTGGAGAATATGGGAACTCTCTGTATTATCTTTGCCATTTTTCTTTAAAACTTTTCTAAAGTAAAAATTTTATATCGAAAATTGAAAGCCTTACATTGGTAATTATTCACAGCTTATGGCTAAGACAGGTGGAATTGGGAGAATGCCCTGGGAAGGTTTCAAGGAAGTACAAGGGAGGATTTGGGGAACTGCTCAGGGGTGAGAAATACAGCTTGGGAGACAGGGCGGAGGGGAAGCTCGGTGCACATCCCAGACTGAGGAGGTGTCAGAGGGAAAGGGTCCTTGGGACAGGGTGTCTTGGGACCCTTTCCTGCCTGGGAGGGCTTCTGGAGGAGGAGGTGAGTGGATGGGGAGTGACAGCCTGGCTCTTTGCTCTCCTACCTTATCCTGACCCACCTTGCCACATCTCTGGGGCCAGCCCTGCTCCTTATCTGGAGGCAACCCATCAGAGGAGTTAAAGGGTCAACTCTGGAATTGGAAAAGCTGGCCACTCACCAGCATGTGACCTTGGATAAGGCTTACACCCTCTCTGAGCCTCAGAGTACTCATCTACAAAGAGTGGTGAAAAATCTGTGTCAGAGGGTTCTTGCAAAGGTAAGTTGAGATAATGCCCATGAGGGCCAACACCTGGTACATGCTGGGGACTTGGTGAGTGTTACAGTCAATTTATCTTCCCTTTAGTCTACCTTTGAGCAAGATCAAACAGCCACTTTGCCCTCATACCTGGAATCCAGCCCTTCCTCTGGATCCCACGCCCCATGTGGCAGTTTTAAAACCTGGCCCCCAAATTCCAACACTCTTTCCATCTAGAGATCAGCAATTTTTTTTTTTTTTTTTTTTTTTTTTTTTTTGCTTTTTTATTTTGAGACGGAGTTTCGCTCTTGTTGCCCAGGCTAGAGTGTAATGGCGCGATCTCTGCTCACTGCAACCTCCACCTCCCGGGTTCAAGTGATTCTTCTGCCTCAGCCTCCCAAGTAGCTGGGATTACAGGCATGCACCACCACGCCAGGCTAATTTTTGTATTTTTAGTAGAGACGGGGTTTCTCCATGTTGGTCAGGCTGGTCTTGAACTCCCAACTTCAGGTGATTCGCCCGACTCAGCCTTCCAAAGTGCTGGGATCACAGGCGTGAACCACCACGCCCGGCCTAGAGGTCAATTTTATATCCCCTCCTGTTGAATCTGGAATATGTGACTGCTTCACATAATAGAATATGGCAAAAGTGATGCTGCTGCCAGCTCTGGGCCTAGGCTTTCAGAAACTGTCATCTTCTACTTCCTGTCTCTTGGGGTTTTCACTCTTGGAATCCAGCCACGGTACTGAGAGGGAGGGTGAGCAGCCTGTGGAGAGGCCCATGTGGAGAGGAACGGAGGCCCCAGCTCTCAGCCCTGGCTGAGCTCCCAGCCAGCAGCCAGTTCTCGCTGACTGCCTGAATCATCTTACAAGTGGGCCCTCAAGTCCGCAGATGAGCTGCCCTAGCTACCACCTTGCAGAGAAGAAACGAACCTTCCCACCATGCCCTGCCCAAACTGTAGATTCAGGAGCGAAATTAGTCATTGATGATATTTTAGGCCATTAAGTTTTGGAGTTACAAAGCCATAGTAACCTGAACATCTGCTAACTGGGTCCAGGACTGTTACTATTGCTCCACCTCCTCCTCTTCCTCCTCTCCGCCGTGTGCTTGAGTTGTGATGTGGGTTGTGGTGTGGTGGTTTAGTGGGTGGGCACCGAGCCACACTACCTGGGCTCAAATCCTGACTCTCACATATCAATTGTATGACTCTAAGGAAGCAACGTAGTCTCTCTGTGCCTCAGTTACCGTGTCTGTAAAATGGGGGTGAAAGTAGTACAGAATTGTTGGGAAGATTAAATGAACTAAGCAACATAAAGCACGTAGAAAAGCACCGGGCATGTGTACAATTATTCTGCCAAGCCAAGGCCCCAGCCCTCTTGGGTTCTGGGGTGCTGACTCCCTGGGGCCTCCATCATTTGAGATGATCCCTACCTGGCCATTTGAGGCCCCAGACTTCCCAGGTGCCACCAGCCTACCTCCCCGGACTATCACTCTTCCTGCTGGTGTCAGGCTTTGCCCATTAGGCCAGTCTTGCTCACTCCCATGACACTTCTGGCTCTGCCCCCTGGTCCTTCCCTGCACTGCTATAATTCTGACTTCCTTTTGGCTGGGCTGTTGGGGAAAAAGAGAGAGTGGTGAAGCGGAGGTGGACCCCCGCCATAGAGGGTGGTGCACTGGTGGGTGTGTTGGGGGAGCTTTAGTTCATAAACTTTACTGGGAAACAGAAGCCTTATCATCCACACATCTCTTGGGAAGACATTGATTTTCTTGCTGACATGAGTCCAGAGAGTAAGAAACACACTCACAATATGAGCAAGGCCTGCCGTGGAAAGCCAGAGAATTTTCACTAAATCTTTCTTAGGAATTGCAATGATAGCACGCAGCAGATTCCTGAGGAAGGTGGCGTTGCGTGTTAATTAGGTTTTGCCAGAGAAAAATGAACGTGCTCTAAGACACTTTCCCACGTATGTGTTCGTGCAGGTTGTGAGAACTCAGAAAAGCTTTGCATCCAGGCTGTGCCCAGGACTCAGATTTCACTAGCTCCAGGGGTTCTCTTTTGCAGTGAACACAGTGGCCTCCTCATTAGAGCTTTTCAAACCAGGGTGGGCACTGAGGAAGGGATTGAAAGTCCCCTGGGGCAGAGGGACCTTTGAAATGGGGAGCCACTGCCCCAGCCTGAGAAGCAGAGAACAGTGACCTGGGGGGGCGTCCATGGGGGTAGCCTGAGTTCCGGAGCTTGGTGGTCCCGCAGCGCTACTTAAAGGTCACTGCACCATCTCCAGTGATTCCCTGAGTCTGCCCTGCGGCTTCCAATTCCCCCAGTGGGCCTGGAAGAACGACCCACTTCATGCTGGGAAAGCCATGCTGATGCTGTTGACCTGCAGGAATAGAATTTGGAACCGTATCCCTCCCTCCATCCCCTCACAGGAGACAGAAAGCAGGGAGGATTGAGAGGATCTGGGCACGCGGGGGTTGCTCAGGAAGCAGGAGGGGGCTGGCTGCAGGGAGAGAGCAGCAGGAGTTCACCTGGGAGAGGAAGTATGTGAAGCAGGCTTGCCGCAGCACCACCTGGCCACCTGATCCCCCGGTGGAGTCTCAGGAATCCCATTTCTGGAGGTATTCAGGCCATGTTGAGTGTGTGGGGAGTGTGAGGCGGAGAGAGCCCTGAGTCAGAATCCACACCATGACACTCACTGTGGTGATGACAGCAGGCACATTCCGATAGGGACAATATTGATCAGTTCAGTAGTTCCTGACCTGTCTGGCTGCAGAGTTGAATCTCCTAGAGCCTTAAAAAGAAAACAAAAAACGATGCTGGACCCCACTGCAGGCTGATGGAATCCAGTGGGAGCCTGACGCTGCCCGGGTGACTGATGGCCAGGCAGGACCGAGGACCGCGGGATTGCACTCGGTAGAGGACCCCCTCCCCTAGTGCCTTCGGCCGTCCCCACAGCCGTGCTGAGGTGAGCAACCAGGCTGCTGGGTGGAGGGAAGGAGATGCCCAGCCCCCTTGGGGCAGGATGGAGTTGGATGCCTCTCCAGCTGCCACTGGCCCCTGGCAGGGCTCAGAGGATGCCCCTGCATTAAGTGAGGACTCGGGCTTTCTGTCTCCCAGGACCCTCACGTCCCTCAGCCTCTGCTGCCTTTGGGGCACCTCTGTGGCCAGGGTGGCTGGGTGGCCTCCGTGTGCTCCCCAGCCCTGATTCCACCAGCCCTGTCAGCCTGGCACAGCCTGGGTCCCCTGCCAGGTCTGGTGTGCAGCTGGCGTGAGGCCTAGAATCTGTCAGCGGCTTCATTGAGATGCTGCCCCATCTCTGCCCTAGTTCAGGGTTTCAGAGCCTTAAGGCACACATCCCAGTCTTTTCCTGCTCCCTCTGTCACCCTGGAAACAGGTCTCAGTTTCTGGCGGCCCAGGGTGGATGGTGGGGTTGTCCCCATAGGGCAGGGTAGGGCATGGGTGGGGGGCAGTGCTGGCTGGCTGAGTTGGGACAGACCTAGCAGAACCAAGGCTTGGCAGGGTGTGGGGGCTGGGGAGGGCCAGGGCAGGCCCACGCTGAAGAAAGGGCCCTTTCTGAAGTTCACCGGCATAAAGGGAATTTTTTTTGTTGGTTTGTCTTCCCTGGTGAGGGTGCCTTCTTCTAATTTACACAAAAGTGTCATATGTGTCAATGGTGGCCAGGTGTGTGGAACCTGTCTCGGGTTCCCTGGGCATTTCCTGAGCCCAGAATCTCTCTCACACCCACCTGGTCAGTGATTTATCCATGGGAAAAACCTGGCAGCTTGTGGAGTTCTGGCAGCTTGTGGGGTTCGGCCCTTGAATCTCCTGTGGTGGGTGACTCTGGATGTGCCCAGCCCCACCTCCAAGATGAGGAGAGACAGGACCTTCTCCTCCCAGACTCCCAGCCAGCCACTCTCCCCTTACCAAGCCCAAGAGGGGAGGATAGTGGGTGGCTGTGTGGAACCTGTCTGGGGTTCTCTGGGCTTTCCCAAGCCCAGAATCCCTGTCACAGCCACCTGGGCAGTGATTTGTCCATGGGAAAAACCAGGTGAGGACTAGAAACCCTGCTTAGTTCTTGCCCTGACTCTCCTGGACTTTCTCCCCCAAAAACCTCCACTTACTTACGCACTCCCCACAGCTTCATGAGGTTTCAGGGGAGGTTGAAGACCATGCTCTGGATGTGAAGTCATTCGGCCTGGACTCTGGTCCCGGCTCAGCTGCTCCTGCATCCCCCCAGTTCCCAGGGCCCCCATTTGCCCATCTGGAGACAGGGCCTTGCCCTTCCCAGGCAGGACTGCAGGTGAGTGTGTGGACTGGCACCTGGCTGGCCCACTGGGGTCCCCTCAACTCTGAGTGGGGTACATCAGTGACTGCTGTGGGTGCCTGCCCAGGTCCCTTCACCAGCCCATGATGCAGATCCCAGCTGCTATGGGAGAGTTGGCTGCTGAGGCTCACTGCTGCCTGCTTCTCTGAAGAATTGTCCTGTCTGACCAGCTGGGAGATTATCCCCTCCCAGATGCCCATTCCCCAACTTCATCCCCATTCCCCAAAACCAATGTCTGACCCAGGGTAGCAGAGCTGGCCCCTTTGCCTTCAGGTGGGACGGACCAATCCCATGGTGCTCCCAAGCTCCTTGGGATCCAGCTGAAGCTAGAGGCCACATCTTTGCCTTGGTTTCTCCCTGGCCCCATCCCGCTTCCCTCACTGCCCTGCTCCTGAGAACACTCCCCAATAAACCACATTCACTGGGTCCCCTCCCAGGCTCTGCTTCTAGGACAGCAGGCACGACCTATAAGAACTCTAGGGCCCTGTGGCTCCAGGAGCACCTGACCCTGATCCGGCGATGAAGCAGATCAAGGCACGAGTTGTCCTTGGCTGCAGGAGCTCAGAGTGGGTGAGGGAAGTGTGGCAGCTCAGGAGCCTGAGCTAGGGGCATTGATCTGTGCAGGGGAGGCAGGCTGGAGGAGCAGCTATCCAGCCTCGCTCACCCTTCCCCCGGCCCCCACCCTGAGCCTGGCCCCTGGGAGGCACATGTTATTAGTCCTGTCTTACAGGGGTGGCCGCCGAGACCAGATAGTCACTAAGTCTCTAAACCGTAGGTGACCCAGTAAATTGAGTGCCTTTGCTGGATTCCAGTGCCTGTGTCTTGCTCATTGCCCCTGAGTAGTTGCACAGTGTCTGCCCTGGAGGCATTGGCAGAAGCCGGGCCCTTGGCAGGAAGGAACTGGGGGAAAACTGAGTACTGGGTCTCCCCTGGTGTGGGGAAAGGGCCTGACCGCGTTAGAATGGCTGGAGCAGCTGACCCGACCCATCTGGCGGGCAGCTGGATTGGGAAGTTGGGGAGCAAGCTTCCTGCAGAGCTTCTTTCCCTTTTCCTGCCAGGAGAAAGGGGTCTTACAACTTCCCATCCTCATGCTGACTCTACCCTTCCCTGAATGTGCATGGGTGGGTGGCTCAGTGTTGAACACAAAGGCAGGGGTACAATGGGGACATTTCAGGCACCATCATTGGTGAAATTAGGGACACTCTCAGGATAGAGGACTTCTTGAGGCTTTCTTCACATCACCAAGTCATGTACACTGTGCCCTCATCTCAAAGAGCGGGGAACGCCTTTGACACTTGGACCATTCCAACCTCCTTCTTCCACACCCCTGCACATACCACAGCCTGCCTGAACATTGAGACACCCCCTTGGCATTTGGGGAAGGGGAGTCTGGAAGAGCCTCAGGGGAGAGGCCAGGTGCCCTAGCAGAGAGGGCTGAGGCCAAGGAGGAGGAGGAAGTGCTGCATGCTTTAATGACCCGTTCATATTCCCATTCATGTTGGCTGGGCTTGCATTGACACTCCTGGGCCAGTGCAGCTGGTCACTTATGCACTGCAGCCACTGCTTCCTGTGCTCAGCTGGCGGTGAGGCTGCAAAGGCTGGGGTCGCCAGCACCAGCGACACCCTGGCCCCAGCAGCTGCTCTGATAAGCTCAGGCTCAGCCGGCGGAAGGAGGGTGGTGGCCCCTGGCTCAGCAGCCTGGCCCAGAGAGCTGTGGCCATTGTGCTATCTTGCGTGTTTACTGCACACTTTCCTTCTGCTCACTGCCAGGAAAGCCATGGCTCTCTGGACTCCAGGGAGGAGGCAGGACATGTTTAAATGAGTGGCTTTTGGGCTTGGTGAAAGCCTCCAGCCCGTGGGCACACAAGAATGGTGAGGGGTGAACTGATGCAAGTCTGGGGGCAGCGTAGCAAAGTGGATCTCAAACCCTAAAGATGTGCATGCCTTCTGACCCGGCAATCTACCAGGAATTCATCCTAAGGAAATAATATTAAGTTCATACAAGGCGTGAGTATAAGGACACTTATCCCAGCCTTGTTTACAACTGATACCAGTCAATGGCAGATTGCACATTCACACAATGGAGCGTGTGGCAGCCATTTACACAGCGATGGTATTATCAATAAAGCTGCGATGAACATTCTGGTACATGTCTTTTGGTGGGCATATGAACGCCTTTCACTTGGGTACATACCTAAGATGGGTTCAAAGGATTATGTGTGTTCCATTTGAGTTGATGCTGCAAAACAGTTTATGAGACTCCCACCACCAGTTTATGAGAACTCCAATTGTCCTAACATCTTTGTCAACACTTGGTATTGTCAGCCTGTATCGCTTTGGCTCTTCTAGTGAATGCATAAAAGTGTTGCGTTGTGGTTTAAATCTGCATTTCTAAATATATGCCAACAGAAAAATGGATAAACAAATTGGGAATCTACATGGCAATTAAAAAGAACGAACTACTGATTCATGCAACTACATGGATGAACCTCAAAAAACAATTATACAGAAATGTGTACACAAAAGAGCACATACTGTATGGTTCCATTTATACGAATTGCCAAAACAGGCGAAAGTAAGGTGATAGAGGTCAGAACCGTTGCCTGCTCTGGGATGGGGAGGTATGGACTAGGATCAGGGAAATTTCTGGAGTGTTGGAAATGTCTGAAACTTTGTTCTAGGTAGTGGTTTAAAAGTGTATATACATGTACAATTTCGTCAAACTTATCTTTGCATTTTATTGTATATAACGTATACTTCATAGAAAAAATTTAAATATATACTAAAAGAGGGAAAATAATGTAGATCTATATTGATTAATCTGGAATTATGTTCAAAATAAAGTAAATGTAAAAAGCAGCTTGCAAAATTCTGTGGACATCTAGGGCTTCCCTCATGAGCTCTTTTTTGGTGAAAGTCCAAAACTAACATAAAATGTGGGGTTTCAAGCTAACACAAAATGTAGGAATTACCCTGAATAATGTGCAAAAGATTCCAAGTGCATAGGAACCATTGAATAGAGATAAGAAATAACCCATTGGCACATTGATAAGGAAATCAAATATTATAGCTCTCAGCACCACATTTTGAAGGACTGTAAGTGATAAGGCAGGAAAATCTGTTAATTATGTGGATTCTGAATATTGAAATGAAAACAGTTAAAGAAATCTGGAATATTTAACCTGGAAAAGAGACAACTTAGAAGCAAGTATATTTAGGGATTTGACGGCTTACCATATGAATGAGGTCTCAAATTTATTCTGCGTCATTAGAAAGAGAAGCAAAAGGAAACAAGATGGATCTCATCAGAGAAAGAACCTCTGTTGATGGGATATTGAATGAGTGGTCATCAAGATTCCTTCCAACTCTGATTCAAAAAGTCAGGTGATAAGGGCACATGATATATCCAGAGTCACATGGACAAGAGTTAAGACTAGAATCTTAATCCTATATGCTAGCAGTGAAATTCTATAAGCAAGTTTGTGGAGAGGAACAAAAAAGGGACGTGTAGACTTAGCAAAAATAGCAGCAATACTCCCTCCCATCCCTGAAAGAACTCCTCTTCCCAATGTGACTTTTTAGCACCTCCCATCAAGAAGTGAAGTCTATTTTTCTGTCCTTTGAACCTGAGTTTGGCCCTGTGACTTGCTTTGGCCAATGGATCATTAACAAATGTGAAGAAAGCAAAGGCTGGAAAAGAGCTTACACACTGGACTTGCCCTCCTTTCCTGCTCTTATGATTGCCACCATGTGAATAAGCCCAGGCTAGCCTGCTGGAGACATGTCCCAGTCACTCCCATTACTCCAGCAGATAACCAAAAAATAGCAGTTCCAAACCCCAGATGCGTGAGTGAGATCATCCTAACCAAACAGTCCCCAGCTGAACCACAAGCTAACTGTAGCTACCTAAGTAAGCCCAGGTGAGGCCAGCCAAAGAATCAGCCTGCTGAGCCCAGCTCCAATTGCCAACTCTCAGAATCATGAGCTACTAAGTGCTTAAGTCACTAAGTTTTGGGGTGAGACGCTAGGCAGGAAAAGCTAACTTACACAAAAGGCAGGCATCTTTTTGAATAAAAAAGTCATAAAAATCCTGTATTTCAGAGATTCTGGAGGCAAGAAGTAGCTTAAGTTATGATGTATTTTTATTTTTATTTTTTATTTATCTTTTGTGAGACAGTAGCTTGCTCTGTCACCCAGGTTGGAGTGCAGTGGCACAATCACAGTTCACTGCAGCCTTGACCTCCTGGGCTCAAGTGACCCTCCCACTTCAGCCTCCCAAGTGGCTGAGACTACCAGTGTATGCCCAGCTACTTTTTAAATTTTTTTGTAGAGACGGGTTCTCCCTATGTTGCCCAGGCTAGTCTTGAACTCCTGGCTCAAGTGATCTTCCCACCTTGGCCCTCCAAAGTGTTGGGATTACAGAAGCAAGCCACTGTCCCTAGCCATGTGTATTTTTAAAATCAGGATATTCTCAGCCTTGGATGGGGGCAGACAAGTTCCTGGAAATACAAACAACAGACATAGAATAATAGGTATAAGGACAACAACAACGATTGCTAACATTACTGTGCCAGGCGCACGCCTCAGCCCTTATCACATATTATTTCACTGAATCATCGTAACAAGCCTAGGAGTCTGTTCTAAGACACAGACATGCCCAATGACAGTACCGATGGGTGGCTCACCCAGCTGGGGCTTGTGAGGGGTAGGGCCAGGAAGTGATCTTTTAGAGCAACCTTGCAGGGAGGGTGTGTTTTCTCAGGGCACGCTGCGCGCTCATCCTTCCCCAGGTGGGAGGTTGTGGCCTTGATTTACCTCCCACCCCATAGCCTCCTTTCCTCCATCATCCTCAGCTGTCCTCTCCCTAGAAAATCTTCAAAGGCCTTTCATGATGTGCTCAGTGATTTCCAGACTTCCCAGTCTGAGGATCTCCCTTTCTAAGCTCTCATCCTCCAGAGGCTCCTCTTCCCATCCTACACCACTGCCCTTTTACACAACTTCAAGGCTGAAAGGGTTTTGGAGCTGCCCTTTGCACGGAGACCAGGAAGCAAAGAAGTCAAGGGACTGGCCAAGGTCACCCAGCTGGTCCTGCCTGGGCCTGGAGGACTCAGACTTCTTAGGTCCCGATCCAACATTTTTTTTTCATCACGTGGGCGCATCAAGGAGCTGTTTGTGAGGCTGATGGGATTGAGCTCTGGACTTGGGCCCTGGGGTCCAAAGAAGTTAAGGACAATCCTTCAAGTCTCTGTGGTTGAGCTGAGATGGAAACAGCAGGATCTGCAGCTTCTCCCGCTGAGCAAGGCACAGTGTCTCCTGCTCTGCCTTGCATTGCTGCATTTTCTTCCTTTATTGTCTGAAACAATTTCAGCCTCTCCCAGTGTTGGATTTGCCCAAACTCCTCGTGGAGGTGGATGTGAGGGGTGCCATTGTGTGATGTGTAACTGGGTGGCGGTATTAGTGTGGACACACACCTCATGGCATGTCTGTCTGTGCCAGCAAGCATCTGTCGGTCTGGGTGTGATGTGACTCAAATGCTGAGGCTCACATTTCCTCCTTAACCCCTGCCCCCCGCACCCCTTCCCGTTCCTCCCCTCCCCTCTCATAGCAGCTGTATTCCCCGCTCTCCTCCCAGGGAAGGAATGTTCCTGGCAGCCTCAATGCCCACCCCAGGCTGAAAGCAGCACAGGTGGGACACTGTGTCCAGCTGGCCCCAAGACAGGGCCGCCCAGAAGAGTCTCCCCCAGCGCCCCCCATCAGTGCTGCCTGCAAGCAGCTGTTGCCTTGAGGGACAGGATTGCCCCAAGAGGAAGTGCCTGGAGGCCAGGCAGCCTGTCTGTGGAAGCCCATCCTGGGCTCTGCCTCAGGTCCAATCCAGGGGAGTGGGGTTGGCTGGGAACCCTTGGGGGCCAGGGCTCCATTCCCTGTACATCCCTTGGTACCCCATCAACAGATTCATCCTCGGCACCTACAACGTGGCAGGAGCTGGGGCCTGGCCTAGGAGCTTTCAGTGCAGGCAGGCAGAAGTTCCCACACAAAACGCAAGTTGTCTGGGCGATGCCAGGTGGGCGGTGGCAGGGCCCCCTCTGGGAAAACGGTCCTGTGGTTCTGAGAAGTGCAAGACCCACTGCACTAGGGGTAAAAACCAGACACTACAAACTCACATGACAGCAGCAGGTAGGACTTGCCCAGGGTTGTGAGAAAAGCCCATAAATGGTTTTAGTGGTTTAGAGCGAGGCACATTTGTCCTTTGGGAGTAAGAGTGGGGAGGTAGGGTGACACCTGTGATGAGCATTAAAGGATGGGTGGGAAGCAGAGGAGAGCGCGGAGAAGCGTGATCCTGGCAGAGGCACAACATGAGCCAAGGTGTGTGCCCCTAAAGCGCATCTGGTTCCATTGTGGGACCGAGGCTCGTGCCCAGCCAAGAGGCCAGTAAAAGCCAGCATAGGGACAAATATCTGTGTTTGAAGTGTCGTAATTATGAGGAGAGGCACCTGGTGAGACCTGGGGGGTTGGGAAGGCTTTGGAGAAAAGGGGAGGTCTGAGACAGGGGAGAGAAAGGAACACGGAAGGAAGATACCATTTATGAACCCAGAAGGGCCCCTCACTCCCGGCCTTGATCCTGAAGGCCAGACGCCCAGGGACTGGGGCCCACGGCTGCGATATCTGGGACAGCAGGGACCCTCAGCTTGTCCCAGCAAGGATAGCTAAGGCTTAGACCAGGGCAATAGGGATTCAGTGTGTCTTGGGAGACTCAAGTCTGGGGAGCCTCCCTCTGGCCCCTCTTCAGCTCCCAGGAGGCCCTTGCCCTCACACAGGCTACATCTGTGGAGCACAGAGTTGAGCAGGGGGCTCTGTGAGGGTTGTCTCATTGTGGCTAAGCAGCTTGAGTTGTGCTGTGTGATCTCAAACAAATCACTCACCGTCTCTGAGACTCAGTTTTCTTGCCCCTAGTACAAGGGAGTTGGGCTCCATGGGATCCCAAATAATTCCTACCTACCTCACTTGCCAGTCCTGATTAACTGGTAAGTCTGTGTGGAGGATTGTGAAGCCAAGTCCAGGATCAGAGGGATGGATGCTGTGATGGATTAGTGATGTCTGCTGTAGCCTCCCAAGGTGGTTGGGTGGCACATGTGCTTCACCTCTCCCATCTTCATCACACCCTTTGTGACATCCTGTGCTCTAACAGTAGGCAGAGGACCAACCCCCCATGAGAAGTGGTTATTCCACTACTTGTGACAAATCTGTGTGTTCCCCCAGGGCCAAACATCTGGATAGAAGGCATGTGTCTCCAAGCAGCTGACACTTGGTCTCATGTAGACAGAGGCATAGCTGCAGTTTCATAAGGAAGTAGAGGAAGGGTGGACGGGCGCAGTGGCTCATGCCTGTAATTCCAGCACTTTAGGAGGCTGAGGCGGGCGGATCACCTGAGGTCAGGAGTTCAAGACCAGTCTGGCCAACATGGCGGAACCCCATCTCTACCAAAAATACAAAAATTAGCCGGGCATGGTGGTGGGCGCCTGTAATCTCAGCTACTCGGGAGGCTGAAACAGGACAATCGATTGAACCCAGGAGGCGGAGGTTGCAGTGAGCCGAGATTGGGCCATTGCACTCCAGCCTGGGTGACAAGAGCAAAACAAACAAGCAAACAAAAAAATTAGAGGAAGGGTAAATACCCACAAATCAGAGTTCTTGGTCCATTTACGTTTCTGGCATGTGGAGAAATTGGTACCCAGCTGCATTTATTTATAGCTAATAAGAAGGAAAATTTGGGCTGGGTGTGGTGGCTCACGCCTGTAATCCCAACACTTTGGGAGGCCGAGGCGGGAGGATAACCTGAGGTCAGGAGTTTGAGACCAGCCTGGCCAACATGGTGAAACCCCGTCTCTACTAAAAATACAAAAATTAGCCAGGTGTGGTGGTGCGTGACTGTAATTCCAGCTACTCAGGAGGCTGAGGCAGGAGAATTGCTTGAACCTGGGAGGTGGAGGTTGCAGTTAGCCAAGATCACGCCACTGCACTCCAGCCTGGGCGAAAGAGCGAGACTCCGTCTCAAAAAAAAAAAAAAAAAAGGAAAATTTGGTTGTTGTGTTTTGCTGAAACAGAAAAAAATTGTCAACAAACAAAAGAACAGATTAAGAGAAATTGATGAGTTATATAATTGGGTTTAAATAGAGCCTAAAATCTTGAGAAGAACTTTAATCAGAAAATAAGAACAGTTTTGTGAAATGCGTGTATTTTGTGTGTCTGTCGATGTGTGTTTGTAAATGTAGCATATGTGTGTAGACTGTTGATACACAAGGCATAGGTTCATGTATAAATGTGATGTGAATGTGTATTTAGTGTGTGGGTGGTATGCAGTAGGTATGTTTACATGTGTTTGGTGTGGGTACATGCAGTATGCCTATTGTATGCAACGAACATAGAAAAGGTAGGTATAGTGTGAATGTGTGCAGGATATGTGTGCATTGTGTGTGTGCACGTAACCCGTGACATGTGTATTTCGGGCTAGTATAAGGTGTCCTTGCTCTGTGACGCACTGGCCTTGAGCAGGGCCCAGCAATGACGTGAAGTAACATCAGTCTGAAACAGCTCCCGGTGGAGCTGCATGGAGAAATGAAAGAGAAGAGGCCTGTGACTTTCCCGGGGCTTGCCCCTCCAGGAGGAAGTGAGGAATTGTAGGGGTCTGCTTCCCACACCCTGCGAAATCCAGACATGCAGAAAGCGACTGGGGTCCTGTGGAAACCTTGCTGCCAGCTCATGGTGCCTGATGAAAAATCTTGCAGCTTAAGGCATACAGAGTGGTAGGACGGACCCTGGAGACCCGGAAAGTGGGAGGGGCGGAAGGTGAGGGGTGAAAAACTACATTTTGGGTACAACGTACACTACTCGGGTGACGGGTGCACTAAAATCTCAGACTTCACCACCGTACAACTCATCCATGTAACCAAAAACCACTTGTACCTCAAAAGCTATTGTAATAAAAAAAATTCTTTAAAAAAAAAGCTTGCGGTTTCCAGTTTCCAAGAAAAATTGCTCATCAACCTTTCCAGACCTTTTCACCCCTTCAGCAAAGATGGGAAAAGTTCCCAATGGGTTTTCACTGGGAAGTAGAGCAATTTCCATGATAGATTTGGAGCGCTTCACTGGTGATAGCAAAGGCTTAAGAAAAGTAATAATTAACTGACAGACAACTGGAGCTTCCATAACAACTGTTCTCAGTAAAGGTTGCTTCGCCCAGCACATTAGTACATCGAAGACCACAAAATGAGAGCGAGAGAGAGAGCGAGAGAGCGAGAGAGAGAGAGAGAGAGAGAGAGAGAGAGAGAGAGAGAGAGAGAGAGAGAGAGAGAGAGAGAGATGCAAAACAATCTGTTTTAACTGCCTGCAGGCAAGATGTCCAGAGGATTTTATTCCCCTGCAGAGGGCCCCAGGCTGGGTGTGGGGCGGAGAGAGCAGGAGTGCAGGCTGCTCTCCATGTGCCCTGCAGAAGTCATGGCGGCTTGCTGAGCCTCAGCTTCTGATGTGTCCGGGGGGACTGGTGACCTCAGCCCTTCCTGCCACACAGGACGGCGGGGCGAGTGCAGAGGCAGCAGCCATGAATGTTTTTGCAGAGTAGAAGGGACAGTCCCCAGGGGCAAGGTTGTTCCTGGCACAGGGCCTGGCACCAAGTAGGTGTCCAGTAAATAACTGTTGAATGAATGAGTGGCCCAGCAGGGACCATCCAAGAGAAACAGGCTGATTTCCACCAACCTCGGAGCGGGGCTTCCAGGGCAGGGCTGGGGGCAACATGTCTGCCGGTCCAGCTGCCCCGTTTCCTCCTCCTCTTTCCGGCCCTCTCCCCATAACCTTGGGTGGTTCCCACACCCCGGCTCGGAGGCTTCTGCTGCCATTGTTTGGCTGTTATCTGGGCCCAGGTCTCTGCCAGCCCAGACCCTTCATTGGATCAGGAAAAGGGGAAAGAGAAGGCAGACTGTGGGGGAATGAAAGCTTCAGGGATTGAGGAGGAAAGGAACCGGATGTCAAATGCATCTGAGGGGTACAGCCTCAGGTGAGGAAACCAGGGTTTAGAGAGGAACAGGGATGTTCCCACGGTCACACTGAAAGGTGACAGAAAAATGATGATCATAATGATTTTGGCAGGGACACCAACATGCACACCATAGCAACTCTCAGACTTAGCAACAGAGCCCTTTCATAAAATAAAAATATATTGTGGAAAACTGAAAGTAGAATAAAGGCCCTGCTGGTTGAGTTGGGGTGGGTGAGGGTGGGATGAAGACACAGAGCCCAGCTGATTAATTTCCCCGTTTTTCTTTATGCCCCTCGAGGCACCTTGGCTGGAGCAAAGATAGAAAACCACCCCAAAAGCTTGATTGTAGCTTTCCCCAAAATGTATTTCTAGAAAATCTGTTTTATGACTATGTGTCCCATGAAAAAAGGGTTCTGGCTAGGTCTGGTGGCTCACACCTGTAATCCCAGCACTTTGGGAGGCTGAGGCAGGTGGATCACTTAATGTCAGGAGTTCGAGACCAGCCTGGCCAACATGGCGAAACCCCATCTCTCCAAAAAAAAAAAAAAAAAAAAAAAAAAAAAAAAAATATATATATATATATATATATATATATATATATATATAAATTAGCCAAGTGTGATGGCACATGCTTGTAATCCCAGCTACTCAGGAGGCTGAGTTTGGAGAATCACTGGAGCCTGGGAAGCAAAGTTTGCAATGAGCTGAGATTTTGCCACTGCACTCCAGCCTGGGCAACAGAGCGAGACCCTGTCTCAAAGGAAAAAGAAAGTTGGGGGCGGGGGTGGGTTCTGTGGTCAAATTAGTTTGAGAAACACTGGATTAACCAAAGTGAGTTGGGTCTCTTCAGGATTTCTTAGAGACTTGAATATTTACATTGTGTACTGGGAGTCTTAGGGTGGTTGGTGTGTAGGGTCCTGTGAACCTACCTGTTTTATTGAGGGCCATCCCTGTAGGATGGTGCTAGGCAGAACACACTAGGGAAATGTTTTTTACTGGAGAATAGTAATAATAATTTTCGGGAGGCCAAGGCAGGAGGATTGCTTGAAGCCAGGAGTTCCAGACCAGCCTGGGCAACAAAGCAATATTTTGCCTCTACAAATTTTTTTTTTTTTTAATTAGCCAGATGTGGTGGTGTGTGCCTCTAGTTCCAGCTACTCAAGGAGGCTGAGGCAAGAGGATCACCTGAGCCCAAGAGTTGGAGGCTACAGTGAGCCATGATCCTACCACTGCATTCCAGCCTGGGTGACAGAACAAAACCCTGTCTCAAAAAAAAAGAGAAAGAAAAAACATTGCCCTCTGTCTTTCCCTCAAGACCTATCTATACTAGCCCAAAATACACATGTCACGGGTTACGTGCACACACACGATGCACACATGTCCTGCACACATTCACACTATACCTACCTACTAAAATGAGGGTAGAGGGGAGGCAGTATATACTGTGGAATGAATATAAGCTTTAGTCTTCCCTGACGCTAGAGTTAAATAAGTCCTGTGGGAAGCCCAGGCATTTCCAGGCCTCTTTCCTCCTGTCTCTGTCCTGCAAACACAAACACGGCCTGGCCCAGCATGGATAAGGTGAGTCCTGGGTCCACCGGCCAGTTATTCCTGACATATCCCCGTCCCAGGGCTGAGCTGACCCTTTGGCCCAGACAGGAGGCCCCAAGCTCGGGCTGGGCCGTGAGAGCTCCGGGAAACCTGGTTCCCACTTGGCCTGTGAGGCTGCCCTGGCCTCTCTTTCCTCTTCTTACCGATGGGAAGAATTTCTGGAAATGCGCTGGGCCAGTGACAATGAGGCAGGATGCCCTCCCCGCTCCCCAGACCAGCCTGGCTGAGAGACCCACCACCCCTCAGGGGCTGGGGCCCACAGAGGTAACCTGGCTAACCCCCTCCTGCCCTGTCACAAAGGGGAGGGCGGGCCAGCCCCTGCTCAGGCTCCCAGAGCCAGCTGGGAAGGAGGGCAAGCCCCTGGGCCATTTCCCAGAGGCCACATCCGTGCTGGGCCTGTCTGGCCTCCGGTGGCCCAGTCTTTCCCTCTTTCTTTTTTGCACTGGGACAGACAGCGGGGGGGAAGGACCCCCCACCCCCCAACACACACCAGGTGCTGGGATGCACCAGTGACCAAGGCAGCTCTGTCTCTGGGGCTCAGGATGAGGTCAGGGGGGGTCCCACATGTAACCTGGGAATGTCGATATAATGTTTTGAGGGCTTTGACAGACACTAGAGCCTCAAAAGCTCCAGTCTGGGAATGAGGAGGCCTTCCTGGGGACGCCCATTTATGAAGAAGCTTCCCTGGCTTCTGGGCCTAGAATCCACGAGGAAACCTTGCTTTCAAGGAGTTTCTGCTCCGTGTCCTCCTCCTCTCCACCTCTTTCTCTGCTTTCATTTCGTCGGACTGGCTGCGCCCCTACCTTTCTCTCTGAATCCATCACACCCCTCCCTGACTCCTGCCAGGCCATGGCAGAATTGCTGTTCCCAGGAAGGGTAGGTAAACGCTGGAGACGCAGCAGACCTTTCCCCACAGTACCCTGGCTTGGTGTCCACCCCTCTGCCATGGATGGCAGGAGGGACAGCCCCCCTACCCTGGCCGTACCTTTGCTCAGCCAGCTTCCCTTCTCGGTGACTCCATTACTGAGGCCACAGCCCATCACCCAGCCATCCTTCCTGGGGGAGGTTGGCCAGGAATTTTTGTACATTTATAAGTTTGTATTGTCTGAGGGGAAGCAGCCAAAAAAGAAAAGTTTTATCAGAGAATTGGACTTGGCTTTCCCTCAAAAGCCAATGGGGTTTCTGAGGAACGGATTTGAGGGGACACTAAGGCCTGGGGGGCAGGAAGGGCCTGGGAGTTCTGTGTCTCCCTTTAACTGGGGGCTCCCTGAGGAAGGGGCTGTGTTCCCACCTCAGAATGGGGGCTCTTTGAGGCCACAGCCATGTCCCTCAGTCTGAGCTGCTTGAGAGTCGGAGCCCTGCCTCTGCCCCGACTGGAGTGTGATGATCAGATGCCCCGCCCCACCCCTCAGGTCGAAGCAGGCACTGGGATCCCAAGGTGGTCCAAGGATGTTGCAGGGACCAGTGTTCCTTGGCCAAGGTTCTTTTAGTCCAAGATTCATCTCCCCGCCCCCAAACGCTCTCCTTTGCTCCCAGGTCTCCCAGAGTCTCTTGGGCCTTTGCTTTGGAGACTTCCTGCAAATTCCACAGCCTGGCCCCGGCCCCGGCCCTCTGGCCTGATCAGCCCAGGTTCTCCGGTCCGGCCACTCCTCTAGACCTTATTCTGTTTTTGTTTTTTGTTTGTTTGTTTGTTTTGTTTTGTTTTTAGACAGAGTCTTGCTGTGTCACCCAGGCTGGAGTGCAGTGGCACAATCTCGGCTCACTGCAACCTCCGCTTCCCCGGTTCAAGCAATTCTCCTGCCTCAGCCTCCCAAGCAGCTGGGATTACAAGCGTGTGCCACCACGCCCGGCTAATTTTTGTATTTTTAGAAGAGACAGGGTTTTGCCATGTAGGCCAGGCTGGTCTCGAACTCCTGACCTCAGGTGATCCACCTGCCTCGGCCTCCCAAAGTGCTGGGATTACAAGCATGAGCCACCGCGACTGGCCTAGCCCTGCTTATTCTCAAATTTCCTCCCCATCCCCCTACACACCGGTTGGTTTCTACCTCTAGCCTTTTCTTATGCCATCCCCTGGGCCTGAAGCACGCTTTCCATTTCTGCACTTAGCAGTTTTTATCATCGTTTCTGGCCCAAAACAAAGTCCTCCACCTCCCAGCAGCCTGCCCTGACTGCCCTACCCCATGCCAGCCTCACCTCTCTCCTCCCTCCCCGGAGTTCCCCTCAGAGCCATGCACCCATCACTTTATGGGGTCTGACACTTCCATGCTCAGTCCCATGCAACACACAAGCTGCTGGAGGAGGGGCAGGGGCAGAATGATGGATGAGGCTGCAGCGGCTTTGCTCCCTGCCGGGGCTGTGGTTAGATCTCCCCTCCAAGAAGCCTGATATTTTCCAGGAATTTCCTGAGGGGAGGGGGCCAAGTACTCTGGAATGAAAGCCAGCTGTGGGGTTGAGGCCTGAGGGTGGGGAAGGGGGCTCTGGGCTTCCTGGCTGAGTCAGCGGACCATTCCTAGGTAATTTATGGGCTGAGTCAGAGCTGTGGCAGTGGGGCGAGGGGTGGGGTTGGGAGAGCTCCCTGGTCTCTAGGCAGTCTGTGGAGGGGAGGGCAAGAGGACTGGCTGGAAGTAAGTCTGGCTGAGTCCAACACAGACCCCCTCTCCCCATCAGCCTCCCCACTGCTTGGAGCCTGTAAAAGCAGCAGCCAAGAGACGGAACCGTGGGGGATGGATGCAAGCTGGCAAAAGGGGAGAAGCCCCTGGCAGGCACTGGGGGCTCCTGAAGACAGAGGGGCACGCTGGCAGGGAGGGGCTTGGGCCAGCCTCAGGGCTAATTTGAGGGTAAAGAGAACTGCTAATTCCAGCACCTCAGCCTGGGTGCCCCCTCCCGCCCTTTTGTAGCAGGCCTGGCCTGGGCTGAAAAGCAGATCTGGGTTCTAATCTCCCTTCTGCATGGACCTGCGGGTGACACAAGCTTGGTGCCTTCTCCTCTCTGAACTTCAAGTCCTTACTTGGACAAGATGGCCTGGCTCCTCCCAGCCCTGGATTTGGGGATGCTCCGATGCTGCCTGGGAGCCCAGTCTGATCATGGTGGCCTGGAAATCAAGGCTAAGCGAAAGGAAAGCCTGAAAGAGCTGCACTCTAAGCACCACAGCAGGACTTGCCCCTGAATGGAGATGGGGCTGGGGCAGGAAGGTGGCAGGGAGGGGCTGGGCCCTGTGACTGTCACCTCCAGGTTGGAGGAGTGGGGAGGGAAAGGCAGGGCAGGGTGCGTTATCACACACACACTCACCCACATACACTCAAGCACACACCACAGAGTCCAAGGAAAACCTGTTTCTGTCCTAGCACTGAGCCAGGGATCCCACACAAAGATGGGTCCTGGCCAAGCGCAGTGGTTCACGCCTGTAATCCCAGCACTTTGGGAGGCCAAGGTGGGAGGACAACTTGAAGTCAGGAGTTTGAGACCAGCCTGGCCGACATGGTGAAACCTTGTCTCTACTAAAAATACAAAAATTAGCCAGGCATGGCAGTGCATGCCTGTAATCCCAGCTACTCAGGAGGCTGAGTCAAAAGAATCGCTTGAACCCAGGAGGCGGACGTTGCAGTAAGCCAAGATTGAGCCACTGCACTCCAGCCTGGGTGACAGAGTGAGACTCCGTCTCACAAAAAAAAAAAAAAAAAAAGAAAAGAAAAAGAGAAAGAATGGGTCCTGATGAAGTTCCTAGGAGGCTCCCTCCTGCTGACAGAGCACAGCAGGAGTGTCCCCCTGGGCGATGGGGCCCAGCTTTCCCATGTCATTCATGGGCATCTGTTGCATCATGATATCTGTTGCAGAATCATCCCATAGTGGCTTCCAAGCAGGGCGTTGCAGCTGAGACTGGCCCTGGTCTCAGCATCTTCGGAGAGGCCCCAGATTGATAAGTGTCTTGTTCTGAGTCATGGCTCAAAGTCCCCATGACAGACAGGAATCCCTATCAGCATGGTAGATTTCATAAACCCCAAATTAGGGCATGAGATCTGAAAAAGAATCTGGGGGATTTGTGATAACATGTGAGGGCATACAAATAAGGACTCTTACTTGCTCAAGACTAACAAACTGCATGTCTTGACAAGAGTAGCCAAGATGAAATCAAATGTAGACAGGAGGGTTCTGAACACACGTGGGGTCACTGGTGTGGCTTGGCCCGGGACTACCCCTCTCCCCCTCATCACCCAAATCCACCAGAGCCTTCTAGAGGAAGCATTCTCCCCACTGGTGGCGTGGTGGGGCCAGGGCCTCGACAGGGACTGTTGTAATCATCCAGGTGGGAAATGACAGAGAGGTGGTGAGAGGCGGGTGGGCTCTGGAAGAAGTTGGAATCCTGCTGACAAGATGCTCCAGTGGTTTGGACATGGGTCTGAAAAACTCCAGGACGGCTATCCAAGGTTTCGGCCTCAGTGAATGAAGGGATGGGGTTGCCACTGACTGAGGAAGAGAATGTATTCTATTGCATATTTAATTAATTACTTTGATGTGAAAAGTCCAAATAACAACTATGTCTGGAACTGAGCAGGGCATCCGTGGGACCACCGCCCACAGGCACCCAGGGCTTATGGCACCACCCACCCCCGTCGTGGGAGGCCCCAGAGACCCCGGCAGAGAAAGAGGGAGGCTCACCCTCTTGCTGTGGTGTGTGTGGGAGGGGCAGTGTGAAAAGGTCTGGCCCACCTGAGTCCCCTGGGCTGGTAGGAGAACTGGGGCCGGGCAGGGGGTGGTGTTGGAACAGGAGGGGTGGTGTGTGAGCCTCTGTGGGCAAAGACCCACCGTGGCCCACAGAGGCTCTTTCTCCTCAGACCCGGTGTGCTGTTACCAGAGCCTTCTAGAGGAAGTGTTCTCCGAGCTGAGGGCGGCTCTTTGATTCTCCAGGCCACAAACCCCCGCAGCCCGGCCTGGCCAGAGGCGTGCCTGTGCATCCCGGCAAGTGAGCGCCCAGGGACTCTCGGCCAGAGAGGCTGTGAGGGTGGCTTTGTGAGGATGGCTTTGTGTGGCTGCACATTGCCCTTGGCCAAGCCCCGCTGCCAGGAGAGGCAGCTCGGCTGCCAAACCTCCTGAACCCAAGTTACCTGAGCAAGCAGCCCTATCCCCTCGCCTGCTTCTCACTGCCTCGCCTGCCTTGGGCCTGCCCGACCCAGGGGGTCACATGCCTTGTTCCCCATCAGTGGAGACCAGGGACAAGAAGACAGTTCTGTGGGAAGAGCCAGGAGGACCATTTGGGAAAATACAGGTTCCAGGTGTGTCTCCAGACCTTGAGAGTTGGTGTCTCCTGGGAAGAGGCCCTGATGAGATCTGGGGAGATTCGGATCTGATGAGATTCAGGAAGCCCTGGCCTCTCCGTACTTGAGGAGACGGGACACACAGGACAAGCTGCAGGCTGGTGAGCAGGTATGTTCTGCTTCTTTGAGGACAAGAGAACCCTGGATCCTTGAGGGCTCTCAAGGGGCATTTACAGGGTCTGAGCCTAAATCGAGGCATCAGGTCCCAGAGAGGGCGAGGGTGCGTGTGCTCAGACAACCCGAGGTCCCGCAGAGGCCACCAGAGCCCCCAAGGGGGGTCGGAGAGAGTCCACTTCCCGCCAGAGGTGCGATGTGGCCACATCACTGGGCACCTAGTCCTTCTTTCTGCCAGCCTCAGCCATATGATGAGCAACCAACGCCTAAAGCTTCCTGAGCTGGAGGCGGGGAGGCAGGACTGGGGAGATTGGAGCTGGAGTGGAGTGGGCCTGAGCTGGGGACGGTGGGGTTCCTGTGACCCCGCAGGGTGAATGCCTGAGCTGGTTGCTCTGGATATGTGACCTGCTCCTCCCTTCTGTAAACTCTTCACCCTGATCTGGAGAAGGTGATCCCCAAGGGCTAGGACCCACCCACCCAGAAATACACTAAATAAGTAAATGTGCTCTGTTCAGATTTTATCTAATCAGGATTCCAGAGCACAAGACAAATGGCCTCACGTCCGGCTGGGAGGTGTAATTCATTCTCCTGGGTGAGTCCAAAGCCTGGGGCAGAGTGGGGAGAGGAGGGGCGGGGTGATTTAGTGTAGTGGAACGTGCACTAAGGGTCTGGGAGGCCCTGAAGCTTGGAGTGCAGGGCCCAGCGCCAAGACCTCCAGAACAACCCAGCCTTCCTCGGGATCTGCCCAGGGATGGAAACGAACCCTAGTGTCCTTTCTTTCAGGGAGTCTATTTCTGGGACTTATTCCAGGGAATATACATAGGTGGTCATTCAAAGATTTAGCCACAAAGTTGTCCTTCACTGTGACTTCTAAGCCTGAAAAACCGGAAGCAACCTAAATGTCCAAAAATGGGGCATGGGTTAAATACATTGTGAAACATCCAGAAAACAAAACACAATTGAGCCTTTAAAAATGATGTAGAAGAGCATCTAATGACATAGAAATAAGCAGATAGCATAACGAACAGAATAATACAAAGCTGAGATGTATATAAAATAATCTGATTTTTAAATCATTGATTGGGCTGGGCGCAGTGGCTCATGCCTGTAATCCCAGTACTTTCGGAGGCCGAGGCAGGCAGATCACCTGAGGTAGGGAATTCGAGACCAGCCTGACCAATATGGAGAAACCTCATCTCTACTGAAAAATACAAAATTAGCCAGGCGTGGTGGCACATGCCTGTAATCCCAGCTACTCAGGAGGCTAAGGCAGGATAGTTGCTTGAACCCGGGAGGCGGAGGTTGCAGTGAGCCGAGATTGCACCATTGCACTCCAGCCTGGGCAATAGTGAAACTCCGTCTCAAAAAAATAAATAAATAAATAATAAAGCATTGATTTATGAAAAACGTTGGAAGGATATACAATAAAACATTGACGAGTGGTGAGCTAAGGGGTAATTTTAGATTGCTTCTTTTTCTTTGTTTTTATTTTGGTTTTCCTTATTTGAATTTTTAATTTTTTTAGCATAATCATGCACTTACACAATAGACAAATATAAGGAGAGCTATTACTTTACAAACCAGAATCTCCGAGATTTAGCTCAGGAAGAATTCCTGGGTAGGAGAGACAGCTGGCTCAGTCAGCCCTCACTCCACCTCCCTCTGTGCACTCTCCTCTTTGGGTCACTTTTCTTCATTCCCACGGCTTCTTTCTGGCTGGGCCCCAGGGATGCCACCACTTTTTTAATTCTGTGGGCCAAACATAGCTAGAAACCCAGCCTTGGTGGTTGTTTGAGACCGAGTCTCACTCTGTCACCCAGGCTGGAGTACAGTGGCGTGATCTCGGCTCACTGCAATCTCCACCTCCCAGGTTCAAACAATTCTTATGCTTCAGCCTCCTGAGTAGCTGGGATTACAGGTATGTGCCACGACACCAGGCTAATTTTTTGTATTTTTACTGGGTTGGCCAGGCTGGTCTTGAACTCCTGGCTTCAAGTGACCTGCCCATCTTGGCTTCCCAAAGTGCTGGGATTACAGGCGCGAGCCACCACACCTGGCCGAAACCCAGTCTTTCGCTTCTTTTAACAAGCACAGCTAAGAAACCTGGGAAGATCAGACCAGATGGCACTAATAAGGGCACTGAAGGGAAGGCAACAGGACGTAAACATGGTGCCCAGAAGAACTGTAAACCCAATCCAGCTTCCCAAGGCAGGGGTGTCCTAGTCCTACCTTAACCAGTTACCCTCTGGAGGCTCCCAACTCCTGTCCATCCTATGTGGAGGTTTATGAGGGGACAGAGACCCCACCAAGTCCTTTGTCCCATCATAATTTTTATCACCTTCTTTTCAGGTTCACCTTCTATTTTGAAGACCCGCTTCTTCCTCAGGTACCTGATCTTGAAAACGACCTCCCCTTTCAGGTAGGACCCACCATGACATATGGAGAGTGATCTAGCCCTTGGTCCAGGCTCCTGATAAAAAATATTCCAGCGCACCCCCAAGCCACAGCACTCATTTCAGAGAACTGGCACCTCACACACATAAAAGGCCTCTCAGGACCCAAGAAGCTCCCAGGCTCCAAGAGCAGATACATTGGCTTGGCAGCCCCAAGCTTTCCTTCACACCACTCCACCTGCCTCAGTGAAAAACAGACAAGTAATCAATGAATTATTTCCCCATTAAAATAAACTAATAGCATTAAAAACTGTAATCTAAATATAGGCTAATTGTAAAAAATATGGAAAATCTGAAAAAGTATAAGAAATAAAATGAAAATACTCCATAATAATCACACTAAATGGAGATAACCATTATTGCTATACACATACACATTTAAATGAAACTGAGGTAATACCATGTGCATACACACATAGTATATATAAAATCCTGATCTTTTTCCATATCAATTACATCATAAGAATTTTCTTGGGTCATTAAAATATTCTTTGAAAATACGATGTAAAATGGCTGCATAGTATCCTATTGTACGGTACAGTGGTTACTAAGCCAATTTCCTAGTGTTAGGCATGTGAACTGTTTCAAAATTGTTCATTATTTTAAATAATAATTTAATAAACATTCTTACACATACATCTTTGCATACATCTCTGATTATTTCTTTCTCTCTTTTTTTTTGGGCGGGGGGGATGGAGTTTCGCTCTTGTTGCCCAGGCTGGAGTGCAATGGCATGATCTCGGCTCACCACAACCTCTGCCTCCTGGGTTCAAGTGATTCTCCTGCCTCAGCCTCTCGAGTAGCTGGGATTACAGGCATGTGCCACCACACCCAGCTAATTTTGTATTTTTGGTAGAGACGGGGTTTCTCCATGTTGGTCAGGGTGGTCTTGAACTCCCGACCTCAGGTGATCTGCCCGCCTCAGCCTCCCAAAGTGCTGGGATTACAGGCGTGAGCCACCGTGCCCAGCCTCTGATTATTTCTTTAGGATAAAGTCCTAGAAGTGGGATTATGAAGTAAAAGGATGTGAATCCCTGCAAAGTTCTTGGTGTCTGGGAGCAATGTGTTTTTGATAAATTGTGTTACCGTAGTCCCCTCTTATCTTCAGGGGACATGGCCCAAGCCCCGCAGTGGGTGTCTGAAATTGTAGTTAGTATTGAACCCTGTATACACTATGTTTTTTCCTATACATACATACCTATGATAAAGTTTAATTTATAAATTAGGCACAGTAAAAGATTAACAACAATAATAAAATAGATCAATTATAACAATATGCTGCAAGAAAAGTAATGTGAGTATGGTCTTTCTCCATGTGTCTCAAAATGTTATATTGTAGATCCTAGCTACCTGAGCTAAGATCTGAGATCTAAAATCTTGATTTTTTTTTCCATATAAATTATATCATAAGAATTTTCCTGGGTCATTAAAATAGTCTTTGAAAATACAATTTTATTTGATTTATTTATGTATATTTTTTGAGACAGGGTCTCTCACTTTGTCACCCAGGCCGGCGTGCAGCAGGGCAATCGTGGTTCACTGCAACCTCGACCTCCCAGGGTCAAGTGATCCTCCAGCCTCAGCCCCACAAGTAGCTGGGACCACAGGTGTGCACCACCGTGCATGGCTAATTTTTGTGTTTTCTGTAGAGACGGGGGTTTCTCCCTGTAGCCCATGCTGGTCTTGAACTCCTGAGTTCCAGCGATCTGCCCACCTTGACCTCCCAAATTGCTGGGATTGCAGGTGTGAGCCACAATGCCCAGCCTGAAAATACAATTTTTAATGGCTGCATAGTATCTCATTGTTTGGCACAATATACACTTTTTTTCTTTCCTTATTAAGTCAAGAACTTCCACCTTTTAATTTAAAGGAAGCACTTCACGGCTTCTCTTTGGCACATCCAAATTTCCAGCATTGCTACTCTTGTGCTTTGGGGCCATTACAAGGTAAAACAAGGGTTACTTGAACACAAGCACCATGATACCTTGACAGATGGCCCCTAAGGGACACGCAGGTGGGTGGCAGCCACAGCATGGATACGCTGGAGAGAGGAATGATTCATGTCCCAGGTGGGACATCAGGGGATGGCCTGTTGGAGTAGGAGTCAGGAGGCCAGTGTGGCCAGAATGGAAACTTGACATCTATTCTTATGATTCTTTAAGGGAAGTGAACCCCACTGTGACAGCCTGGCCTAGGCCAGAAGGCAGCAGAATGGCAGAGGGCAGCTTCCACAGCTCCAACACCTGCTCAGGTGTTTATGGCAGTGAGGAGGGAGAGCATGTCCCAGAGCTGGGTTCCACTGTGCCGGGTGCTGAGAGTCCAGGGCTGACTAGGTCATGACTCTGCTTCTAAGTTGATTTTATAAATTCGGCACAGTAAGAGATGAACAACAACAATAATAAAATAGATCAATTATAACAATATGCTGCAATGAAAGTTATGTGAGCATAGTTTTTCTCTCTATGTCTCAAAATATTGTAGATCCTAGCTTCTAAGTTCAATTTATAAATTAGGCACACAATCCCATGGGGTCGACGGATGGACACTGTTAACAAGCATATGGCATGACAGATAGGGGAGGCTTCCTGGAGGAGGTGACATTTGAGTGGGGCATTGAGGGATGAACAGGTGAATTGGATTTCAACAGGCAGGGAATATATTAATACCTGTTTGCTGAGAAGAGCATAAGGGACCCATCGTTATTAGGGTGTGGACCCATGGCCTTGATCTGGGATTATCACTGGGAAGTAGAGAAAGCAGAGAGTGAGAAGAGGGTTCAGAAGAGGACCCTGGGCCACATGGCCATGTTGAAGGTGGGGTAAGAGGTGGGGCTGGAAAGTGCTGGAAGGGGGCTAAGGAGGAGCATCAAGGCATGAGGAACACCAGTGGAGTGGGCTGTCACAAGATTTAAGAACGACCAACGGAGAAAATATCACATATTGATGGGAGGCCAAGAGAGACAGGCTCTAAGGAGGGCCCAGGGCCGGCAAGCATTTGGTCCCGGGAGACCCTGGCAGGGGCCGGGCTGGTAAAGTGGACAGGATAGAGGTCGGGGGCATTTGATTCCTGCGGCTGTCATGGTAACAAACCACTTCAAACTGAGGGGCTTAAACAACACACATTATTCTCTTACAGTTCTGGAGGCCAGAAGCCCAAAATCAGTCTCGCTGGGCTAACGTGAAGGTGTCAGTCGGGCTGGTTCCTTCTGGAGGCTCCAGAAAAGAATCTGTTTTCTTGCCTTTTCTGGCTCAGTTTCTCGGCTTGTGGCTCCTTCCTCCATCTTCAAAGAGCACCACTCCAATCTGCTCCTCCATCAGGTCACCTTCTGCCTGACTCCTACATCCCTTTCAGAAGGACCCTTGTGATTCCATGAGGTCCACCCAGATCACGCAGGATAATGTCCCCGTCTCAAGAGGCTTAATCTAATCACAGGTGAAAGCCCTATACGAGGTGTCATGGACAGATTCTGGGCCTAAAGACATGAACATCTGTGGGGGCATCACTCAGACTTCCACGGGTGACAAGGGCCCCATGGTGGGAGGGGAGAAGAGGAGGAAACGGGAGAGTGAGGATTCACCAGGAGACTGGCCCGAGAAAGGAGACACGGATTGGACAGGCTCAGCCAGTGGAAGACCGTCCTGCCTGGAGGGAAGTGGCTTTTAGGAGTTTTTTCCTGAGCCTGTTGTGTCTCCTTCCCTCCTTTCTCCCCCAAATCCAACTAGAAAACTAGAAACATAATCTGTTGTGTTGACTCCATAGGTCTTGCTTCCCCTCAACCCAGACACCGACTCGCCCAAGGGTCTTCCAGCTGGCTGAGTTGGAACCTGCATTTTTTAACCACAAGGAAAAGAAGCCCAGAGCTACCAAGAATAATATTTTATTGACTTGGAATGAGTTTTGGAATCTGTATTTTTAACAAGCTGCCCAGGTGATTTTGATGATCAGACAGTTTGAGGTGGTTTTTTTTTTTTTCCTTTCCTCTTTCTCTTCCCTTCAGTAAACTGTTTTTCAACTTTGTTTTTCAGTGAAAACCATTTCCTCCTCGTCGTGGCGCAGGTCCAGAGGCTGCGCCCATCTCTCCCACGTCAACAGTCCTGTGTCCTTGGCGAAGGACTGTTCTCTCATTCAGTGCCTTTCCTCTCTTCCTGGGCCAAATCCCTGCTTTGCGTCTCCCTGCAGCTCATAAAAAGCTGAATTACCTGAGGCAGGGAAAGCCCCACCCACTGTCATTCTCAGGGAGGAGTGGAGTCTGCAGAGGCCGCAATGCACAGCTTCCCTATCCCCCTCCACCCGTGTTTTCCCAGAGCAGCTCTGTTCCAGGCCCGGGGGTGTCCCTGGGCCGAGATGGAATCCAGCCCTGACCACCTCCCAAAGCCAACAGCCCTGAGTGAGCGTGCAGAGAAGCAAGAGCTGTTCCTGATGCAGAGCAAAGACATCTCCCAGTCAAGGGGGATGAACTGATTTGGGACAAAAGGCAGTTGTTGGCTGAGGAAGGCAGGATCTGGGGGAGCCCTGTGCTGAGTGGAGGTGGGTGGGTGTATTTCCTTGGCTCACAGAGGCCTCTTGTCTGGTGGGATCAGCTCCTCCAGCCAGTTGCCACCTGGTCCAGCTTTGGGAGATGTGGAGAATGACTTTCGCAGTGATTTCCACTGGGCCATGGCATTGAAACAGCTGCAGGAGGGGACACAGCTGGTGCCACCCCTACTCCGTCCATTAGAGCTGCTGTGAAGGAATGCCACCCTCCCCATGGGGAGTGAGGGGGCCCTACTTGCTGTGGTTGGTTCCAGGGACCATGGGAAGAGGCAAACCCCTATTTTCAAGGGCACAAGTTGGCTTTTATTAAAATAAAATTTCATCATCACTTATTCCAGTGGCTCCCAAACTTGGCTAAACATCAGGATCACCCAGGATGTTTGTTAAAAAATAAAGATTATGGCCGGGTGCAGTGGCTCACGCCTGTAATCCTAGCACTTTGGGAGGCCCAGGCGGGCAGATCACTTGAGGTCAAGAATTCGAGACCAGCCTGGCCAACATGGGGAAATGCTGTCTCTACTAAAAATACAAAAATTAGCTGGGTGTGGTGGTGCATACCTGTAACCCCAGCTACTCGGAGGCAGAGGCAGGAGAATTGCTTGAACTTGGGAGGCAAAGGTGGCAGTGAGTCGAGATAGCGCCACTGCACTGCACTCCAGCCTGGGTGACAGTGCGAGACTCTTGTCTCAAAAAAAAAAAAAAAAAGATTAATAAAAATAAAGAGTTTTAGAACTCATCCTAGACGGAATCAATCAGAATCTCTTTGGGTAGGCTTGGGCTGGAATCAGTGCGAAATCTGACTAATCAGATTGCTTTCCTGATTCCAGACGGTTGAGCCCATAGAACAGGAGTGAGAAGATGGAAGGGCGAGGGGGCTGGGATGATGAAAACTTGCGCCTGCAGCCACCATTCATTACAGAGCGCCGGGGGCCAGCTGCAGAACTGTAGACTCCTCATACATCATCGTGTTGAGTCTTCAAAACAAACCTATGAGGTGTGCCCAATTGTTTCCATTTTGCTGGTGAGAAAATGGGAGCTCAAAGTGGCCACACACACAGCTAATAAGAGGCAGAGCCAGGACTCAGGCCCAGATCTTTCTCTTGACTCCTCTGCCGTGGAAGGGATCATGAGAAAACCTGGCCCCAGCTCCGGAGTCAGGCCAGCACATGACCCAACTGTCATGCCAGCACAAGCTGCCTTCTGGACACTTCTCTGGTGGGCTCTCTCTGTCTCAGGGCTTCAGCTGCCCCCTGCTCACTCCCCTCACATCAGTCACTGTGTAGCTGGGGACACAGAGGTGGCTGAGACATGGCCATCATCAAGGCAGGGGGTTCATGGAAAGGGCATGAGCTACAACCAGGAGAGAGGGCTTCTGGTTCCAGTGCCACCACCCAGAGCTCTGAAAGGGGCCCCAACACCCTTTTAGATGGACTAGATTGGGTGGTCTCTGGGGGTCCATCCACTCTTAAAAAGCAGAGTCTGATCACCTGACTGCCCTGGCACCCCCCCCGCCACTCCAGCACGTGGCCCTTGCTGACACATCTGCCCTGCAAGGCTGATGAGCTGTGGCTTCTTGCCTCTTTGGCTCCTTCCAGCACCCAGGAGTTTCTGGTACATGGTAGGCGTTCAGTGGGGTGACCCTTCATGGATAATCAGCAATTATGCATTAGGCACTATTGATAACCGCAGACCCTGGACTAAAATACTAGGAATTCAGAGAGGGCCCTACCTCTACGGAGTTTATAGCCTCGTAGGGGAGAAAGATAGAAAACACCATGAATCGATTACAATTGTGGTCAGTGCTAGGAAGAAAAATAATAGGATAGTTTAAGAATGGGATTGGGGGGAGTTCTAATTTAGACAGAGGCATTAGAAACATTTAACCTGAGACCCGAAGGATGAATAAGAGCCATATGGAAACTGGAGGTAAGGTGGGAGTGGGGACAGTGTTTTGGGCGAAGGGAGCAGGAGTTGCAAAGGCCCTGAGGTGGGGAGGATGGACACCAGGGAACCCAATGAGGGCCAGTGTGGCTGCAGGGACTGAGCTGGCAGGAGGGGCTCAGGAGCAGCAACTGATATTGAAGATGGCCAAGGTCAGACCATCAGGGTCTTGTGTTTGTTTGTTTGTTTGTTTGTTTTTCTGTCCCTCAGGCTGGAGTGCAGCAGCGCGATCTCGGCTCACTGCAACTTCCACCTCCTGGTTTCAAGCAATTCTCCCGCCTCAGCCTCCCGAGTAGCTGGGATTACAAGCACCCGCCACCATGCCCGGCTAATTTTTATATTTTTAGCAGAGGCGGGATTTCTCCATGTAGCCCAGGCCGGTCTCGAACTCCTGACCTCAAGTGATCCACCCACCTCAGCCTCCCAAAGTGCTGGGATTACAGGTGTGAGCCACCATGCCCCGCCAGCCATCAGAGTTTTATAGCAAGAATTTTTACCTTTGTCCTTAGTGCAATGGGAAATCCTTGAAACGCTATTATTGCCTTCCTCTGCAAGGAAAGGTTATTTTGGTGAGCAGTGGATAGAGGAAATGCAGAGGGAGCCACTAAAGGGTTCTGGTGAGATCTGGAGCCCTGCTGGGATAATCTGACCAGAGAAAGCAAAGATTCCAGAGAGCTAGGCACACTTGCCCTACCTCCAGCTGCACACAGCTGGTTCCAGCTTTGTCCTGACCTTCAGTCTGGCATACAGGGTAGACCCACTGGTACCTGGTACCTCACTCTGGGGGTGAGGTGGCCACCCACCTAGGTCTGGGTCCTGTAGCAGTTTGGCAGCAACATCTGGGTGATAAGAGAAGGCGATTTGACCTACTCCCAGGGACAAGAAGCTTTGACTCTTCAAGATCATAAAGTCTTCCCTCCTGGCCTTGGGTCCTCCTGTTGCGGGAGAGGTGAGGTGGGGTGAGGGTCCTCCGGGAGGGCAGGCTTGGCAGAGCCCAGCACCATCTCAGCAGACACTGCTCTTCTCCTACTCTCAGCACCTCCAAGGCAGTGAGTGGCTTTCTCTTGTCTAGAGGACAAAATCCGTTCCTCACCTGGACACAATGAACCTGTCTGTGGGATTTAGGGAGCATCAAGGAGGGAATTTAGTTTCCGCAGACTTCAAGGAAGACTTTCTGGAGGAGGTGATGCCTGAGAGCTATCCAGGAGAGAAGAGTGAAAAAATGTTAAGCAGTGGAAAAACATGAACCAAACTGTGGCTGCATCTTCCCATAGGTATGTGTAGGTAGACTCAGCATTTTACTGTTTCTGGGCATAAAGCACAGTACCATCTGCCCTAGGAAGCCCTTCTGCCATAGTAAACAGCCTCACATGGCTTCCAAAGGGCTCTTGGGCACTTCAGGGACCAGAGCCCAGCACACTGCTGGGGAGGCCAGGCTGTGCCTGGGTGGCCTGAGCTCTGGGAGTTTAAGCCAACGTGGATTATTGTTAGGAGTGAGTTTCATAGCCCTGCCTCTCCCATTCAGAGATCTCCACTCCCTACCCAGCAGCCTTGCGTAGGGTCTAGGATTCTTCTCCCCACATCACAGGTGGGCAGAGGAGGACTCTGCCTTAGGGAAGGTTGAAATTAAGATCCTAAACTAAGTTGGGCTGGGGTTAACTCTTCACAGATGGAGGATCTCCTTCAGCACGGGCTGAGGGCTGAGGGCCCCAGATCAGGGCATCAGACTCCTGGGGCTGCTTGCAGGGTAGAGAGGACCTCCATTCTGACGAGTCCCAGGACTCAGCACTGAGTAGAGAGGGGAGGGGCCGTGCCCATTTGACCAGACGTCCGATAAGGCAAGAGACTCTTGTTTTAGCATCAGAGCTGGAAGAGGCCCAGGGAGACTGTCCCTTGAAGCTTGAGGCCCTGAGAGGGACACTGGCTATGGAAGGTTGAACAATGGCCCCCAAACACGTTCACATCCTTATCCCCAGAGCCTGTGAATATGTTCTCTTAACAGGGCAACAGGGACTTAGCGCGTGCAATCAAGGATCTCCAGATGGGGATAACCCAGGTGTGCCCAACCTAATCTCAGTGTCCTTGGAAGAGGGATGCAGAAGGAGTCAGAATCAGAGAAGAAGGTGACACGATGAAGGAATCCGAAATTAGAGTGATGCTCTTTGAAGATGGAGGAAGGGACCACAAGCTGAGAAATAGAGGTGGCCACTAGACACTGAAAAAGGCAAGGAAGTGGATTCTCCCCTGGAGCCTCCAGAAGGAACCAGCTCTGCCGACACCTTGACATTAGCCCATTGAGACTGATTTAAGGGCTGCTGGCCTCCAGAATTGTAAGAGAATAAACGTGTGTTGTTTAAGGCCCTTGGTTAGTAGCGATTTGCTACAGCAGCTGCAGAAACCTAATAAGTATAGGTTCCACCTAGAGACGCAGAACTAGCCAGCGGCCGATCCTGCTCCGGGACCCTGCAGGCCCCAGCTCTATGGAATCCTGTCGCACACGGGATGGACGTGGGCTAGAGGCGGAGGTGAGGCCCCAAGGAGGCCCACAGACCAGGGCCTCCAGGGAATGTGCGTGAGTGCGCAGGGGTGCGTGTGTGAGAAGGGGAGGAACTTGTCTTCTTCGTGCATTGGGGATTTTCTAGGCAGACAATCCTCCAAAGTCATGTCAACATTTTTCTCTCCAGGAAAAAATAACTCAAGTCTCTATCAGAAACGTCAGAGTTTCACATGCACACCAGTAGACAGACTTGTGGGTGCCAGCGAGAAATGAGCTGCACCCTGGCCCTGGGCACCTTTCATCTTCAGCGGGCGGGGAGCTAGGCAGAGGGGGTGGGGGGAACCAACACAGCCACTGTGGACACATTGTGCCATCTGGACTTCCCCAGAGCTCTGGGAGTCCTATGGCGGGAGTGGCCCCACCCCTACCACACAATGCTTCCCACTTCCACCAAATCTCTGGGAAGATTCAACACATTTCTTAGCAGCCGAGAGCCATTGGAATTTCCAGCCTTATCCCAGATGTGAGGCTGACCACGATGGGAGTTTGGCTTTGTAAGGCATCTGGGGGGCTGGCAGTGCCCTCAGGCCCCCCAGCACTGGCCCGGCTGGGCTAACGTGCGTGATCCTCCTCACTCTGGGTCCTGCTGTTGGGCTTTCTGTGGCGAGCCGAAGAGAGCCCATGCATGTGGTTTTCGCACATGTGGAGAGGGCTGGGGGGCCTGAAGCCAGCAGGGTGGAGCCCCACAGTCAGGAAGAGACAGACAGCCTCTGGGGCCAGGAGTGGGGGCCGTGACAGGACGGGAATCCAGAGGGGTAAGGGGACTGAGGGAGAGCCAGAGAGGAGCGTTCAGGGAGAGTGGACACAAGCCTGAGGTCTGGCGGGGGCTAGATGTGGAGCCGGTTGGGTGGGGATGAGGGAGGCTCAGGGGTTTAGGGGCTCAAGGGCTTGGTGTGAGCTGGGGTCATAGCTGGTGCCTGGCCACGGGCTGCTGGGAGGGTAGGAAGCGAGGACAATGACCCTTTACCCAGCCAGTGAGCCCTAGTTCCTGGTGCCAAGAGCTGCTCACTCCAGGGCCAGTATTGTGGGAGGCAGGTAGAGAGCTGCAGTGGGGGAAATGCATGCCCATGGCTGGCTCACCCGTGTCGGGGAGAAAGGCAGTGGCCATGAGGGAAAGCACAGGGGAAAGCCCTCCAGGGCCAGCGGGCTCTTCAGCAGGAATGCGGGTCCTCAATGGGTGAAACCATGGGGGGAATAGGAATGTCACCCCTTTTTGCCAGTCTGTCTGTGATTGTCCTCTTTGTTAGAATAATGGCCCCCTGAAGATGTCCACATCCTAATCCCTAGAACCTGTGAATGTCACCTCAAAGGCAAAAGGGACTTGTAGATGTAATTCTGTTAAGGGTCTTAAGATGGGGAGATTATCATGGATTATCTGGGAAGGCCCAACATCATCACAAGGGTCCACATAAGAGGGAGGCAGGAAGGTCAAAGGCAGTGAAAAGGCATGTGCGAGCAGACAGAAGGGAGACTTGAAGATATCACGTGCAGCTGATTTCATTTGTTTGTTTTTGTTTAGAAACAGGGACTGGCACTGTTGCCAAGGCTGGAGTGCAGTGGTGTGATCTCGGTTCACTGCAACCTCTGCCTCCTGGGCTCAAGTGATCCTCCCACTTTAGCTTCCTGAGTAGCTGGAACTACAGGCGTGTACCACCACACTGGCTAATTTTTAAAATTTTTGTAGAGATGGGGTCTCACTATACTGCCCAGGCTCAGCTGACTTTGAAGATGGAGGCAGGGGCCCCAAGCCAAGGAATGCAGGTGGCCTCTAGAAGTGGGAAAGGCAAGGAAATGGGTTCTCCCCTAGATCCTCCAGAAGGAGAGCAGCCCTGCCAACACCTTGTTTTTAGCCCAAAGATGCTGATTTTGCCCTTCTGGCCTCCAGAGCTGTATAAATTTGTGTTGCTTTAAGCCGCTAAGTTGGTGGCGATTTGTTACAGCAGCAGTGGGAAGTAAACACACCTTCCCATCATGTGGTAGGCTCCAGACTCTGCCCTACTCCCTGCGGCAAGGATTTTCAGCGTGACATGGGTAAGGGGCCTCCCTTCTGCCTGCCCCCCAGCACTGACTGAGCTCCAGTGCAGGGCCTCAGGCCAGGAGCAGAGCTAGGCCTTGTCCAGGGCTTTTCCTTGCACTTTCCCTCATGGCCACTGCCTTTGCTCACCCATGGGTGAGTCAGCCATGGGCATGTGGTTCCCCCACTGCAGCTCTCTGCCTCCCACCATACTCTGTGGCTCCACTGCCCCCCGCAACAATGAGAATAATGTTTACCAGCTACAGAGAGAGAGGGAGAGGGAGAGAGAGAGAGAGAGAGAGAGAGAGAGAGAGAGAGAGAGCGCGAGAGCGAGCGAGAGAGCGCTCTGGAAGGCCTTGCTTCCTGGGAACTGGTTGTCAGCAACACCTGCTGTAAATGAGGTTTTAACAAACAAATTCAGGGTCTGTGCTAAGGAAGGGGCAGGAGGTGGCCAGGTTGGGTCAGTGTGTGTGGACATGGGACAGTACAGACGACCCCACATCCCTGCCTCCTAGAATGTTGAGATGTCAAAGCATCCCCTTCCCCAGGTCACTTATTTTTCTCCTCTCTCCTTACAAGCCCAAGCATAGACAACTATGCACAAATGATGCAGGACTCACTTGCACACAGATATACGCAGGGCCACAAGCAGTGCCAACATGTGCGAAGATGGAATGGGCAAACATACACGCAGAGACACCACCCAGCACACTTACAAACATGCATGCACCCACAGACACCTACACACCCATAAATGCACATACACCCACTTCCCGCACTTACATACCCCCACACGGATGCACACAAATACAGACACACCTATGCATGAGTCAAGACCACCCATGCAGTGGACCCCTGGACATCTGTGAGCAGGGCGGAAGGTGCAGGGCATCCTTCCATTCCCTCCCCCACCCCAAGCCCTCTGCTCCCTGCTCTGGAGACCTCTGCTGGTGAGGCCAGGAACGGACGGCCAGCCCCTCCTTGGCTCTGGAGCTGAAGGAGGGGAGATGGGAAAAGAGGGACCAACCAGGGCCACCTCCCAGGCTTTCGGCACTGCTGACTCCACCTGGCCCAAAGGACTTTATTCACTCTCCAATTCCAGCACCGAAGGAGAGATTTCTCCTGCAAAGATCTCTCTTGGGCTTTTTGCTGACCCAGGCCCACCCTGTTCTATCAGTGGACACTTCTAGTGTTTCTGCTGCGGAGGAGGGGGTTTCCCTCTACAGAACAAGGCTCCTTCACTTTCCCATGCTGGCTCCTCACACCCCCCTCACCCCCCCAGGGCTGTTTTGTGGCCGTCCTGGGCAGGCAGTCTTCCTCCCTGCTGCCCACTGGATATCTGAGTGGGCTCGTAGCTCCCTGTTCGAACCTCCACCCCCTATGGCCCCTCATAGGTCCTACCCTCCTGTTCTCAAGGGCTTTTTCTTTCCATTTTGTCCTGCAGGAAGGGGAGGAAGTGAAGATCTTCAGACTAAGATGGATGAAGCTGAATTCAGATCTCAGCTCCAAGGTAGGATGGCAGCTCTCAACAGCTCTCAGCAGCTCTTAACCTCTTGGGCAGCTAACCTAACTGCCCTCAGCCTCAGTTGCACCAGGTGGAATGGAGCTTATGATAGTGCCCTGGCAGGGAGATGAAATGAGATAACATGCTCAGTGCCCAGCACCCAGAAGCTTCCCAGGGTGCCATCTTTCGGAGGCACTCCAACATCACTGGAAATAAAAGGAGACCAAGAAAACCATATCTGCAACTCCTCTATGGGACAGTTGCATGTTTTAATGAGTGGTTTGCAATAGGGTGATTAGGGATACCCCCAAAAGAGCAGGCTAGTATAATAGCAGTCAGTCTCTAAGGAAGGTGGGGAAGGTCTCTGCAGAGTTTTTGTCTCATTGGGGTGAGAGCTGAACCGCTCAGAGGAGATGGAGTGTTGCTAACAGGGACCCTCTTCTCTGCCTACTTGGTAACGGGGACCCTCTTCTCTGTCTACTCCCTCATTCCTCCAAGCACAGATCAGTTTCTGCTACACTAAAGTGGAACATAGTAAAAGAATATGGCTTTGGTAGGATATGAAATTATTCACCTGCCTGGAGTCTCCATGTGTTTCCACTGGGCCCTTCTTGTCAGGTAGAAGTCAGTTGGGTCTGTCTCCAGTCTTGGCACTAAAACTCTCTCCAGATCCTCCACTCAACCCGGCCTCCTCACATCCTCTCTGCCTAGTCTCTGTGCTCACATCGCTACTTAACTCATCACTCCACACCTCGTTCCCCCAACCTTAGGCCACTGGCACAACCCATTTCGGAAGCCTCAAGACTTCTTCAAGGATCAGGATTTCCATTTTGGGGAAATCAGATAGTTCTCATATACTAGCCTGTTTGAAATGGCAACAGGAACAAGAAGCAGCAGCCACCATCCTGCTCAGAAAGCATCTCATGACCTTTCCTTTAAATATCTTCGTCAGGCTGTCCCGACTTTCCAATGGGTTAGATTTCAAAATGTTTCTATGAAGTGGTTTGGCATTTCACACAATGAGCCAATAGAAAGTCGAGAACTCAGGGTTATGAATGGGGCTCAGTTTTCCAGGTTGGGGCATAATAAATGCCCATTAAACCCATCTCAAAGCTGGGCTGCCATTCAGCTACACGGGAAGGACAGAAAACCCTACTGTTGCAAGACCTGTAGTAGAAATGGAAAAATCACAATGCGGATCTGGAAAAGTCAACCTATTTTCTCTTGAAAACTGATGCTTGAAGGAAAGCAGGGTTCTTAACAGGAGGATGGGCAGATGGGTGTGGCATTCTGAAGGAAAGTTTTCAAGGGCTTTTGAAGTCGAAAACTTCTATTCTTCATCATTCTAGTTATCTCTCTGACTTTCAGTCTGCCTTTTTCTTGACTTGGGGGTGGGCCTGCCCTGTCTCAGTCAGCACGTTGGCTGGGTAGACTGAACATACAGTGGGAAAAGGACCTCTTGAGGTAATTGGGGTAAGGTCGGAAGAAAGGGAGATGACCGAAGTAGGCTCTGGGATTTGGAATTTCTGTTTTAAAGATGGCCTGAGGAAGAATGAGCAGAACTGAACCCATTACAGTTTAAAACAAAAACAAAAAACAGGGAAGAATAGAGAGATTACGGAACATGTGTGACCGCCCCCCCCCCCCCCAACCTCCCAGACAAGTTCCAAGGCTGACCACCAGGTGACACCACAGGCCCAGGACAGCTTGGTTGCTGTCTGCAGTCAGTGGGGGACCTCAAGTAAGTTGGGGAGCCAGCCAGCGGTTCAGATCCGCCTTCATTCTGACTGCCCTGGAGGCAAAGCCAGCCAATGCCCTTCTCCTGCTTTCCCGGGTCACCACCTGGGCTCTCCTGAAGGGATTCTGCTGATAATCAAGGTGAGGTGGGGTGTGGAATGGTGCTCAGAGGGCCAGGGTCCAGGGAGAAGAGGCTGAATGAGGAGCAGAGGAAGGGGCTCGGGAAGGCAGTCACAGAACCCGATAGCAGAGGGGATGGAAAACAATGAACCTTTATTGAGAGTCCGCCCCCACTCACAGGTTCTGGCCAAGGGAGGCCCAGAGGGGAAATCAAGCAGCCCCACCCACAGGGCTGCCCACAGATGCAGGTGATTCACAGTTTAGGCTGGGCTGATAACAGCCCCCGCCAGCTGAGAATGGGGCCTTTGTGCAGTGCCGTCCTCGGGCCCCCTCGCAGCTGGGCCGGCTGCAGCAAGCCTGGGAGGAGGGCTGGATGGCAGGCGGCGGCGGGGCTGGATGGGAAAATGCGGAGAAACCCAGCAGCCTCCGCGGTGAAGGGAACTTTGAGGTGCCACAGGGCACATGTGCAGGGGAGAGAGACGGCGTGGTTGGAGCACTTTCCTTCCAGATTTTCCATCTCAGCTGTGTCCCCCAGCCATTCACTCATTTCCCCAGGGATAAAAAAAAAAAAAAAAAAAAAAAAAAAAAAAACGCGGCTTGCAGTACTAAGGGTTGCGAATGGCTCAAACTTGACTTGAATCAGCTTGGTGAGAGGGGGATGTTGACTATTGGCTCAAGCAGGGCAAAGACAGAGCAGGCCCTGAAGAGGCCAGAATGAGGCCTACTCACCCACCAGACTATCACCTCCTGTCTCTTCTCTCTCTGTCTCTCAGAGGTGAGCAACACCCTTTCTTCCGCAAATGGGCTTTGTGCACCCTCCTTCCCCTGCAGGAATAATGCCTGTGGTCGGTTCAGCATTACATCCTCACAGTCTCATGACCAGAAAGGAAATTGTACTGTCTGCTACCAGGCTTGCTTAGAAAAAGTCCTGAGGGGAGTTTGAGACCGTCCTGGGCAACATAGTGAGACCCCGTCTCTATGAATTTTTTTTTTTTTTAAGTTAGCCGGATGTGGTCGTGCGTGCCTGTAGTCCCATCTACTCCAGAGGCTGAGGTGGGAGGATTGCTTGAGCCCAGTTCAAGGTTGCAGTGAGCCATGATCATGCCACTGCACTCCAGCCTGGGCAACAGAGCAAGACCCTGTCTCAACTTTTTTTTTTTTTTTTTTTGAGATGGAGTGTTGCTCTGTCGTCCAGGCTGGAGTGCAGTGGTGCAATCTCAATCTCGGCTCACTGCAACCCCTGGCTCCCACGTTCCAGCGATTCTCCCACCTCAGCCTCCCGAGTAGCTGGGATTATAGGTGCACCACCACACCCGGCTAATTTTTGTATTTTTTGTGGAGATGGGGTTTTGCCACGTTGGCCAGACTGGTCTCAAACTCCTGACCTCAGGTGATCCACCGTCTTGGCCTCCCAAAGTGCTGGGATCACAGGTGTGAACCACCATGCCCAGCCTTCAACTTTTTTGAAAAAAAGAAAAGAAAAGCAAAAGGCCTGAGGAAGAACCCTGATTGGATCCACTTGAATCATGTGTCCAGTTCTGGGCAATTGCTGTGGTCAGAGGTCATTTTCCCAGATTGAGTCCCTTGCCTGCCCCTGTGGCCAGGGGGAGTGGGGCACATGGCAGACAAATCCAAGAACCTTCTTGCTGTGTACTTGGGGTCTCATGTGGCAGAACTGCTAGTTGGCCCCCAGAACAATTTTCCCTTTTCTCTCATAGACCAAAAGGTGTTTACTGGAATAAAAACTACATTTTCCAGGCTCCCTTGCAGCTAAGTATAGCTACATGTCTAACAGTTCTGGCCAATGGGATATGAGCAAAAGCATTGTCTGTGACTTCCAGATGGTGTCCTTAAAAGGAGAGAACCTGCTTCTGGGGCCCTCTCTCCCCAACTTCGTGCAGGCTAGAAGCCTATGTGATGGAGTGTCATCTTGGATCCTATGGGTGAGGGCAGGACCAGAGGGATGGCACATCAGTAAGTGAGTTAGAAGAAGTACAAGTGCCTGATACTATTTTGATCCCAAACTGTCTATGCCTGGACTGTTGCACAAGAGGAAAGAAACAGCGATCTTGTTTGAGCCACTCTTATTTTGGATCTCTGTTATATCAGCCAAGTCTATATCCTAATTAATACATCTTGGGACCTTCTCTTGGTACACATTGCTGTGGGCTGAAACTCTATCTCTTGTGTGAGGACTAATTTTGTTCCCTGCATCCAAATCCAGAAAAATTCTGCCTGTGGCCAGCCTCCCCTCTGCTGAGAGTGTGGCAAGACACCTAACAGGGCCAGATCTGCTCACCCTAACCTGAGAAGTTAATTTCATTTTTCCCCCTCTATCCTGACTCCATGCCACTGGTATGTTCAAAGGATTTTGCATACGGGTTAGAGCAGCCTTTGCTTCAGCTCAGGAGCTGCTATGGAGTGGAGGTCATGGCCCTCTCATCTGCTGGGGGTCCTGAGTGCTGGAGCCATGGAGAAATGTGAAGGTATCGCTCCCTCCTCCACTGAGTATGGGAGTGGTGCTCCTCGCATTAACGTAAGGGCTAGCGCAGCAAACAGCCCGTCTCCCCCTGAGACAGGGAACTAGAGGCCCAGTTACCGAGAGCTGAGCAATGGAACATTCAGGAAGAACTGCTCTTCTCCTGGTACCTGGGAATGTTCCAGCCCTAGGATCCCACCCAGATCCTCTGTGGCCTAAGGGAGGAAAAAGAAAGGGCCAGAGGGCCAGGTGTGGTGGCTCATGTCTGTAATCCTAGCACTTTGGGAGACCCAGTCAGGAGGATCCCTTTAGCCCAGGAGTTCGAGACTAGCCTGGGCAACATAGGGAGACCTCGTCTCTGTTATTTTTAAAACAGTTTTTAAAATATATAATTAGAAAAAGAAAGGGCCAGAGGGCAAAAGAACACTAGTGTGATAGGTCCTGGGCTCCTGAGATTGGGGAGAGGCAGTATCTGTGACGTGCTATAGGCCAGTGTAAGAGACGGGGCACAGAAAGTCATCGAATGGTTCTGTGTCTAACAATGCCCCACCCTCATTCCAAGCTTTCATAATTAAAGAAGCATAATTGAGTGGAGCCCAATTGGGAAAATCCAGAAGGAAACGTTGCCTCAGGACCACAAAAACAGGCTGAGGCTGGGCTGGGCTCTTCCTTTCTTTCTGTGCTGATTGTGTTGAAGAACAATGGCAAGCAGGCCCACGTTTCTCTTAGAGCCTTCCTTGGCTCCCAAGTGGCTGGCTTCACCCCTTCTTCTTTCCTTCAAGCCTCCTCCCTTAGTTGGGGGCTCCCTAAGAGCCAAAATGGTGCCTCTATCCTCAGACCGGAGTCAGAAGTCCCAGGGAGTCCCAGGGCCACAGGAGCCCACAAGCCCCACCTGAGCCAGCAGGAAGACAGTGTTCGGTTTCCAGGCTAGGCCTTTGTCCCCACCGCTAACCAAAACAATTCTCCACACTGGTTTCCCCTGACACCAGCATTGTAGCCAAGGAAGGAGCAGTGACTTTTTGATTCTCTCTCCAGTGGGGTACATTAAGCCCGAGGGACAAATGGGGCTGGTGACATGATAGCATGGGGGCGAGATGCTGACAGCTGACCCCTCCACACCCATGCCACTGTGAAAACATGCAGCCACTTGTAGCTTGTGAGGTGTAGCCAAGACTGACCACCCATGAGACCTGGGGTCACCTCCCCTCCCAGGACAGCCCGACTGACTTCCTTCTCTGCCGAAGCTGAGTCCTGATGTGCTGCTTGCCCCATCGGCTCTGCCCCTCCCCTCTGCTCTTGCACAATGCATGCTGGAGCTCTTGCGCCACGGTCAGCACACTCCCCTGTATCTTCAAGCTCTTTTTGGAATGTTGCCTCCTCCTCCAGGCCTTGAACCACCACCTCCAAGTGGAGGCTGTTTAATCTCACATTCTCTGCACCTCAGGGCTAAAAGATGTGGAGTTTTGGCCTTATTATTCCTCATTGTCATTTCCAGCACATTACTCCCAACCTCTTATAAAACCCTGCGCCACTGACACTCCTGCCTCCTGCTATGTTGCCCTCCCTCCTCTCCCTGTCAGCTCCCAGCTCCCATGCACTGGAAACTCCAGCTCCAACCTCCTCTTCTCCACTCCACCTCCTGCCAGTATCCTAGAAAAATGGAGGGACCTATGTCCGCACTCTGACCTCTGGCTTCCTTCACCCTCATCTCAAAGAATTCTGGCCTTAGCTATTCGTTTATCCCTGAAAACTTTACAGTCACCAGAAAGCCTCACTCCTTCTGAAATCAGAAATTCTCTCCTTCGACTATATATCACCCCCAAGCCCATTTGCTTCCTGGCCTGGGTGCCCTGCCACAGCTCTCTGTCCTCATGGAGCTCTCCAGTCCGTTGGTACCTTCACTCCTTCTCCATCCATCAACCCCTCCTGCCTTTACTTCTCTCCTTTCCCACTAAGATTCCATGGCTCATGAATGAATCAATGGCAATATTCACACAACAGAATATCCTAAGCAGGCTAAGCACATGAGCCACAGCAACTGAAACAATGTCGATGAATCTTAGCAAGATACAATTAAGCCAAAAACTTAAGTCCCAAAAGGTTATGTAGAGAATGATACCCTTTTAATGAAGGTAAAGACAGCTAATATAAAAATATGTCTATAATTTTTGAAAATATAGAGAGATGCGGGCTGGGCGCTGTGGTTCACGCCTGTAATCCTAGCACTTTGGGAGGCCGGGGTGGGCAGATCACGAGGTCAGGAGATCGAGACCATCCTGGCCAACACGGTGAAACCCTGTCTCTATTAAAAATGCAAAAAAGTTATCCGGGCTTGGTGGTGGGTGCCTGTAGTCCCAGCTACTCGGAAGCTGAGGCAGGAGAATGGCGTGAACCCGGGAGGCGGAGCTTGCACTGAGCCGAGATCATGCCACTGCACTCCAGCCTGGGCGACAGAGCGAGACTCCGTCTCAGAAAAAAAGAAAAAAAAGAAAAAAAAAGAAAAAGAAAATATAGAGAGATGCAATAAAACCATATAAAAAGGAAAGCACGGTTGCACCTTGTACACAGAATTCAGGATGATGACCACTTTGAGTGGAGAGAGGCAAGGGGATGGGTAGGGGAAGGGGAACAATATGGTGAAATGGGGGTCACTGTCAGAAGTTTTGTTTGGGTGGTGGTTTTGCAGGTGCCTATTACATCTTTAAAAATAACAAATTAGGTTGGATATAGTGGCTCACGCCTGCAATTCCATCACTTTGGGAGGCCCAGGTGGGAGGATTGCTTAAGGTCAGGAGTTTGTGACCAGCCTGGGCAACACAGCAAGACCCTGTCTGTGTTTGTCCCTTTGTATTGCTATAAAGGAATACCTGAGACTGGGTAATTTATAAAGAAAAGAGGCTTATTTGGCTCACAGCTCTACAGTCTTTACAAGAATGGCATCAGCATCTGCTCAGCTTCTGCCGAGGCCTCAGGAAGCTTTTACTCATGGTGGAAGTCAGAGTGGGGAGCAAGTGTGTCACATGGCAAGAAGGGAAGCAAGAGAGAAGGGAGAAGGTGCCAGGCTTTTCTTAAAAACCAGATCTCACGTGAACTACTTACCACTCATTACACTCAAAGCCATTCATGCGGGATCTGCACCCTTGACACAAATACCTCCCATTAGGTCCCACCTCCAGCTTTGGGGATCACATTTCAATGTGCAGTTTGGAGGGTATAAACATCCAAACTATATCAGAAAAGTTTATATATATTTTGAGACAGAGTCTTGCTCTGTTACCCAGGCTGGAGTGCAGTGGCACGATCTTGGCTCATTGCAACCTCTGCCTCCCGGGTTCAAGCAATTCTCGTGCCTCAGCCTCCCAGAAGCTGGCATGTGTCCCCATGCCCAGGTAATCTTTTTGTATTTTTAGTAGAGGCAGGGTTTTCCCATGTTGGCCAGGCTGGTCTGGAACTCCTGACCTCAAGTGATTCACCCACCTCGGCCTTCCAGTTGGAAAGCCAATTGGAAGATACAATTTGGCTTAATTGTATCTTGCTAAGATTCATCCACATTGTTTCATGTGTTTAGCCTGCTTAAGATATTCTGTTGCGTGAATATTGCCAGTTGATTCATTCATGAGCCACAGAATCTTAGTGGGAAAGGAGAGAAGTAAAAGCAGGAGGGGTTGATGGATGGAGAAGGAGTGAAGGTACCAATGGACTGGAGAGCTCCATGAGGACAGAGAGCTGTGGCAGGGAACCCAGGCCAGGAAGCAGACAGGCTTGGAGGTGCTGGGATTACAGGCGTGAGCCACCATGCCCTGCCCCAACCCCCAATTTTTTAAATTTTTAATTAGCTAGGCATGGTGGTACTTGTCTGTAGTCCTAGCTATTCTGGAGGCTGAGGCAGGAGGATCGCTTAAGCCCAGGAGTTCTAGGCTGCAGTGAGCAATAGTCACATTACTGCTCTTCAGCCTGGGCGACAGAGCAAGACCCTGTCTCTAAAAATAAAAAGAAAAAATTAATAGCTAATTAAATAAAAGTAAACCATGCATGGGTCAATGATGAGTGTATCAGGGAACCAGTGCTGTGGGTAGGTGTGGGGAGTCCAACAAAATAAAGATTCCATAGGTTATCATTACATTACTCTCTTGCAAATACACTGATCCTTCCTCATTGTCTCTCCACAGAATCCACAATCTCCCTTCGTCTGTACCAATCTTTTCTCATTCTTTCAATCACAATGGAAGAAGCATCCTAGTTTCTTCAGTCAAAGAAAAATTCCATGTCTTATTTCCTGAGTCCCATCTTTTCTTGTCTTCTCAAGGACTTTGTTCCTTTGGTTATCCCCTCGCTCTGTCTTCTCAATCTCTCCCTCTCTCATGGATTATTTCCATCAGCACACAAACATGCTCCAGTCTCTCCCATCTGAGAAACAAATTTTTATTAGAGCAGAAGTGAGGCTGCAGGCCAGGCATGGTGGCTCATGCCTGTAATCCCAGCACTTTGGGAGGCCAAGGCGGGTGGATCACCTGAGGCTTGGAGTTTGAGATCAGCCTGGCAACATGGCAAAACACCATTTCTACTAAAAATACAAAAATTAGCCGGGCATGGTGATGCGCGTCTGTAATCTCGGGTACTGGCATGTTGAGACAGGAGAATCACTTGAGCAGTGGAGGTGGAGGTTGCAGTGAGCTGACATTGCACTGCTGCACGTCAGCCTGGGCAACATACGGAGACTCTGTCTCAAACAAATCAATCAATCAATCAATCAATAAATAAACAAAAATTAGCCTGCTGTAACAAAGAGACCCCAAAAGACAGTGTTGCAAACAGGCAGAAGGTTAGCTCCTGCAGGAGTCTGGGAAGGCAGAACCAGAGTGATAAGACAGCTGCTTCTTTCTGTTGCTCTCCCACCCTTAACTTGAGGTTTCCCTCCAAGGTGGTTGCTCTAGCCACTGACAGCACTTCCACCTTCCAGCCAGATGGAAAGGGAAAAAGAGGAAGAGGATATACCTTCTTCCTTTGAAGAGCATGGCCTGGAAGTTGCACACATCATGTCCGCTCACATTCCATTGCCTCAGACTTGGTCATGAGACATACCTAATTGTGAGGGAAGTTAGGAAATAGAGTTTCTAGCTGGCTGTTAAATGTGTTCAGATGAGTATTCCACCACTATTGAAGAAGAGGAGAATGGATATTGACAAAAAGCTAGCAATCTCCACTATACTCTGCACCTTTGTTTACCCAAATAAATGCACATTCTCTTCCCAAACATGGAACATGCTAATCCCCCCTACCCAAGCATGAAGCCCACAGGTCCTGTCCGTTACTGCAACTGTCTCAAGGTCCAGGCTTTCTTGGTAATTGTCTGATCTTTATATGAAGTTCAGATATTAGCCTAGTGATGAATAAACTAAAAGATAAGTCATGTATTTGTCCCCCTCCACCAGCCAACAACACATACGCAATATACAAGAGATGTAGAAACAGGATAACCACAATTAAAACTGCCATTTGGAAAGGGACGAATGGAGAACCCATAGCAGGCACAAAGCATAAAGTAAATCCCACCGGGCAAGAATTCCAAAGATTCCCTGCCTCCCAGGGAACTAAGTTCCTTAGTACTAATTCCTGGGAAACATTTCCTTTATCCATTATTCTCTGTGGCTCCTGGCTCTGCCTTTTGGGAGGTCCTTCCTTGTTTGTTGTCCTCCAAGGCCACATCTGAAGAGGCCACTGGAGAACATGGTGTGCTAGGGTGGCGAGAGTATGGGTTTTATAGCCCATTTCCTGCTGGTGCAGGTTTGAAAGCTCAGGGCTTGCTTTAGGGGTTGAGCAATCCCATAGTTGTGCAGGCCAGGCTTCCAGACTTTCATTAATTAATCTTCTTCAAAAACTTAGTATAACAATACAAAAATTAAATTTAAAAGAATGATTTTATTTATGATCATATTGAAAAACACAAAATCCTTAGGAATAAATTTAACAAAAGAAGTTCAAGACTTGTACATTGGAAACTATAAAACATCAAACATCATTAAAAGAAATTAAAGAAGACCTAAGTAAAGGAAAGACACCCTGTGTTCATGGATTGGAAGACTTAATATTGTTAAAATGGCAATATTCCTGGAAATGATCTACAGGGTCTATGCAATCCCTATTAAAATCTAGCTGCCTTTTTTTTGCAGAAACTGAAAGCTGATCCCTAGAATAGCAAAAACAATCCTGAAAAGAAAGAACGAAGTAGGGAGACTCACACTTCTCTCTTTCAAAACTTATTACTAAGCTATAGTAATCAAGACAGTGTGGTACTGGTATAAGGATATGCCTGCACATATAGATCAGTGGAACAGAATTGAGCTCTAAAAATGAACCCTTACATATATGGTTAACTGGATGTTCAGCAAGGGTGTCAATACAATTCAATGGAGGAAAGAATAGCGCTGGGACAACTGGATATTCACATTCAAAAAGTATTATTGAATCCTTACCTCACATCATATAAAAACTAACTCAAAATGGCTCATAAGAGGAAAAAATGCCATAACATAGTTATTAAATGTAAAAAGTAAATGAAAGTAAAAAGTAAAAAGAAAGTAAAAAGTAAAGAAAAATAAAAGTAAAGTAAAAAGAAAGTAAAAAGTAAAGAAAAATAAAAGTAAAGTAAAAAGAAAAGTAAATGAAAATGGATCCAAAAGTAAAAAGAAAATGGATCCTAGAACTAAACGTAAGAGCTAAAACTAGAATACTTCATGACCTAAGATGAAACATTGGTTTCTTAGATATGACACCAAAAGCACAAGCAAAAAAAGAAAAACTAGATACTTTGGATTTCATCAGGTAAAAAACTTTTGTGCTTCAAAGAACAGCAGCAAGAAAGTAAGAAATATGACCTACAGAATGGGAGAAAATGTTTGCAAATCCTGTGTCTGATAAGGAACTTGTATCCAGAATATAAAAATAACTCTTATAATTCAACAGTGAGACAAAAAATCCAATTTTAAAAATATGCAAAGGGGCCAGGTGTGGTGGCTCACACCTATAATCCCAGCACTTTGGGAGGCTGAGGCTGGCAGATCACTTGAGTCCAGGAGTTCGAGACCAGCCTGGGCAACATGGCAAAATCCCATCTCTACCAAAAAAAAAAAAAAAAAAAAAAAAAAAAAAAAAAAAATATACATATATATATATATATATATATATTAGCCAGATGTGGCGGCACATGCCTGTAGTCCCAGCTACTAGGGAGGCTAAGGTGGGAGGATCACTTGAGCCTGGGAGGCTGAGGCCGCAGTAAACCATGAGTGCTACTGCACTCCAGCCTGGGTAACAGAACAAGACCCTGTCTCAATAAAATAAAGTGTGCAAAGGATTTGAAAAGACATTTCACCAAAGAAGATAAACAAATGGCCAGTAAATACATGAAAAGATGCTCAACATCATTAGCCATCAGGGAAATGCAAATTAAAACCATAATGAGAAAGTACCCCACACCCAGTAGGATGGCAGTAATAAAAAAGGCAAATAATTACAAGTGTTGAAGAGAGTGAGGAAAAACTGGAACCTTCACACACTGCTGGTAGTAATGTCAAATGGTGCAGCCATTCTGGAAAACAGTTTGGCAGTTCCTCAAGGGGATAAACATAAAATTACCTTATAACTCTGTGCTTTCACTCCTAGGCATATATATATCCAAAAGAAGTGAAGACACATATCCACACAAAAACTTACATATGAATATTTATAGCAACATTATTTATAGAGGCCAAAAGTGGAAACAACCCAAATGTTCATCAGCTGATGATCAGATAAACAAGTTGTGGTCTGTCCATACAATGGAATATTATTCAGCTATAAAAAGGAATGAAATAATGATACATGCTACAACATGGATGAATCTTGAAAACATTGTGCTAAGTGAAAGAAACTAGACACAAAAGGCCATATGTTATATAATTCCATTTATATGAAATGTCCATAATAGGCAGAGCCAAAGAGACTGAAAGTAGATTAGTGCTTGCCAGGGGCTGGAGGAGTGGAGGGAAGGGAATTGGGACTGACTACTAAAAGGTACAGGATTTCTTTGTGTGGCAATGAAAATGTTCTGGAACTATGTAGCAGTGATGGTTGCACAACTGTGAATGTACTAAAAACAACTAAATTGTATACTTTAAGAGTGTGTAAAATAAGTATGAGCTTTATTGTATGTGAACTATATGTCACTATAGTTTTTTTTTTTTTTTAAACAGTACAGTATACTTCTACTCTTTTGGTTTCCAATCTGTTCCATGAGCAACTAACTCAGCCAAAAAGCTGGTAGACACAGTTCTGAAGTCTGCAGACACATATATGCATATTATTTACTGGTTTGGCCATCTCTATACTCTGTGCTCTGTCCATCTCACACTGCTTGACTTAATGATAGTTTCTGAGGTTATCTGTCACAGTAGGTCTGAGTGAAAAAGCAACACTGTCAATCTGATCTTGACTGCTGGGCTAACGCCCATTGTCTGTCAGGGAATTCTTAACTGAGCTGATTGGGGAAGGCTTAGGTCCATAGTCTTATTTCCTGGTACAGCTGCCTCTTTGGAGCCACTTGAGACCACTGCTTCAGTTCACAGCACAAAAGCAGTTGGCTTTTTCAACATGTGGAAGCTCAAAATACAGGACTCTCAGTCAACTTAGATGATTGGCCACAGGCAGGAAGAGCTCCATCAGCAAGGCTGCATTCACTTTCATCTCTGCTTGCAAACTCCTGGCTCTATTCTGAGTTTCTTTGTCTTACAGAGCCCTGTACCAAGTGGAAAGAAGCCAATACCTACCAAAAATTGGACCTTTTCTAGCTACCTCGCCCAGAGCTGGAAGCTCAGTAGGCATGTGAACTGCCTTCCAAGATATCATAAGAGATAGTGTTACCAAATGCTTTGCGTAATATGAGTCACCAGCCTTCCAACCTGAAATACCTGCCCACTGTCTGACAATATCCCTCATTCCTCATATTTAGAATTTTGCCACACCACCACTCTACTTCTAGATACACGATTCATTGTTAATTAGAATATGGTTTAGACTGCTGTCACAAAAAGACCTCAAACTACATTGGCTTAAACAAAGTAGAAGTTTGTTTTTCTACCATGTAAGTTGATGGTCTAGGGCTGATACCGTGGTTTGGTGGTTTTGGAGGACTCAGGCTTTTCATATCATATTAATTCATGATTCTCAGTATGTTACTTCCATCGCAGAGTCTAAGAAAGACAGCATCTTTCATAGGTTGGATTTCTCAGGGAACTGCCTCAGAGACAGAGATTTGCAGACAGGGGTTTTATTGGGAGATCTGTTGGGGTCATCCCTCATGGAATGAGGGAAAGGCATGAGAGAAACAGGGCTGGGTACAGGGGAGAGTTGAGCTGTGACAAAGTCACAACACAGGCCTTGGCCACCCACAGGAGCTCTGCAGCTGGGGTGGTCTTGAAAGTTGTCTCAGTGAAGGCAAGGTGCTGAGCTTATTACCCCAGCAGTCATTGTATTTAGGCTCCGTGTGGTACCTCCAGGAAGGAGGCCTACATTTGGGAGACAAGTTTCTGGGGAAAGATTCAGCTGAGCTGTGAGCTGACAATACTCTTAGCAGTTGGGGGAAGGAGCGCTTATTTTGAATGGGGTATGGGGGAGTACACCACAGGGTCCCCCAGAGCTGCTGTGATTCCTACCATGAGGTTTATCCATCCGGTGGGAGGTGGAAAGCCCCCACAGCACTTCCACTCATGTCTCATTGGCCAGAGTTAGCCACGCTATCTCAATGACCTGGAAGAGCCATGTGCTCAGCTAAAGGCTCAAGAACAAAAGCAAAAGTGAAGACTTTTGGGAGCCTATGCCTGTGTTCTTTGCTTCCATGTCCATCTCCAGCCATTGCTCCAGTTGTCCATTCCTCCTCAGAACCTGGCGGGGGCAGGGAGCCCCCTCACCATAATACAGAATCAGTGGGAGCCCTGAGCTTGCTTTCCTGCCACTAGATGGTCCAATATGAGGGTGATGTGGGACAGTGACAGAACATGAGGCATTAGATTCTCATAAGGAGTGCACAACCAAGATCCCTTGTATGTGCATTTCACAATAGGGTTCGTGCTCCCATGAGAATCTGATGCCTTTGCTGATCTGACAGGAGGCAGAGCTCAGGCGGTAATGCAAGCAATGGAGAGCAGCTGTAAATACAGATGTAGCTTCGCTCACTTACCCACCAGTCACCTCCTGCTGTGAGTTCCTAACAAGCCACAGTCCAGTTCCTAACAGGCCATGGACCAGAACCAGTCCATGGCCCGGAGTTTGGGAACCCCTGCTTTAGGTGACGAAAGTGGAAGATGGTTATATAGTTTCCATGGGTCCTGATACAAAGCCAGGGCTGCTGGGGTTTAGTTTTGGTTCTTCCCCAGCTGCACAACGGGGATATGGCAGCACTGGATATCAAGATGCTGAGATGGGGTCATGTCCCAAATGATCCAGGAGCAGGATGGGGTGACATCATGGAACCACAGGAGCCAAGGTCCCCCCAGTCCCCAGCTTCCCCACTGGGACAACAACATGGCTCCCATATTCAGCTCACCTTTCATATCCAGCACTCCATGGTTGGGGCAACCCAGTCAACCTGGTAGATAGCTCTTTCTACTCTCTCCTCTTCCCTACAGCACCCCTACTCTGCATCCAAGCTTCTGCCTTCCCCCAGAGAGTAAGGAGGTGAGCTGCCCTTTGAATATGCAGTGTACGGCCCAAAGACACAAACTGTCAGGGGCCTCAACACATTTTGCATTCATTTCTATTCTTACTAATAAAACCTAGCACATAGTAGGCACTCAATAACTACTTGGAGAATGAATGTGTGCATGAATGAATGAATGGATGAGGCACTCAATAACTACTTGGAGAATGAATGTGTGCATGAATGAATGAATGGGTGAATTAATTAATTAATTAATGGATAGATGGATACAATCACTGCTCAACTTTGTTTTCCATGACCACCAGCTCCACTCTTTGGGAGACAGCTCTTTCCTCTGGGATCCTTGCAAAGAGGCCGTCATGCATCAGGCTCACCTTCCTCTCCCTCTAACTGAAACCCACAATGATGGGGCTCTGTCCACAGTTTGGCCCACTGCCCAGCTGGTAACGATGGCCCATGTCCCCATCAAATGTAATTCTACATAATTAGTTCCAAATCTGTCGCTGGCCAGTGGTGGGGCTGGCAGACACAGGCAGTGCCACCCAGGGCCATGTGGGAAGCTGTCAGAGCCACGTCTGTGTACTATTCAGGGTGGCAGATGCCTACCTCCATGTCCTCCTGCCCCCCAGCACCCTCAGTTTGCCATCTCTCAGAACTGAAGTTGTATTTCCTTTCATTTCTCTTCAACATCTTTTCCCTGATATGATGTCTGCAGGTATTCATGCTCCTGTATAGTTCCCTCCCACACTGAATAGGGTTGCCCTGTTGAAACGTTGGAATATTCTGGAAATGACCATGTGTGACTTCCAAGGCAAGGTCATAATAAAAAACATTGCAGCTCCTACCTTGTCTCTCAGATCACTAGTTCAGGGGAAGCCAGCTGCCATGTCATAAGGATGCTCAAGCAGTCCTACAGAAAGTTCCATGTGACCAGGAGCAGAGGCCTCCTGCCGGCAACCAGCACTAGTGGCAGGCATGTGAGTGCGCCATCTTGCAAGCAGCTCTTCCAGCCCCAGTTGAGCCTTCAGATGACTGCAGCCCCAGCTGACATCTTAACTACAACCTCATGACAGACCTTGAGCAGACCCTCTGGCTAAGCTTCTCCCAAATTTATGACTCCCAGAAACAGTGCAAGATGATACATATTTATTGTTGTTTTAAGCTGCTAAGTTTTGAGGAAATTTGTTACACAGTGAGAGGTACTCAATACACTGAGTCACTCCCCTAACCCATAGCACAGGCTGAGTCCCCAAACCTGCACTAGAGGCAACAAAGAGGGAGAAGCCCTTTCCATGGAGCTAACTGTGCATCTGGGGAGAAAGAGTCATCCTAAGTCCATCTGGGGACCATGAGGGTTGGTGTGGGATCTGGTGGGGGTGGTCTAGGGCCTAGAGCAAGTAGCCCTGGTATAGGACACCAGGAAAACAACTCAGGGCAGGATACAGGGAGTCCTTGGGCAGGGTCCTAGAGCTCCTGGGGGGCTTGGAAACACTAGGGTGATTAAAAGAGAAAGCACTGCAGGTCAAGGAAGCAACACAATAGTCTGTGAGCCCTCTCAGTAATATAACCACGACACAACTCTATTACTGATACTACTAACCATAATGACAATCAGAAGAGCTACCTGCCCTCTGAAGCATGATGAACAAGTACTTCTGCATTGTCTCTTGCACTCTTATGTAAAACCCAGTGTACACGTGCTTTTATTATATCCATTTTACAGATGAGAAAACTGAGACTCTGGGATGTTAAGAAAGTGGCTTGCCAAAACCCACCCAGCTAATAAGTGCAGGGCCAGGATTTGAATCTGAATAGTCTGACTCCACAGGCTCTATACAAGTGGCCTAGAAAGCAGTGTGGGTCCTCCATGGGGCCTCCTGTTGCGCACCACAGAAGCCCTGGCTCTGAGGCCCACCTTATCCCAACCCCGGAGTTAGTTGAGTGGCTGGAGCCATGGCTGCCCAGAGGCCTAAGGCTGCCTCAGCACCCTTCTGGCCTGCTCCCTTCCTCCTTGGCTCCCTGGCTCCTGCACCTGCTGGATATTCTCCTTTTCCTAACTCTGGGGGCCTCTCAGGCTCACTGTAGGTGCTGCAAGGCAAGGCCCTTTCTGTATGCCCCTGGGCCTGTCCTTCTGCCTGTGACCCTTAACCTGAAGCACAAAAGGTCTGCGTGGGAATGGAAGCAGGGCATCAGCTGAGGGAGCTGTGTATATGGTCAGCCCAACCTGGCCTTGTAGTGAGGAGTTTCAAAGCTTGAAGCCTCCTTCTTTGGGAGATTCTGCAAAGGTGCCAACCCCTTGCAAAGGAGCCCTGGCATCAGAACCCTCCCCAGGGGTGTCCCAGGGAGTGGGGGTGCCCTGGGCCCTGCAGCCCATACTCCTTGAGGGCAGCAGGCTATGGGGCACCCTGGGCATAGCTTTGGGAGGCCTGCAAAGGATTTCTGTGCTGGGGGCAGGAGATACCCCATGGCGCGGCAGAGCATCCACAAAGTCCCCACCCATGACAGGGTCTCCTAGGTTGAGAGTGGGCTGGGGAGTGGGTTGGGCAGCCAGGGTGCCAATGCAAAGAGGCCCCACCGAGGTATGAGACACAAGCATCCCGGGCATGTCCTGCTGTACTCCCTGTGAGACCTGGGGAACAGCGCCATGCCTCCCTGTGCATAAGGTGGCAGGAAGAAGAATCGACCGTCTGACCCTAGTGATTGGGGAGGAGGGCAGGGCCAGCACCTCACCCCACACAAGCACAGGAAGAGGGGCGGCCCCACCAGCCCCGGCTGAGCTGACCCCCCGCCCTGTCAGAGGGAGGCACTGGTCTTAAAGCCACCTGCTTCCTCCACCCCACCTTCCATTTCCCAGAGAGGCCAGAGGCAGAGGGGTGCAGAAGAGAGAGCAGAGCCCCTTTGCCTGGGCACATCTGGGCTCACTACATGGGAAAGGGCCCCAGGACAAGGGAAGACGAGAAGAGACAGGCCAGGCCCAAGGAGGGAGAGGACCTGAGATCGAAGATAGGAGAGAGGAAGACAAGAAGGAGAAGCAGAAATGAGAAGGTTGGAGAAATCCGAAGAGGCAGCTAGGGAGAGTGGGAGGTAGGCAGAGGGCAGGCAGGAGAAAAGAAATGATTCTTTTTGAACAGGCCCGCGGCTCCTCCAGCACACTGACTCAAAGATGTGGGCAGCTGAGCCTGCCTGCTCTGTGCCGTGGCTTTCTCAGTTAGTCCAGGACCACTGGGAGGGGAGTGGTGGACACCCAGCTAGCGCCTCCCCCATCAGGAGCACCTACAGTCTGTGATGACTGCCCCCAGCACCCTAAGTCAATGTTTAACCGTGGCCTGAGCCCAGGAATGTTCTATCTGGGACATGCAATTACAGGGGGTTGGGTTACAGTCCCACCACTGGCAAGGGCTTGGTGGCAGGAGATAAGAAGGTGGCACCAGGAAGGGTTGTGTGTGTGCTCAACCGTGGGCTCCCAGCACACCCCCGGGGCCGGCTCACAAGGCTCCATTGTTGGGGTCTGGCTCCCAGCCCATCGCCAGCCAGATAGGAGCTGCTGTTTTGACAAGGCGAGAAAAGCACACCCCAAGTTCGTACAGATCCCGTACCCCATTCTTATCAGGTGGAAGGTAGGGAGCTAGCAAAGCTAATGTTGATTTAGAGAAAAAAAAAAAGGAAGAAATATTAGCAATCATGGGAAAAGTCAGTTCCGGCAGCTGAAGGCAGGGTTGGGAGTGTCAAGGGCTGGGGAAGAGGCCCCACGGTTCTGGTGCTATGCTGGGTACTATGGTGCGGGAGTGGAAACCAGGCATAGCCATTCTGCTTCCTAGGACTTGAAGTCTAGTTAGGACAAGAATAGTTCATTTATTCACCTAAATATGCAGGCTCTGTCGTAGGTGCTGGGGGGATTCAAGTTGCTGAACTTCTAGTGGAATGTGCTTAAAAATAGAGAGCTGTGAACATCTGCACTTAGCTGGGGGGACAGGGCGAGTGAGACAGAGGGAAGGCGGGGATCACTCTTGGGTAGACAGGCAAGGCCCTGAAGGCTGAAGGAGAAATGCAGATTATTACCAGGAGGCTGGGTGTGAATCCCAGCTCCTTCTCCACCAGCGGATTCTGAGAGAGGAATTTTGTCTGACTGAGCCGCAATCTATAAAATGAGGAAGACAGGAGAAACTACTTAAGGTGGTTAAATAGAGGATTGGAGGAGAGAAGTCATGCAGGTACTGAGCACAGGTGGCCCCTCTGGAAATCAGTATCACAAATGGGTAAATCACAGGCAGCTGGTCATCCAAGCTGGGAGCTAAAGTGTGGTAAACGTGGGCTAGACCCCAAGCTGGTGCTGTAGGCTAGGATTGGGCTAGTTAGCACAGAGCAGGGACGGCAGCTCTGGGAGAGAAAGGAGGCCAGCCTGCTGTGAGGGTAGGGTCACGTCCCCTCTTTCCCCAGCATGAGGGGCCGGCACACCACAGACATAGAGGGCAGCTGCCATCACCACTCAAAAACTCTGCGACACCAGTTTAAAGTGTGCTGTAAAATACAGATTTGGAAGAAATGAGCTGAGTAGATCACTTTAAGGATGAAAAATCCCTATAAAATGTCAGTTTGGGCCGGACGAGGTGGCTCACACCTATAATCCCAGCACTTTGGGAGGCCGAGGTGAGTGGATCACCTGAGGTCAGGAATTCAAGACCAGCCTGGCCAACATGGCGAAACCCTATCTCTCCTAAAAATACAAAAATTAGCCGGGCATGGTGGCAGGTGCCTGTAATCCCAACTACTCAGGAGGCTGCGACAGGAAAATTGCTTGAACTCAGGAGGCAGAAGTTTCTGTAAACCAAGATTGCACTACTGCACTCCAGCCTGGGTGACAGAGTGAGACTCAGTCTCAAAAAAAAAAAAAAAAAAAAAAAAAAAAGAAAGAAAAAAAGAAAAAGGAAAAGAAAAGAAAGAAAATGTGTCAGTTTGGAGACCCACTGATGAGAAAGAGCCACAGGGTGACCTCCTGTCTTGTGCATGCAAGTCATGCACTACTGTAGGTCTGCAACAAAGCTGCCCTGGGCAGACAAGGCAGGGGAGAAAGAGGTTGTGTTAGTCTGCTTAGGCTGCCATAACAAAATACCAGACTGGGTGGCTTCGACAACAGACATTTATTTCTCACAGTTCTGGGGGCTGAGAAGTCCAAGATCAAGGTGCTGCCAATTTGGTTCCTGGTGAGTACTCTTGTCCTGGCTTGCAGATGGCTGCCTTCTAGCTGTGTCCTCATATGGCCTTTCCTGTATGTAGTAGAAGAGAGATCTCTTGGCTGGGCACAGTGGCTCATGGCTGTAATCCCAGCACTTTGGAAGGCTGAGGCAGGTGGATCATGAGGTCAGGAGGTCGAGACCATCCTGGCTAACATGGTGAAAATCCATCTCTACTAAAAATACAAAAAATTAGCTGGGCGTGGTGGCATGCGCCGGTAGTCCCAGCTAGTCGGGAGGCTGAGTGAGGCAGGAGAATCACTTAAACCTGGGAGGCGGAAGTTGCAGTGAGCTGAGATCGCACCATTGTACTCCAGCCTGGGCGACAGAGCGAGACTCTGTCTCAAAAGAAAAAAAAAAAAAAAAGAGAATAGAGATCTCTCATATCTCTTCCTCTTGTTATAGGGACACCAGTCCTATGGGACTAGGGCCCCACCCTTCTGGTTGCATTTCACCTTAATTACTTCCTTAGAAGCCCCATTTCCAAATACAGCCACACTGAGGGGTTAGGGCTGTGACATGAATTTTGGAGGGGCACAAACATTCAGTCCATAACAGAGGCCTTCTTTGGTGTGCAAAGTAGAGATGAGAACGTAGTGTGCAAGGAGTTAAGACCTTTCCTGGGATTAGAACAGACTCACAGATACTATCTTCCTCCCGAGGCAGTTATGGCTGACAGCACAAGAGGAGCTAGCTACAAGGGGCCCATTGCTCCCTAGAGCCCTGAGAACAGTTGCTGGAGAAATTCTTAAATCAGTAAGAAACAGAGTTAGCTTCTGCAGTTATTAATTTCTACTAAGCAGAAACTTAGTAATGGCAATAACTGGCCATGCCCAAGTGTTTGCGTTTCTTTAAATCCTAACCATTGGTGGATAGCAAGTCTTTATGCTTCTTAGTTTAAGGGAAAAAAGTAATTACAGAAAAAGCATGCTAGGGTAGACAAAGAATACTATCTTCCATTTCCTAATTATGAATACCTTAGAAAATCTTAACTGGTTGGTTCACATTATAATGTTATTCATTGTATATTATTATTTTCATTATGTATATACAACATATGCGTAGTATATTGTTCACTTTATATATTGTTACTCATGTGGTGATGGCTGAGTGAAGAGCAGGCAGAGTGTTTGAGGGGGAAGAAAAATAAACTTTTAGGCAGCTTACCTGCCTGTTATTTTGTATACATCATCTCATTTAATCTTAATAACAGCCATGCAAAATTAGCATTAGTCCTATGTATTTATTTGTTGGCTTGTTTGTTTTAGGGAAAGGTTAGATGAAATTTCCTCCATTTTTACAAAGAGGGAAACTGAGGCTCAGAGAGGTGATGTGACTCTGAAAGTTCTCCAGCTACTAAGTGATAGAGTCAGGATTCATACTCCGGGATTTCTCATGCTGATGCCTGTGTTCATTACATTCATTGCTACCCTGATTTTGCATACCCAGAACATTGAGGCCATAACAAATGCTGTGCACACAAGCACCCAGCCCCTTTACACGGCCCTACATGCTCACATGTACCTCATGTGTAGTGCTCACACATGTGTACACACAGGTCTGTGCCTGCCATATCCCCCTTGCTCACATGCAGCCACAGGTTGGCTACGTAGGTCCCAGCTGGAGAATGTCCACGTGATCCCAGCACGAGGTCAATATGACATCTGCTTCTTCTCCTTCTGAACACCAAGCTCTCAACCTCCAATCATGAATCCTTCTTTGCCTCATCCTTTTATAGAAAGTAGAGGCTACACACAGTTTCTGGGTCCTTTGTCTCTGTCTGCCCAATCTTGCAAGCTGGCCTTGATAGCAGCTCCTTTACACACCTTCAGCCCTGTGCCAGTTGACCCCACCCAGCAGGCAGCCATTTCACTGTGGGGCTCCCTGCATCAATGCACTGAATGGCACCCTGTTGCCCCCATTCCACTGTTCATTGTGCCTGACTCCCTACTTAATTTTTAAGACTTAAGTTAATTTCTTCAGGAAGCCTTCTCACCTCCCACTCAAGGCCAGGTTGGGTTCCCCTTCCCTGAGCACCCATGGTACCCTGAATCCACTTGTAAGAGCCCCCACCCTTCCTTGAGGTATGGATCTCCTTTCTTGCCTATAGTAGGACCTCTCCTACTAGACTGGGAGCTCTCTGAGGGGCAGGCACTGGGTCTGCTGTCCTTGTATTTGTGGAGGACAGCTCACAGTAGGTGCTCAGTTAGGGCTACCAAATTTAACAAATAAAAATACAAGATGCCCAGTTAATTCTGAATTTCAGATAAACAATGAATAGTAATAATAAAATAATAACAATGAATAGAAATATTGCATTATTTTATCTGTCAACCCAATGCCCAATAAATGTGGATTGCATTAATTCATAGGTGAATGAGCAAACAGCACAGAAAAAGAAACAGCAGTATATGTGGAAGAAAGCAAGAAAAATCAACTGGCCTGGAACCTAAGACTTGTCCAAAGATGTCACAGAGAGTAAAATGAGAAAAATCCAGTAGCCCGTGCCCAGAGCAGTTCCTCGTACCCAGTGAGTACTCCATCAGTAGTGACTGAGAGACTGAATGAATATTTTGCAGGAGGGAGGTGGTGTTGAATGCCAGAAAAAGTAGCAAGGATGTCAAAACAGAAATGGAGGGTGTGGTGGCGACAGTGGCTTTGGTCATGGGACATTTGAGGGAGTCAAGTGACCAGCAGGCTGCAGCCTCCAAGTCCCCAAAACTCAGATTCACAGAGTGGCCATGTCCTTATGAGAAATCAAGACTCTCCTCCCGGGCATTGTAGGGGTCTGTGCCTGCCTCGGCGCAGGTGCAGTTCAGCAGTGGACAGGGCAGCCCAGGCTCGAGAGGCCTTCCCAGGCCCACAGGCACAGCCACCCCCTCTAGCGGGACCTCCACTGTCAACCTTGGCCTGACTGGATGCCAGAGGATCACAATAAGTGCAGACCCCGGTTCTCCCCTCCCCATCACAGAGCAGAGGGAGCCACAGTTCCCTTGGGGCCCCTGGAAGCCCCCACCAGACTGGGCTTCCCCTGGAGCTCCGCATGCAGAACGTGGCCTTGGGGAGTTTCCCGAACCCTCTGAACCCTCTGAAACATGCGGCTGGGCTCCCAGGCCCCAGGCTGCCAGGCAGTGTTGTGGGGAGAGGGATGGTGTTGAGCTCCGGGGAGGAAACAGACCCCCATTGTCCCCCTGGGCCTGGCAGCACAAAGGGAGCCTGTGTCATGGCAGCAGATGTATGTGGCTGACTGTGGTGGACACCGGCCTAGGAGAAGCATACAGCCTGGGGACCCTGTCTGCTTCATGTCCCTCCAAGTGGGACCTGTGGGCTGGTTCTCTGTGCCTGAGGGATGGCATGTACGTGGGGCCACTGGCTATCTCCGACGGTGCACACCGTGTGTTCACACCAGGAGGTCTGAGTGCAGCAAGTGTATGCTTGCGTGTCTGCATGTGGCGATACACGTGTGCCTGGGCGAGTCTGCAAGTACGTAAGCATGTGGGTCTGTGAGTGTGCGCATCACATGGAGGGCAGGTGATGCTTCTGCGCACGTGGGAGCCCATGTGCCCAAACAGGCCGCCTTCCCCAAGAGCCTGGCCAAAAACGGCAGAACTGGCTGCCGAGCTTTCTTGGGAAAAAAAGTACCAAGATTGGGACCAAGGCTCTGTCCAAGGGAGACTCAGGCTGTGCACACACACATGCACACACACACACGCACACACACACAGTGGAGATGCTGCATTCTGCCTGGTACAGTGTTAGAGGGCAGGGCGGGGTGGGGCAGTGGAGGGGGGGTGGGTTCTCCTGTGGGGTGAGGGCCGCCCAGATGCTCCTGGGGTTTTGGGTGTGGCTGCCTCCTTCACTTAGCCTCTCCTTGTCTCTGGCCTTGGCTTCCTTTCTGCTTCCTAGCGTCCTGAACGATCAGGAACCTCTTTCGGGTTGGGGACCCTCACACAAGTAGTGGTGGGGTAGAAGGGCAGGAATGGCTGTGGTCTTCCAGGTTCAGGACATGCCCCAAGAGCTGAGCTGCCTAGTATGGCCTTGCATCCCTCCCACCCCAACCCCCAGTGAATTGGATCCCACCCACTCAGCCTGCACTTCCAGCCTTACCAGAATCAGGAAATGAGATTTCAACTCCATTCAACTAAATCCAACAAATATTTACAGAGGATCTTCTAAGCAGTAGGTTCTGTAAAGCTGGGAGGGGCAGGGAGAGGCCCTTTTCTGGGCCCTGCCTCCTGGGATGACTCCAGGTTCAAGACAACAAGGCCTTCCCTACGGCTTTGCTCCCTACGGACACCCACAGCTGCTGCCTGCACCCAGCACCCACACCCCTGCCCACTGGCCATGATTAGAGGCCCTGTCCATGAGGGATGCATGGAGGAGCCTCTCAGGGATAATGCCTACTGCACTGGTTCCCCCCTCGCCCCTCCAGGGGTTGCCGTATCCCCTGCGCCCTTTAGGAGATGGTGCAAGATGCTGAGGAACTCAGAAGCTTGGGTTTCCTTCTGATTATATTACTCTCCACAAAGACGGCTCCTCTGCCTTCAGAGTCCCACCCAGCAGGTGGGACTCTGGGGCTTTTGAAAATGGGCAGGCATCTCCCAGCTTATCCCATGGGAAAAGATGGAAGCTCCCTCCCTCTATCTTGGTCTCCAAGGGAAATGCGCCTTATGACCCTTTGGGTTAGGTGTAAAAATATTGTGAGTCAGTTTGTTTTTTCCATCTGGAAATTTAAGAATGACTTGCCAAATATTTAATAAATGGATTGACACAATGCCCCCTCTTAGTCCCAGTTTCAGACTGTCCTGAGTCCCCAAAAGTTTCTGTAGGAATTCCGGGGACAAAGGTGGGTTCCTCAGTGTGGGATGTGTTGGGGGGCACCGTCCGGTTCTGACTCTCTTTCAGCGAACGGCTTCGTTATAACTGTGTAAGCGCCCCAGCGCGTCGCCAGTGTGGCTGGTTTTAGAAAAATGATGCCTGAAACAGAATGGGCCCATACTTCATGAATGAGAGAGGTAAAGCAGAAAGCTCTTCCTTAGACAATAGGTTCTGTGGGTATCAAATCTGAGGACAATTTGTGCAGTTTTCTTTGACAAAAAGGTGAGTAGGTTCTAGATCACTGACCTTTTCTACAAGTGGCTATGAGCAGTGTGTGACCTCGGTGGGTATTTCAGACAAAAACAGTCCGTCTTACCATATTATAGTGAACATTTCAACAATAAGAGAGAGAAACAGCTTTCAAATGAAACATATGCTAGGGAGAGAACATTTTGAAAATGGTTATTTGGAAATGTTGCCATCATAAGGTGATCTTAGTTCTGAAAACGATGTAAATATGTCAGTTATTAAAAACTCTATCTACACAATTAAAAAAACAAGCTCGGGGCTGGGTGCGGTGGCTCACGCCTGTAATCCCAGCACTTTGGGAGGCCGAGGTGGGTGGATCATGAGGTCAGGAGATTGAGACCATCCTGGTTAACACGGTGAAACCCCATCTCTACTAAAAAAAAAAAAATACAAAAAAATTAGCCAGGCGTGGTGGCGGGCACCTGTAGTCCCAGCTACTCTGGAGGCTGAGGCAGGAGAATGGCGTGAACCCAGGAGGCGGAGTTTGCAGTGAGCCGAGATCCTGCCACTGCACTCCACCCTGGGTGACAGAGCAAGACTCCATCTCAATAATAATAATAATAATAATAAGCTTGGAAAATTTTTCAAATAAAGAGTTTAACAGAATTTTGAATCAGTTTGCTAAAATTATAAAAACAAAACCTTCCAATTATTTTTCAAGAACAACCGGGGGCCGGGCACGGTGGCTCACGCCTGTAATCCCAGCACTTTGGGAGGCCGAGGCGGGCGGATCACGAGGCCAAGAGATCGAGACCATCCTGACCAACATGGTGAAACCCTGTCTCTACTAAAAATACAAAAAATTAGCCGGGCGTGGTGGCAGGCGCCTGTAGTCCCAGCTACTCGGCAGGCTGAGGCAGGAGAATGGCCTGAACGTGGGAGGCGGAGCTTGCAGTGAGCCAAGATCGTGCCACTGCACTCCACCCTGGGTGACAGAGCAAGACTCTATCTAAAAAAGAAGAAGAAGAAGAAGAAGAAGATTGGAAAATTTTTCAAATAAAGAGTTTAAGGGAATTTTGAATCAGTTTGCTAAAATTATAAAAACAAAACCTTCCAATTATTTTTCAAGAACAACTGGGGGCCGGGCACAGTGGCTCACGCCTGTAATCCCAGCACTTTGGGAGGCCGAGGCGGGCAGATCACGAGGCCAAGAGATCGAGACCATCCTGACCAACATGGTGAAACCCTGTCTCTACTAAAAATACAAAAAAATTTGCCAGGCGTGGTGGCAGGCGCGTGTAGTTCCAGCTACTCAGGAGACTGAGGCAGGAGAATGGCGTGAACCCAGGAGGCGGAGCTTGCAGTGAGCTAAGATCATGCCACCGCACTCCATCGTGGGCGACACAGCAAGACTCCGTCTCAAAAAAAAAAAAAAACAAAAGAACAACTGTTTGAAATTGGGAAAGATGGAAATTTACCAGCTAAATGTCAATTTGATTGCATCGTGAGTGAAATATAAATGCCATGAAATAGTGAGTGCAGCGAATGATGCACTTCTATCATTTGGTAAGGTCTGTCTTATAGCAATGGCCATTATGAATACTAAGACTCAAAATAAACTGAACCAAAGGCAGGGCGAGGTGGCTCACACCTGTAATCCCAGCACTTTGGGAGGTCAAGCCGGGTGGATCACCTGAGGTCAGGAATTCAAGACCAGTCTGGCTAACACAGTGAAACCCCGTCTCTAGCAAAAATACAAAAAGTTGCTGGGCATGGTGGCAGGCGCCTATTATCCCAGCTACTCAGAAGACTGAGGCACGAGAATCGCTTGAACCCGGGAGGCGGAGGCTATAGTGAGCCCAGATTGCGCCACTGTAATCCAGCCTGGGTGACAGAGCAAGACTCCGTCTCAAAAACAAAACAAAACAAAACAAAAAAACAAAAACAACAACAAAAAAACAAGTTTCCTTGAAAATCTCTCCAACAGAAGACATCTATATGCTGCCACCCCAGTGTGGGTGCTCCCTCACCTTATGAATCATTGCAAGATTAAGGCAGGAAAAAGGCATGGGTGTGGACAGCCAGCATGGCGTCACGGCTAATAGCATGGGCAACTCTGGAGTAGGGCTATCTGGGATCCATGCTGGTGGCCAGTTCTAGCTGAGTGATGGGCTAGTTACTCAACCTTCTTCTACTGCAGTTTCTCCTTCTGTAAAATAAGGAAAATAACAGTGCTTACTTCATAGGGGTTTTAAGAAGATTAATATTTGTAAAGCACTTAAAATAGTACTCTACAAAATATATATATATGTACACACATACAAAATTACATATATATATATATGAATGAACTCCTACACCTCAATAGAAAGAATATACCTAATTAAAATATAGCCCCAAAATTTAAACAGACATTTCACCAAAAAAGATACACAGATTTAAAAAAATACATAAAAGATATTTAACCTCATTAGTTATTAGGGAAACACAAATGAAAACCACAAGGCAACAGCATTACACACCAACCAGAATGGCTAAAATTAAAAAAACAGACAATACCAAGTGCTGAGGAAGACTCAGAGCAACTGGAACTTTCATTCATTGCTGGTGGAAATATAGAATGGTACAGCACCTAGGAAAACACTTTGTTTCTTATAAAGTTAAATATCCACATATCAAATAATTCAGCAATCCTACTTCTTGATACTTAGGGAAGAGAAATGAAAACACATGTACACACAAATACACACAAATGTTTATAGCAGCTTTATTCACAATTGCCCCAAACTGGAAACAACCCAAATGTCCATCAACCGGTGAATGGATAAACATACTGTGGTATGTCCATACAATGGAATACTGCTTAACACTAAAAGGGAACAAAGTACTCATATACACAATGTGGGTGAATCTCAAAAGCAATGTCAACTGAAAGAAGCCAGACACAAAAAGATTACATACTGTGATTCCACATATGTGTCATTCTGGAAAAAGGCAAAAGTATAGGGATGGAAATCAGACCAGAGATTCCTGGGGGTAGGAAGAGGGGAATAATTGTAAAAGGGAATGAGGGGACTTCTTGGAGAGATGAATCTATTTTGTATTTTGATCGTGATGGTGGTTACATACCTATACATATTTGCCAAAACTCACTAAGCTGTACACTTGATAAGGGTGAATTTTATTGTATGTAAATTATATTTCAGTAAACCTGATGGAATAAACAATGCTTAGCACATCATAAGTGCTACATAAACATTTAATAAAGCAAATATTTTTTTTATTTTTATTTTTTATTATACTTTAAGTTTTAGGGTACATGTGCACATTGTGCAGGTTAGTTACATATGTATACATGTGCCATGCTGGTGCACTGCACCCACTAACTTGTCATCTAGCATTAGGTATATCTCCCAATGCTATCCCTCCCCCCTCCCCCCACCCCACAACAGTCCCCAGTGTGATATTCCCCTTCCTGTGTCCATGTGTTCTCATTGTTCAATTCCCACCTATGAGTGAGAATATGTGGTGTTTGGTTTTTTGTTCTTGCGATAGTTTACTGAGAATGATGTTTTCCAATTTCATCCATGTCCCTACAAAGGACATGAACTCATCATTTTTTTATGGCTGCATAGTATTCCATGGTGTATATGTGCCACATTTTCTTAATCCAGTCTATCATTGTTGGACATTTGGGTTGGTTCCAAGTCTTTGCTATTGTGAATAGTGCCGCAATAAACATACGTGTGCATGTGTCTTTATAGCAGCATGATTTATAGTCCTTTGGGTATATACCCAGTAATGGGATGGCTGGGTCAAATGGTATTTCCAGTTCTAGATCCCTGAGGAATCGCCACACTGACTTCCACGATGGGTGAACTAGTTTACAGTCCCACCAACAGTGTAAAAGTGTTCCTATTTCTCCACATCCTCTCCAGCACCTGTTGTTTCCTGACTTTTTAATGATTGCCATTCTAACTGGTGTGAGATGGTATCTCACTGTGGTTTTGATTTGCATTTCTCTGATGGCCAGTGATGATGAGCATTTTTTCATGTGTTTTTTGGCTGCATAAATGTCTTCTTTTGAGAAGTGTCTGTTCATGTCCTTTGCCCACTTTTTGATGGGGTTGTTTGTTTTTTTCTTGTAAATTTGTTTGAGTTCATTGTAGATTCTGGATATTAGCCCTTTGTCAGATGAGTAGGTTGCGAAAATTTTCTCCCATTGTGTAGGTTGCCTGTTCACTCTGATGGTAGTTTCTTTTGCTGTGCAGAAGCTCTTTAGTTTAATTAGATCCCATTTGTCAATTTGGCTTTTGTTGCCATTGCTTTTGGTGTTTTAGACATGAAGTCCTTGCCCATGCCTATGTCCTGAATGGTAATGCCTAGGTTTTCTTCTGGGGTTTTTATGGTTTTAGGTCTAACGTTTAAGTCTTTAATCCATCTTGAATTGATTTTTGTATAAGGTGTAAGGAAGGGATCCAGTTTCAGCTTTCTGCATATGGCTAGCCAGTTTTCCCAGCACCATTTATTAAATAGGGAATCCTTTCCCCATTGCTTGTTTTTCTCAGGTTTGTCAAAGATCAGATAGTTGTAGATATGCGGCGTCATTTCTGAGGGCTCTGTTCTGTTCCATTGATCTATATCTCTGTTTTGGTACCAGTACCCTGCTGTTTTGGTGACTGCAGCCTTGTAGTATAGTTTGCAGTCAGGTAGTGTGATGCCTCCAGCTTTGTTCTTTTGGCTTAGGATTGACTTGGCGATGCGGGCTCTTTTTTGGTTCCATATGAACTTTAAAGTAGTTTTTTCCAATTCTGTGAAGAAAGGCATTGGTAGCTTGATGGGGATGGCATTGAATCTGTAAATTACCTTGGGCAGTATGGCCATTTTCACGATATTGAGTCTTCCTACCCATGAGCATGGAATGTTCTTCCATTTGTTTGTATCCTCTTTTATTTCCTTGAGCAGTGGTTTGTAGTTCTCCTTGAAGAGGTCCTTCACATCCCTTGTAAGTTGGATTCCTAGGTATTTTATTCTCTTTGAAGCAATTGTGAATGGGAGTTCACTCATGATTTGGCTCTCTGTTTGTCTGTTATTGGTGTATAAGAATGCTTGTGATTTTTGTACATTGATTTTGTATCCTGAGACTTTGCTGAAGTTGCTTATCAGCTTAAGGAGATTTTGGGCTGAGACAATGGGGTTTTCTAGATATACAATCATGTCATCTGCAAACAGGGACAATTTGACTTCCTCTTTTCCTAATTGAATACCCTTTATTTCCTTCTCCTGCCTAATTGCCCTGGCCAGAACTTCCAACACTGTGTTGAATAGGAGCGGTGAGAGAGGGCATCCCTGTCTTGTGCCAGTTTTCAAAGGGAATGCTTCCAGTTTTTGCCCATTCAGTATGATATTGGCTGTGGGTTTGTCATAGATAGCTCTTATTATTTTGAAATACGTCCCATCAATACCTAATTTATTGAGAGTTTTTAGCATGAAGGGTTGTTGAATTTTGTCAAAGGCTTTTTCTGCATCTATTGAGATAATCATGTGGTTTTTGTCTTTGGCTCTGTTTATATGCTGGATTACATTTATTGATTTGCATATATTGAACCAGCCTTGCATCCCAGGGATGAAGCCCACTTGATCATGGTGGATAAGCTTTTTGATGTGCTGCTGGATTCGATTTGCCAGCATTTTATTGAGGATTTTTACATCAATGTTCATCAAGGATATTGGTCTAAAATTCTCTTTTTTGGTTGTGTCTCTGCCTGGCTTTGGTATCAGAATGATGCTGGCCTCATAAAATGAGTTAGGGAGGATTCCCTCTTTTTCTATTGATTGGAATAGTTTCAGAAGGAATGGTACCAGTTCCTCCTTGTACCTCTGGTAGAATTCAGCTGTGAATCCATCTGGTCCTGGACTCTTTTTGGTTGGTAAGCTATTGATTATTGCCACAATTTCAGATCCTGTTATTGGTCTATTCAGAGATTCAACTTCTTCCTGGTTTAGTCTTGGGAGAGTGTATGTGTCAAGGAATTTATCCATTTCTTCTAGATTTTCTAGTTTATTTGCATAGAGGTGTTTGTAGTATTCTCTGATGGTAGTTTGTATTTCTGTGGGATCAGTGGTGATATCCCCTTTATCATTTTTTATTGCATCTATTAGATTCTTCTATCTTTTTTTCTTTATTAGTCTTGCTAGCGGTCTATCAATTTTGTTGATTCTTTCAAAAAACCAGCTCCTGGATTCATTAATTTTTTGAAGGGTTTTTTGTGTCTGTATTTCCTTCAGTTCTGCTCTGATCTTAGTTATTTCTTGCCTTCTGCTAGCTTTTGAATGTGTTTGCTCTTGCTTTTCTAGTTCTTTTAATTGTGATGTTAGGGTGTCAATTTTGGATCTTTCCCGCTTTCTCTTGTGGGCATTTAGTGCTATAAATTTCCCTCTACACACTGTTTTGAATGCGTCCCAGAGATTCTGGTATGTTGTGTCTTTGTTCTCATTGGTTCCAAAGAACATCTTTATTTCTGCCTTCATTTCGTTATGTACCCAGTAGTCATTCAGGAGCAGGTTGTTCAGTTTCCATGCAGTTGAGCGGTTTTGAGTGAGATTCTTAATCCTGAGTTCTAGTTTGATTGCACTGTGGTCTGAGAGATAGTTTGTTATAATTTCTGTTCTTTTACATTTGCTGAGGAGAGCTTTACTTGCAAGTATGTGGTCAATTTTGGAATAGGTGTGGTGTGGTGCTGAAAAAAATGTATATTCTGTTGATTTGGGGTGGAGAGTTCTGTAGATGTCCATTAGGTCCGCTTGGTGCAGAGCTGAGTTCAATTCCTGGGTATCCTTGTTGACTTTCTGTCTCGTTGATCTGTCTAATGTTGACAGTGGGGTGTTAAAGTCTCCCATTATTAATGTGTGGGAGTCTAAGTCTCTTTGTAGGTCACTCAGGACTTGCTTTATGAATCTGGGTGCTCCTGTATTGGGTGCATATATATTTAGGATAGTTAGCTCTTCTTGTGGAATTGATCCCTTTACCATTATGTAATGGCCTTCTTTGTCTCTTTTGATCTTTGTTGGTTTAAAGTCTGTTTTATCAGAGACTAGGATTGCAACCCCTGCCTTTTTTTGTTTTCCATTGACTTGGTAGATCTTCCTCCATCCTTTTATTTTGAGCCTGTGTGTGTCTCTGCACGTGAGATGGGTTTCCTGAATACAGCACACTGATGGGTCTTGACTCTTTATCCAATTTGCCAGTCTGTGTCTTTTAATTGGAGCATTTAGTCCATTTACATTTAAAGTTAATATTGTTATGTGTGAATTTGATCCTGTCATTATGATGCTAGCTGGTTATTTTGCTCATTAGTTGATGCAGTTTCTTCCTAGTCTTGATGGTCTTTACATTTTGGCATGATTTTGCAGTGGCTGGTACCGGTTGTTCCTTTCCATGTTTAGTGCTTCCTTCAGGAGCTCTTTTAGGGCAGGCCTGGTGGTGACAAAATCTCTCAGCATTTGCTTGTCTGTAAAGTATTTTATTTCTCCTTCACTTATGAAGCTTAGTTTGGCTGGATATGAAATTCTGGGTTGAAAATTCTTTTCTTTAAGAATGTTGAATATTGGCCCCCACTCTCTTCTGGCTTGTAGGGTTTCTGCTGAGAGATCCGCTGTTAGTCTGATGGGCTTCCCTTTGAGGGTAACCCGACCTTTCTCTCTGGCTGCCCTTAACATTTTTTCCTTCATTTCAAATTTGGTGAATCTGACAATTATGTGTCTTGGAGTTGCTCTTCTCGAGGAGTATCTTTGTGGCGTTCTCTGTATTTCCTGAATCTCAACGTTGGCCTGCCTTGCTAGATTGGGGAAATTCTCCTGGATAATATCCTGCAGAGTGTTTTCCAACTTGGTTCCATTCTCCCCATCACTTTCAGGTACACCAATCAGATGTAGATTTGGTCTTTTCACATAGTCCCATATTTGTTGGAGGCTTTGCTCATTTCTTTTTATTCTGTTTTCTCTAAACTTTCCTTCTTACTTCTTTTCATTCATTTCATCTTCCATTGCTGATACCCTTTCTTCCAGTTGATCACATCGGCTCCTGAGGCTTCTGCATTCTTCATGTAGTTTTCGAGCCTTGGTTTTCAGCTCCATCAGCTCCTTTAAGCACTTCTCTGTATTGGTTATTCTAGTTATACATTCTTCTAAATTTTTTTCAAAGTTTTCACCTTCTTTGCCTTTGGTTTGAATGTCCTCCCATAGCTCAGAGTAATTTGATCGTCTGAAGCCTTCTTCTCTCAGCTCATCAAAGTCATTCTCCATCCAGCTTTGTTCCGTTGCTGGTGAGGAGCTGCGTTCCTTTGGAGGAGGAGAGGCGCTCTGATTTTTAGAGTTTCCGGTTTTTCTGTTCTGTTTCTTCCCCATCTTTTTGGTTTTATCTACTTTTGGTCTTTGATGATGGTGATGTACAGATGGGTTTTTGGTGTGGATGTCCTTTCTGTTTGTTAGTTTTCCTTCTAACAGACAGGACCCTCAGCTGCAGGTCTGTTGGAGTACCCTGCAGTGTGAGGTGTCAGTGTGCCCCTGCGGGAGGGTGCCTCCCAGTTAGGCTGCTCGGGGGTCCGGGGTCAGGGACCCACTTGAGGAGGCAGTCTGCCCGTTCTCAGATCTCCAGCTGCATACTGGGAGAGCCACTGCTCTCTTCAAAGCTGTCAGACAGGGACATTTAAGTCTGCAGAGGTTACTGCTGTCTTTTTGTTTGTCTGTGCCCTGCCCCCAGAGGTGGAGCCTACAGACGCAGGCAGGCCTCCTTGAGCTGTGGTGGGCTCCACCCAGTTCGAGCTTCCCGGCTGCTTTGTTTACCTAAGCAAGCCCGGGCAATGGTGGGCACCCCTCCCCCAGCCTCGCTGCGGCCTTGCAGTTTGATCTCAGACTGCTGTGCTAGCAATCAGTGAGACTCTGTGGGCGTACGACCCTCTGAGCCAGGTGCAGGATATAATCTCGTGGTGCGCCGTTTTTTAAGCCGGTCTGAAAAGCGCAATATTCGGGTGGGAGTGACCCGATTTTCCAGGTGCGTCCGTCACCCCTTTCTTTGACTCGGAAAGGGAACTCCCTGACCCCTTGCGCTTCCCGAGTGAGGCAATGCCTCGCCCTGCTTCGGCTCGCGCACGGTGCGCACACCGACTGACTTGCGCCCACTGTCTGGCACTCCCTAGTGAGATGAACCCGGTACCTCAGATGGAAATGCAGAAATCACCGTCTTCTGCGTCGCTCACGCTGGGAGCTGTAGACCGGAGCTGTTCCTATTCGGCCATCTTGGCTCCTCCCCGCAAATATTTCAAAGCATAGAACAATTAACGATGTATACACCCAAAATATTACCAGGAATTATCTCTAAGTGGCAAGATTATTATAATTTTTAATTCCTTCTTTGTGTTTTCTGTATATAAAATAGTTTAAAATATATATATAAATTGAGAAACTAATTCTAAAACTCATATGGAAGTGCAAAGAAATGAATAATCACAACAACTTTTGAAGAAGCATAAAGTTGAAAGACAAACACCATCTGATTTTAACACTTATTATAAAGTGCAGTAATCAAGACAGTGTGATATTGGTATAAAGACAGACAAACAGATCAATGGAACAGAATTGAAAGTCCAGAAATAGACCCATATTTAAATGGACAAGTGATTTCTAACAAAGGCATAAAGGCAATGCAGTACAAGAAAGGATAGTCTTGGCCAGTCGCAGTGGCTCACACCTGTAATCCCAGCACTTTGGGAGGCTGAGCCAGGAGGACTGCTTGAGCTCAGGAGTTCAAGACCAGCCTGGGTAACATGGGGAAACCCAGTCTCCACAAAAATACAAAAATTAGCCGGGTGTGCTGGTACATGCCTATAGTCCCAGCTACTTGGAAGGCTGAGGTGGATCACTTGAGCCTGGGAGGTCAAGGCTGCAGTGAGCCATGTTTGTGCTACTGCACTCCAGCCTCCAGCCTGAGTGACAAAGCAAGACACTGCCTCGAAAAACAAAACAAAACAAAAATGATAGTCTTTTTCAACAAATGGTACTGGAACATATCCATAAGCAGAAAAGTAAACTATACTTTGCACCATACGTAAAATATAACTTCAAGTGGACTCTAGACCTAAATGTAAAATCTAAAACTGTGAAACATCTAGAAGAAAGCCTTTTTGACCATGGAGTAGGCAAAAATTTCTTAGATATAACACCAAAAGCATGATCCATAATGAAACAAATTGGTAGGTTGTCCAACACAGTGAAACCCCATCTGTACTAAAAATACAAAATTAGCCAGACATGGTGGCACATGCCTGTAATCCCAGCTACTTGGGAGGCTGAAGCACGAGAATCACTTGAAACCGGGAGGCAGAGGCTGCAGTGAGCCAAGATCATGCCACTGCACTCCTGCCAGGGCAACAAGAGCAAAACTCCGTCTCAAAACAAACAAACAAAAAAACTTAATAATGCCAGGTGCAGTAGCTCACACCTGTAATCCCAGAAATTTCCGAGGCCAAGGCAGGATGATCCTTTGAAGCCAGAAGTTTGAGACCAGCCTGGGCAACATAGCAAGACCCCATCTCTACAAAAAATTAAAAAGTAAATTAAAAATTAGCTGGGCATAGTGGTATGTACCTGTAGTCCCAGCTAATTGGGAGGCTGAGATGGGAGGATCACTTAAATCCAGGAGGTCAAGACCAACTTGGGCAACATACCAAGACCCCTTCTCTACAAACATTTTTAAAAAATTAGCTGAGTGTGGTGGTGCATGCTGGTAGCCCTAGCTACTAGGAAGGCTAAGGCAGGGGGATCGCTTCAGCCCAGGAGTTTGAGACTGCAGTGGGCCATGATCTTGCCACTGCATTCCAGCATAGGTGACAGAAAGAGACCCTGTCTCTAAAATTTTTTTTTAATTTAATAAGAAGAAAGCAGCCTAAAAAAATGGATACAAGATCTCTCATTCCACTAACTATTAGAATAGCTAAAATAAAAAAGACTGACTATACGAAGTGCTGGCAGGGATGTGGAGGAACTGGAATTTTCATACACAGCTAATGAGAACTTAAATGGTACAACCACCAAACACTTAGGAAAACATTTGGACAATTTCTTAAAAAGTTAAACATACGCATACTGTGGCCTGGTGCGGTGGCTCACACCTGTAATCCCAATACTCTGGGAGGCTGAGCCAGGCAGATCACCTGAGGTTGGGAGTTCAAGACCAGCCTGACCACCATGGAGAAACCCCATCTCTACTAAAAATACAAAATTAGCCGGGCGTGGTGGCACATGCCTGTAATCCAGCTACTCAGGAGGCTGAGTCAGGAGAATTGCTTGAATCCGGGAGGAGGTTGCGGTGAGCCAAGATCATGCCATTGTACTCCAGCCTGGGCAGCAAGAGTGAAACTCCATCTCAAAAAAAAAAAATAAATGTTAAACATACACAATTGTGCAATCCAGCCATTCCACTCCTAGGTATTTGTCCAGAGCAATAAAAGTGTCCATACAAAGACTTATTCATCAATGCTCATACCAGCTTTATTTGTAATAGCCTAAAACTGGAAACGACCAAAATGTCCATTAACAGATGAATGGATAAACAAACTGTGTTATATCTATACAATGGAATATTACTCAGCATTGTAAAGAATGAAGTATTGATACATACTGCAACAGGGATGATTCTCAAAATAATAATGCTGAAAGAAAGAAGCTAGGCAAAAAAGAATACCTGCTGTTTGAGTCCATTTATATAAAACTCTAAAAAATGCAAACTATAGTGACAAAAAGCAGATCAGTGATTTCCTGGGGATGGGGGGAATGGGAAAGAGGTAGAAGGAAGGATTGCATAGGAGGAAACTTTTCGGGTGATGAAAAATTCATTTACTTGATTGTGGTGATGGTTTCAAGGGTGTATAAACATGTCAAAACTTATCACATTAGGTACACTTGAAATATGTGCAGTTTATCATAAGTCAAGTATACCTCAATAAAGCTGTTAAAAAATAACTGATTGCTTTTGTAAGGCAGAAATATGAGACTAAGGATATTGTATTACATCATGCATTGTAATATTTCATTACTGTGTGGCCCTGCTTAATTATTCATATACTAGTTAGAAAATTTTGTGATGTACAGATTATGGGTGTACCCTTGATAGCTGCCTGAGTTTGATTTTGTGGTCAGTTCTATAAAATTTTGTATATCAGTTCCATGGCCAGGAACATAATCCTTTATTAATATATTGTTTCTGTGGGAAATCAGAATTGGCTTATGTGATATTTACATAGTTCCCTCCTTCTGCCCTGGGCCTCCTCTTCTCAAATCCATCTCACACACTGTTGCCAGGCCTACCTTTCTTTTTTTTTTTTTTTTTTTTTTTTTGAGACACAGTCTCGCTCTCTCTCCCAGTCTGGAGTGCAGTGGTGCGATCTTGGCTCACTGCAAGCTCCGCCTCCTGGGTTCATGCCATTCTCCTGCCTCAGCCTCTCAAGTAGCTGGGACTATAGGCACCCGCCACCACGCCCGGCTAATTTTTTGTGTTTTTAGTAGAGATGGCGTTTCACCATGTTAGCCCAGATGGTCTCGATCTCCTGACCTCATGATCCACCTGCCTCGGCCTCCCAAAGTGCTGGGATTACAGGCATGAGCCACCATGCCCGGCCCAGACCTACCTTTTTTAAAGAAATCAGACCAAGTGGTGTGGCTCATACCTGTAATCCCAGCACTTTGGGAGGCCAAGGTGGGAGGATCACTCGAGACTAGGAGTTCAAGAGCAGCCTGGGCAACATAGCGAGCCCTGTCTCTACAAACATTTTTAAAAATTAGCTGGGTATGGTGGTGTATGCCTATAGCCCCAGCTACTTGAGAGGCTAAGGTAGGAGGATCGCTTGAGGCCAGGAGGTAGAGGCTGCAGTGAGCTATGATTGGGGAACTCACTCCGGCCTGGGTGACAGAGTGAGACTCCATCTCAAAAAAAGAAAAAAATCAGATTGCGTTCCTTCCTCATCAAGCCCCTGAGTGGTTCCAAATGATAAAGTCTAAACTCTGTAACAGGACATTCAAGCTCCCTCACAACCACCCCATCTCCCTCACGGTCCTGTCTCCCAGGACCCTGTCCCCCTCTTTATGACTCTGGACCTTTCACCAGGTGCTTACATCATTTCAAGCTTTTGCTCAAACTGCCCAACTGTCAAGTACCTGCTCCCCTTTCACATTACTTGTGCATCTGGGAAATTCTCCTACCCTTCAAGACTAATTTCAAATATCACCCCCTATTGGAAGGCTTCCCAGATTTCTCCCAGACAGAGTTAATTAATCACCATTTTCACTGCACTCCCATGACGCCTTGCACATGCCCATACTAGTGCACTTATTCCATTGTATTGTAGTAATTAAGGTGCAACTACATTAGGTTTAATGCTCCGCTGCTGTAACAAGAAAATCCCCAAATACCAGTGGTCTAACCAAGTTCATTTCTCTCTCGCATCCAAGTCCTAACTGGCATGCTTGTTCAGCTCTACAATGTTGTTGAGATCCAAGCTCCTTCCACAGTCAAGCGTGCCTCTCCAACAGTCCACCTTCCAGCCATCAGGACAGGGGAAGGGGACAGCGTCTCCTGCCTTTTTATGGCATGATCTAGACTTGTACCAGCACTTGATTCACATCCCATTGGCTAGAACTTAGTTACAGCCACATATAACTGCAAAGGAGACAGGAGAATGCATTTTATCCAGGGGTCCATGCGTTTCACTAAAAGTCAGATGCTGGACTATTATGAGAGGCAAGGGAAAAGTGAATCTTGGGGTACATTATCAGTCTCTGCCACAGTTCACCAATTTAGCCACCCAGGTATCACTTTTATTTTCACATACAAAAGACAAACGCTACCTTTGGAGGAAAACCATCTCAAGTCCCACACTGTCCTGTGCCCCACACCTCAGTCAGGCCCGGACGTGGCTACCTGTGGCCTGGAGACCAGAACACTGAAAGACACGTCATCTGCCCCCACCCTCCCCTAACACATAATGATGGAATATCGTGGGATGGAATGATGGAACAGGAACCACATACCACAATTAAAAAACATCTCTTTCGGAAAATCAAACAATGGGAACTGCACAGATGGCCCCAGTCTATAGCAATTACCAAATAATGCCAGTCAGAAATTATAAAGACTCTTTGCTCTTCCATTTTCTGGAAGTCACTCCCTTGTCCAGTGTTTTCTTTGGCCCCTGGTTTTGCCCTCTGGGGGGGGCTCTCATTGGGTTATCATCCTACATCTGAAGTGGGCATTGGAGAACATACTTCTTTCAGGCTTCCGAACTATTTGCTTCTAGTCAGTTCCATGTGCAGGTAACTCCAGCCAAAGGTCTTGTCTTGACAGAGTTTGCCAGCCTGAAAACTCTGGTTCTGTTTTTACTGGCATCTGTGCTCTCCCCAGACCCCTCTCTCAGCTGAATGGCTGTTATCTTCAGGCCATCTGAGACAATAGGCTTGGGTGGAAAGGGAACACCCTTAATCTGATCTTGGCTGCCGGCTTACTCCCATTGTCTGGTAGAGAATTCTTAACTGGTAAAGCCTGAGAATGGCTCAGGGCCATCATCTTACCTCCCACTACGGCTGTCTCCGCAGCACCAACTTAGGTCGCTGCTTCCATTTGGGATCTAGAAGGCGCTTGGGTCTCCTAACTCTTCAAAGCTCCAAATTCTGAGACTCCCAGTCAACTTAGATGACAGGCAGCAGGCAGTGGGTTCTCTTGGCCAAACTATATTCCCTTCCCTCTCTTCTTGCAGACTCGCCAGGTTTAACCCCACTGCATTCACCTCTCTTTTCCAGGAATTTGCTGAAAGCAGCAAGTCGTCGATACTCACTGATTCTCAAGTTGTCCTAGAGTTACAGGCTCAGAGATCATGTGGTCTCCCTGCCAAAGGACCACAGATGACAGTTTTCCTGAGTCTTTTGCCAGAGCACAATGAGGGTCACCCACTTGCCAGTCTGCAATATTGATGTCTTCTCCACCTGACTTTTGTAAGCCAAAAATATCTGAGACAGGTCTCAATCCATCTAAAAGGTTTATTTTGCCAAAGTTAAGGATGCACCCATGACACAGCCTCAGGAGTTCCTGACAATATGTACCCAAGGTGGTCGTGGCACAGCTCGCTTTTACATATTTTAGGGAGACATAAGACATCCATCGATATCTGTAATGTGTACATTGGTTTGGTCTGGAAAGGCGGGTCAATTTGAGGTGGAGGGGCTTCTACGTCATAGGTAGATTTAAAGATTTTCTGATTGACAATTGGTTGAAAGAGTTATCAATAGAAAGGAATGTCTGGGTTTCAATAAGGGGTTGTGGAAACCAAGGTTTTACCATGCAGGTGAAGCCTCCCCACAGCTTCACCACAGGCTTCGGAGAGAATAGATTGTAAATGTTTCTTATCAAACTTGAAGAGTCTGTCCTAGCAGTAATTCCAAAAGAGAGGAGGTTAATGAGACACATCTGGCTTCTCCTTCCCCTCATGGCCTGAACTAGCTTTTCAGGTGAGCTTTGGAATGCCCTTGGCTGAGAGTAGGGGTCTATGCAGCTGGTTGAGGGGCCTTAGAATTTTATTTTTCCTGTGCACTACGAAGCCAGTGTCATGTCTATGAGACTCTTTTATGACAGTACTCTCCTTTCAGATATACTGAATTAGTTATGGAATAGATTTTGGCAGCTATAACTAGAAGACCACACATGAGAGCAGCTTAAACAAGAGAGAATTTTATTTCTCTGCCATGAGAGAGCTGAGCTGGTGTGATGGTTCTGCTGTACAAAGTCATCAGGGCTCTGAGCTTCTTTTGTCTTGAACCTCCACCATCCAGAATGTTGTCCTCAGCCACAGGGTCCAACATGATTGACCCCCAAATTCCCATTCCAGTGAACAGGAAGGGCGGAAGATGCAGGGCAATGTGCAATTTAATAGTTGTATACATTCCTTCTGTTCACCTCTGCTATGGTCCGAATGTGTCCCCCAAAATTAATGTGTTGAAACTTAATTGCCAGTGTGATTGTATTAAAAGTGAAGCCTTTGGGAGGTGATTAAGTCATAAGGGCAGAGCCCTCATGAATGGGCTTAGTGACTGACATGGTTTGGATATTTTGTTTCCTCCAAATCTCATGTTGAAATGAGACCTCCACTGTTGGGGTGGGCCTAATAAGAGGTGTTTGAGTCATGGGGGCAGATCCCTCATGAATGGCTTGATACCCTCCCTATGCTAATGAGTAAGTTCTTACTCCGTTAAGTTCATGTGAGAGCTGATTGTTTTTGTTGTTGTTGTTGTTGAGACGGAGTCTCGCTCTGTCACCCAGGCTGGAGTGCAGTGGTGCGATCTCGGCTCACTGCAAGCTCCGCCTCCCGGGTTCACGCCATTCTCCTGCCTCAGCCTACCTGAGTAGCTGGGACTACAGGTGCCCGCCACGGTGCCCGGCTAATTTTTTGTATTTTTTTAGTAGAGACGGGGTGAGTGCTCATTCTTTAAAGAAGCCTAGCACGTCCTCCTCTCTCTTGCTCCCTGTCTTTTCATGGGACACACTGGCTCCCCCTTTTCCTTCCCGTAAGCTTTCTGACTGTAAGCTATCTGAGGCTTCGCCAGAAGCTGAACAGATGCTGGTGCCATGCCTGTACAGCCTGCAGAACTGTGAGCCAAATAAACCTCTTTTCTTTATAAATTACACAGCCTCAGGTATTCCTTTATAGCAACACAAATGGACTAATACAGTGACCTTATAAAAGAGGTTGAAGGGAGCACCCTAGTCCCTTTCTTTTGCCCTTCCACTGTCTGAGGACACAGCAAGAAGGTGTCATCTTAAGAGTAGAAAGTGGCTGGGCACAGCGGCTCATGCCTGTAATCCTAGAACTCTGGGAGTCCAAGGCAGGCAGATCACCTGAGGTCAGGAGTTCAAGACCAGCCTGGCCAACATGGAGAAACCCCGTCTCTACTAAAAATACAAAAATTAGCCAGGCATAATGGTGGGTGCCTGTAATCCAGCTACTTGGGAGGCTGAGGCAGGAGAATCACTTGAACCTGGGAGGTGAGGTTGCAGTGAGCCAAGATCGCACCACTGCACTCCAGCCTGGGCAACAAAGCGAGACTCTATCTATCATCTCAAAAAAAAAAAAAAAAAAAAAAAAAGCAGAGAGCAGCCCTTACCAGACACTGCATCTGCCAGTGGGACTTCCTGGCCTCCAGAACTGTAAGAAATTACATTTCTATTGTTTATAAATTACCCAGACTTAGGTGTTTTGTTATAGCAACTGGAACAGACTAAGACAACCTCCCTCTGGCTAAAACATGGTCATAGGGCTACTCTTAGTTGCAAAGGAGACCATGAAATGTAGTCCTTATTCTGGGCTGCCATGTGCCCAGCTAAAAACGTGGGGATTCTAGCAAATGAGAAACAGGGGTGTAGGGAGATAATCAGTCATGCCTGCTACAGTCTGTCTCCTCTTGAAAGAACTCTTTGAGGGGCGAGGACCACATCTTACCATCTTTACAGGCCCAGCCAAGTGCCCAGAAGCATAAGTGACCACATATGTTCAAGTTCCATTTTCTCAGACTATGACTCAATTCCATCATAATGGGCATTTATAGTGCAACTTGTGTCTAAAGCACCCTTTATCTATTTAACTAAGGTGCCTCTAGCTTTCATGTCTTCAACTTCTCCGGTTTTGTGGAATCACCTTCCATTTTCCAAAATCCCTGAGGGTTCTTTGGGGTGAGCGTTTCAATTCAATGGGCTCTCCAAGGTCACTTTGCTCCTTGTTGTGGCTGTCAGCCTGTGCCTGCTATCCGCTCTCTGAACCGCCTCTCTCTAAGCTGACGCCCATCTCTCTTTCATCCCTTCCAATGAACCACATACCCAAGGCTCTTGTGTGTGGCCAACGTTTGGTCAAGTTCGGGAGGAATGGGGGGTGATTATAGCACAAGGTCAAAAACAACTTCAAGAACACATATCACATCTTCAAAACATGTTGGTCACTCCCCAGCACAGGGAATCTCTTCCTGGCATTGCTTCTTGGCCGGTCCTTACTCTGCCCCACACCACATTCTCTAAGCCTCCCTCTCTCTCCTGATGCCAGGTATCTCTCTGTTCTCATCCATTTCTTGTGCCTTGACCGCGTTCCTGAGCGGCCCTCACAGCATCAGCATTAGCATTCCTTTCGCTTTATTACGCAGATCTGTTCAGTTCTTGCTTCATCTCAGCCGTACATATTCAGGGGCCCTCAGTTTTCTAAACCCTTGACCCATCACTGTGTTTCTGTAGGCAGAAGGCTAACAAGCCCTGAGATGAATGATGCTCTTCCCAAGGAAGGCAGAGGAGGCGACAGTCCATTTGCGTTCTCTCCTCTGCAAGTACAGGATCTCGTTTGATTCTCAAAACCACCCTAGAGGAGACAGGAGGCACCTGAGGCCCAGAGACGTGAAGCCACCTGTCCAAGGCCATACAGCAGGTAAGAGGCAGGGTCGGGCCCCACACTGTGCTCCAGTGCCCCTGTTCTCAAGAGGAGCAACCCGCATTATCTTGTGTCATCTCTGAGTGCTCTGTGACACGAGACTTATTTTCTCTTTCCCACTCCTAACCAGGCTGGTCCCATGACAGCCACATGCAGGGCCCACCTGCCCTGCCAACACCGTGCTCAGGGCAAACACAGCTCTAGGGACACTCTCCTTGGATGCATCCTACTTAACAGTCCCCTGAACGCACCCACATGGACTCCAGCCTCAGATTCCCAAATGTCCTGCCCCCACCCACTTGCAGGGCCAGGTCAGTCCCCACTAGAGGGTGGGAGGGGAGGTGGTAGTGGGGAGGAGGGAAGGGGAGAGGCTGGGTAAAGGGCTGGAATTGAATAGCTGCTTTCTTCTCAGAGGCTTCCCCCACCTCCAAGTGGTCATTGATTAACCCTCTAGACCAGATAAACCCTCCATGGGAGGAAAAAAATGTGTGTTTATCTTGGGTCATAAAACATCAATATTGACTTCTCACCGGTAAAGCCCCAGGGGAAGAGGAGGTGGGGGCTGTGGGAGCAAGCCAGCCTGGGACACACTTGCCTGACACCCAGAGGCCAGCACACACATTCTCCTTCCCTATCGAGAAGAAGCCAGATTCCCACCCCACCTCCACCTCAAAGGCATGCCCTGAGCCAGAGGCCTGGTCTCGCTGGGCCTCTTCTCTGCAACCCGCAGCTGCATGGAGCCCCTTCCCCTTCCTGCATTGCCCCTCTGCCCTGCTCCCTGCAGATAACAGAGTTATACCGGACCCAGGTCAGGAATCAGACTGCCCCTGCTCTGCTGTTTCCCAGCTCCAGGACTTGGACAAGTGGCCCGATTTATGCCTCAGTTTCCTCGTTTATGAAATGGCCATAGTAATAGCACCCTGCTCTCATCACTGTTTAGGATGATCAAACAGGATCACGTACGCATATAACAAGCACTAGAGCTGGTCCTGCTGTAAACAGCATCACTCACTCTCTCTCCTCTCCTCCTGCCTCTTGATACACAGCCCTTTGTGGACCTTCCTCCTTGCTCTTGGCTGAGGCCTCCCTGATGGGGTGGACAAGACCATATTCACACAGGGCCAGAAACCAGAGGTGGTCATGGTCCCGCCAGGACTGGGGGATCTCTCATCCCTCTTCCCTCTGGCCTAGAATGAATCAGCTCTCCTGACACCCTCTTGGGCTGGCATTTTCCATCAGAGGGCCTGAGGAGGGTGTCTGTGGCCATGTGCTGCTCCGGGTGGGGACTCCGGGTCTAAGCATGCAGCTCCACACAGCTCAGGGACCCTCACACCTTCATTCTGGGGTCTTCTCTCTGTCCTCCATCTCCTTCCTTTTTGGGGTAAAGGTGTTTCTCCCCCTCCTCCCTGTCCTTCTGAGGGTAGGAATGAGGATGTTCTCCATGCAGAATCTCCAGCCACCCTGGCCTGGGCACTTTCTACCACATTTAATCCTGGACTTGGGGAGCAGTGGGGGAGGCATTTGGGGCTCCTTGATCCTTACTCAAGGCCGGCGCCCTCCATTCCCCTGGCCCCAGGTGAGCCCCACCTGATGCCCTGGGAGGCCCAGGCCCCAGACCCATGTGCCCTCCATCCACTGGGAGGCCCAGGCCCCAGACCCATGTGCCCTCCATCCAGCTGGACAGCGGGGCCCTGTCCCTGGGTACCTGGTCAATAATTAACACTGAGCAAACTCGGGCCATGGCCAGGCCTCCCAGGAGGATCAAGATGAGACAAAAGCCCTCCTGTCTGGCTGTGCTGCCATCTTGGTGGAGGGTTACTGGCCCCTCAGTCACCCCAGAGTGACAAACAGCCCCATCTCCATCAGGGAACTAGAGCAGCTGCTACCCAGCAAGGCACTGGTGACACTAGGCCCTAGAGGAGGACAAACAAGGGTGGGCAGGCAGTCACATGCCTGTTTCTTAGCTCCAGCTTCATGTTTGTGAGTAAGCCTAAGACAGAGGCTGGTGAGCTGAGGGTCCACTGTGGGGCTCCTCAAGCTAGGGTGCTTTTGTAACTTGGCTCATGGGGGGTGGTCAAACCAGAGACCTGCCCGCATCCCTTTGAGACCAGCTCTCAGCTCCCTCTTCCTTCTTCCCACTCTCCTACCCTTCCTTCCTTACTTTGAGTGTCTTCTGTATGCAAAGCTTAGTGTCCTTTCATCTCTCCCCATCCCCCAAACTTTCCACGCCTTGGTGCCTTTGCTTACAGTGTTCTCATAATCTTGGAAACCTGTCCTTTTTCTCCATCTGAGAATCTCCTTCCTCCTCCAAGAAGTCCACTTTGAGCCCTCCCTGATCCCATCCTCTTGGCACCTCCCACATGGACGCTTCTCTGCAGCTTCGCATCTCATTGAGCACTTGCGCTGCCTCACCAGCTGCATGGGAAGCTCCTTGTGGGCTGGGAGCCTCAACTCCCTACCCCTATCATGCTCAAGGGGCCATGTTAGTAGGTTTATCAGCAATGCCACCCTCAGCCACAAATTAGGCAAGAAGTTATATAATACATTCTTACAGAACAGCAACTCAGGAGACAACTTCTACACTGGTCAGAAAATTCCAGATACAAAGCAGTTCCCAAAGTCAGCCTTGCCAGCCCAGCTTCCCTCCAACTGGCTGCCCAAGATGTCTGAGAACTCATCATCATCCCTTCCTCTCCCCGCCCACCACTCCCCCACACCAGCATGCCCCCAGGTTTTGGACGTTTCTGACTGCCTCCTGATCCAGCCTTAAGTGCATTCCCCACAGCCTCCCAGCCCTTCCTCCCTGTGGCAGCCCCACACTCACTGCCAGAGCGCCCTGGGCATTCTTTCCCCAGCAGTGACAGAGCGGCTGCCAGTGACGGCCTCTTCTTGCCGGGCTGCCCTGGTCCCCCCCTTCTCAGACACACGTTCATCTCTTCCCTTGGCTCACACTTCCTCCCTCTCAGCCTTCTCGGCATCAACCCACCTGTCTCTGCCCAGGTGTGCTTTGAAACAAAAGTTCACAGTCAACATAAACTCACTACCATCTATGCTACACTGACCACCTAAAAGTTCAAGCAGAACCAGAAGCTCTTTCCAAGGAAGGCATCCCATCCCTAGGAAGACTAAGGGTGACAAGTTGGCTTTTTATTTCAGGCTGAAATCGAACTGAGATGTAGGGACCCACACAACCTCCCACCCACCCCAGCTGAGGGGAGGAAATGAGTGACAACTTGGGGGCAGGTAGTATCGGAGTTCAGGTGTCCCAGGGGAACAGACACCTCTGTGCTACCAGACAGCCCTTCTCTCAAATATTCTGCTCTGTTGTCTCATAAATATCCTCATTCTTACCAAAGCAATGACACCAGTTTAGAGTCTACAAATGATGGCAGCTGTCCTTAGGGAGTGCAGGACCTGGGGAGAAGGGCAGGCTGGGAGCCACAGGTCCTGGGCTGGGCGACAGCCTCTCTGGATCAGCCACCACTCACACCAGCCAGACCCTTTCCTTCCCTCTGCCCCTAGGACTCTACCCTAGAAACTATGGAAGTTTCCCTCCTGAGCGCTCCAGCCCTCACCAGCTCCTTCAGAGAGGGGCCTGCGGTGGACATCCTGTTTCCACGCCCCACTACCCCCACCAGCCACCCCCAACTCAGTGCCCTACCTAGGCCAGCTCTGCCATCACCAGCCCACACAGATCTGTCCACTGGCAAGGGGGACACTCCCCTCCTTTGTGACAAGTGTGGAACCCAGCCCCAAGAAGAAGTGGGGAGAGAAGGGGAACCAGCAGGGCCGGGAGGCCCAGTGGGAGTCCCCTGGGCCCCTCAGGTTTCCCTCTTGACGCAAGATGGGAGATTGAGAGGTGCTAGGCATGTTCCCCAAGAGCTGTTGTAATTTATTTTGTCATTCATTAGTAAGCCCCCTTGCCATAGCAAAGATTCCTAGGAGCTGGGCTCATGGCTTATGCCTGTAATGCTAATACTTTGGGAGTCTGAGGCAAGAGGATCGTTTGAGCCTAGGAGTTCAAGACCAGCCTGGGCAACATGGTAAGACCCCGTTTCTTTCTTTCCTTCCTTCCTTTCCTCCTTTCCGTTCCTCTTTTCCTTTCTTCCCTTCCTTCCTTCTCTCCTTCCTTCCTTCCTTTTTTTTCTTTTCCTGCCAGGCCTTCCAAAGACTTCTGGAACTTGTTCACCTCTTCCTGTCCCTACTTCTCTGCATGCACAGCCTGGGTTACAGATTTTTTTTTTTTTTTTTTTTTTTTGAGACAAGGTCTCACTCCATCACCCAGGCTGGAGTGCAGTGGGCAAATCTCGGCTCACTGCAACCTCCACCTCCTGGGCGCAAGTGATCCTCCCACCTCAGCCTCCGGAGTAGCTGGGACTACAGGCATGCGCCACTAACGGCCGGCTAATTTTTGTGAGTTTTTTTTTCTTTTTTTTTTTTTTGTATGTTTTGTAATTTCGTATTTTTTGTAGAGACAGAGTAGGAGAATCGCTTGGGCCTGGGAGGTGAAGGCTGTAGTGAGCCGTGATCGCGCCACTACACTCCAGCCTGGGTGACAGAGTGAGACACTTTCTCATATATATGTTCCTAGGAACCCCTCCTCCCCAAGCCCCAGCTCGGGGCACTGAACACCTCCTGAGGGCATAGAATGTAGGCAAACCCTGGGAGTCGGGGCTGCTTAGAGAGGCCCCCCACGGTGCCACGCCATGGCCAAACGCCCGCTGGGCTGGGCTGAGAGTTCCCTTATCCGGTAGGGATGCTTCGGAGTGAACCAGCTGACCAGACCCTGTCCGGGGACCCCAGCCGAAAGCAGGACTGGAGGGCTGGAGGAAGACAGGAAGGGCAACAGGGACAGAGTGGAGACGCAGGAGAGCTGGGGACAGGCTGGCAGGCGGGCGGGAGTGACTGGAGCAGGGAGGCCCCGTGAGGGTCCCAGGCGCAGGACGGCTGCCCCCCAGCCGCTCCAGTCGCGTCCCTCTCCACAGAGCGCTTCCCAGCCAGGCCCGCAAGTCCAATCCCAGCAAGACGGCGCCACCTGCTGCGGGGAGTGGGCAGCGCAGCTCACTCCTGTCGGGGGTTTGAGAATTGGGGGAGGGGGTAACTCCCACCCCAGGAATCACCGCCTCTTGTCTCCCCCATCACACCTCTCAGGTGGCCAGTGTGCTGCCCGGCTCCCTACTGGCTCACTCCCCCAGCCCCCTGCCTCCTCTCCTCCAGCCGCCCCCGTGGCCACAGCGTCCTGGGGGGCCTCCCCACGACTGCCAGTTCCGCCCCAGGGCTTCCCCCGTCACAGGCCTCACCGTCCCCCAGAGAAAGGCCAAGGTCCAGTAGGCTGAGCATTCCTCTGGGATGAGGACGGCAGATTGGGGTTGGGATTCGCTGGGCCCGTCCCGAGCTGGAATGCTGGGGTCAAGAGACTTTTCAGAGCAGAGGCCTGGGCTCCGTGTAGGACTTGAATTAGATGCTTTATCTGAGATGAGCTGGGCTGGGTTCAGCCTGTAGGCATGACTGGAGGCTGCCAGGCCTTCCAAAGACTTCTGGAACTTTTTCACCTCTTCCTATCCCTACTTTTTGCATGCATAGCCTGGGTTACTGCTGTCTCCTCCTGGACTCACCCTTTCTAGAACCTTCTCTCTACTGCCCAGCTAATCTTTCTAAACCATGGAGCTGATCCCTCCACACCACTGCTTAAATTCCTGCATAATCTCTCTGTTGTCTTCTGGAAGAAATCCAAACCACCCCACCCAACTAGCAGAGCCACGCTTCTTCTGGCCCTCCCAGCTCCATCTCTCAGCACTCTCCCACCTGTGCCTGATGGTACCTCATACCAGGGATACCTCGTGCCTGCCATACCTCTGCAAGAAGCAGCCCAGGCCTCACCTTCTGACCAGCCCAGCCCTCTCCCAGCAATGTATGCTCCCCATGCACCCATCACACTTCACAGATGTCACCCCTGTACTGGGTATCATCCCTTACTCAACTGTGACCTCTGAGGACAGGGACCTGGCCTTTGTCTCTGTAACCCCAGCACCTGACAGGCATACAGGAATGAATGAATGAATGAATCTGTGGTCAGGGATGACAGCCCAGAAAAATGGCATGCTGACCAAGTAGAAGACTGGTCCAGCCCTCGATTTCTTGCCTTCCCTCTCCCTCTCTGAGCCCTGTCTCTCCCTTCCTGCCTCACTTCTAAGTCCCTCCGGGACCCTACCTTGCCTTCCCTCTGGGAGCTCCCTAGCAGCCTCTCTGTAGCCACGCCACACTCCCCTGTCACCCAGCAGACAGAAACCAGCCCCCTCACTTGGCCAGGCCTCCAAAGGCTTCCCCATCTGACCAGTTTACAGTTACCAAGTCTCCTTCTCCAGGGAAGAGCCACTCAGGGCAGGATGGGGGGCGGGGGCTCTTCTGCCCACTCACAGAAGCCTCCCTGGCTGCCTGACTGGGGTAGCTCACTCTGTCCTCAGAAAGCCCAAATCACTTTGCTTGGACCTCAGACATCTTGTTTTGCACTAGGGACTTTACATCTACCCTGCAATACCATAAGCTTTTGGAAAGCCTGGACCACATGGGGAGGTGTGGCTTTTTTTTTTTTTTTTTTTTTTGAGACAGAGTCTCACTCTGTCACCCAGGCTGGAGTACAGTGGCACAATCTCAGCTCACTGCAACCTCCACATCCTGGGGTCAAGTGATTCTCCTGCCTCAGCCTCCCGAGTAGTTGGGACTATAGGTGTGCACCACCATGCCCAGCTAATTTTTGTATTTTTTTTTTTTTTTTTTTTTGAGAAGGAGTTTCACTCTTGCCACCCAGGCTGGAGTGCGGTGACACAATCTCAGCTCACTGCAACCTCCACCTCCCGGGTTCAAGCGATTCTCCTACGCAGCCTTCTGAGTAGCTGTGATTACAGGCAAGTGCCACCACGCCCAGCTAATTTTTGTATTTTTAGTAGAGGTGGGGTTTCACCGTGTTGGCCAGGCTGGTCTAGGACTCCTGACCTCAGGTGATCCACCCACCTTGGCCTCCCAAAGTGCTGGGATTACAGACGTGAGGCACGGCGCCTGGCCAATTTTTGTATTTTTAGTAGAGATGGGGTTTCCCCATGCTGACCAGGCTGGTTTCAAACTCCTGACCTCAGGTGATCTGCCTGCCTCAGCCTCCGCCTCCCAAAGTGCTAGGACTAAAGGTGTGAACCACCACAGCTGGCCCTTAGGTGTGGCTTTCAATGCTAGGTTGTCATAAAAGACACTGAGGCTTCTGTCTTGCTCTTTCAGATAACTTATTCTGGAGGAAGACACCTGCCATGCCGTGAGGACAGTCAAGCAGTTCTGTGGAGAGATCCATGTGGTGAGAAACAGGGGCCTCCTGTCAACAGGAAGAACAACCTGGCAGGCCTGTCTTGGATTCAGAGCCTCCAGCCCCAGTCGAGCCTTCAGATAACTGCACCCTTGGCTGTCATCTCAACTGCAATCTCACGACAGACCCTGAGCTGGAACTACTCTGTTTACCAATGCCTGGCCCACAGAAAGACTATGAGATAAAACAAGTATATTGTTTTTAGAAGATATGTTTTGGAGTAATTTATTATGCTACAATAGATAATACAGAATTTGGTGATTTTATGATTCTCAACTCCTGGCCAAAGCAAAGCACACAACAAGTCTCAAAGAAAAGTCTCACAAGTGGAATTGAAAGTACAAAGCTGGCCAGACAAGCTTGTGCAGACATGTATGTGGTGGAGTTGAAAATCACACACTACGACTCACACAAGTGAGTAAAACCTGCGTCTTTCTTAATTTTTCTTGTACTCTTCTCATCTAGATCTAATGAGATACTTCCTGCTGTTGACAGGCAATAAATGAATGAACGACAAAAACAAAACAAAAAGAAAAGAAACAAAACAGAAAGAAAAGAAACAAAACAGAAAGAAAAGAAAGAAACAAAACAGAAAGAAAGAAAAGAAATCTTTAACTTGCCCACTACAGGTTTCTCTATTTCTGCATGTTCAAGCAAATCTCCTTTCAGCAAAATACTCATCGTTTTCTCCCTATTCCCTCTTCTGCTAGCCAGATGTCTCTCTTCCTGGTGCAGGGAGACATTTACAGACCTCATGGTGGTGGGAAGAGGAGTTCAAGGTCGGTGTGGAGTTCTCTGCATTCTTCCCACATACCTTCCCCACACACAATGGGACAGGGCTGGTCGGGCCTGGTCCCTGGGATCCCTGGTGGCATTGGTGATGGTTGGGGATGGAGAGGGGTACTGATGAAGTGAGTGGTCCCCGCACAAGGCTGGTGGTGCAGATCCTACCTCTGTGTTCTTGATTTCTCTTTTTTTTTTTTTTTCTTTGAGACAGAGTTTTGCTCTTTTTGCCCAGGCTGGAGTACAATGGCGTGATCTCAGCTCATCACAACCTCCGCCTCCCGGGTTCAAGTGATTCTCCTGCCTCAGCCTCCCAAGTAGCTGGGATTACAGGCATGTGCCACCATGCCTGGCTAATTTTGTATTTTTAGTAGAGACGGGGCTTCTCCATGTTGGTTAGGCTCGTCTCAAGCTCCCGACCTCAGGTGATCCACCTGCCTCGGCCTCCCAAAGTTCTGGGATTACAGGTGTGAGTCACCACACCTGGCCTGTGGCCTTGATTTCTACCCTTTCCCTGGGACCTAGGACCGCCTGGCTGCATTCTACCCCTCCAGAAGAGGCAGAGTTCCGAGAGCCACTTCCTAGACTGCTTCTTTAGACATTTCTAAACTACCTCCTGGGCAGCGCCATAATGTGTTACACCTTCCTCAATCACTGCTTTCTTAAAGGAGTTCACTGAAATTCCCCACAGCTGTCATCTGAGAGTCAAATTCCACCTACCTTGTGCGGTGAAATTTAGCTGCAAATGTGGCTGGGGTGTCTCCCACACAGCCCTCTGAGTGTCCACTGGGGTGAGGGACAGAGCTTTTTGCTTCTCACCTTCTCTCTTCCTTGAGTCCTGCTGTTCAGTAGCTGTATCTCTCCATCCCGTCCTACCTCATCCGTCCTGGATGACTTGCTTCGATTCAACCCTACACTTACTTCCCCGGGCAATGAACGTCACCTTAGCCTTCACCCTGAAGGGCTACAGGAGAACGAGAATTATAGAAAGTGAAAATACATCCCTTTGCTATTTTATAAGTGCTATTTCTATAACACATGCATACCCGAAGCACACACACTTGCATGCAGAGACCCAGAGACAAGCTGATTCCAAGACCCCAAACACACTAGAGACACACCACAAACACCCTAGGGCTGAACTGGGGCCTGCTCAGGGAACCCTTGCCTGTGACTTCTCAGTATCATCCAAGGGGACCCACCTGCTCCTGGAGCCTCCAGGGGGATCCCTTGTTTACTCTCAAGATGATTGTTCTCACCCCTTCTCTCAAAGGCCCTGGGAGTGAGGCAAAGAGGAGGGAGCGCCACCTCTAATCAGATCCTCCTCAGGATAAAAAAAAAATCAGCAACTGGAGATGCCCCTGGCTGGTGGACTACTTCTTTTTTTTTTTTTTTTTTTGAGATAGATAGATAGAGTCTTGCTCTGTTGCACAGGCTGGAGTGCAGTGGCGCAATCTTGGCTCACTGCAATCTCCACCTCCCGGGTTCAAGTGATTATCCTGCCTCAGCCTCCTGAGTATCTGGGACTACAGGTGTACGCCACCACGCCCGGCTAATTTTTGTATTTCTAGTAGAAATGGGTTTCACCGTGTTAGCCAGGATGGTCTTGAATTCCTGACCTTGTGATCTGCCCACCTTGGCCTCCCTAAGTGCTGGGATTATAGGCATGAGCCACTGCGCCCAGCTGGACTTCTATAGCTTCTACTGCCTCCTGTCCCTGCAGGCTCTTAGATGGGTATCTGGGCTCAGTCTCCTTTGCTGAGCGCCAGACACCTTGGTCAGCTGCTCCAGGACTCTGTCTGATTTCCCAAAGGCATCTCCAATGCAGCCATCCCAAACTGACTCATCCTCTTCCCCAGGACAGAGACAGGCCTCTCTCCATCAATCCCTCATCCTCTGGCCCTCTATTCTAACTACCCCTCCCTCTCTCTAACACTGCGATGGGCAGGGGCTTATCTTCTTCTTCCCACCTGGTCCTCCTGTTTCTACCTGCCTCCAACCCCCTCACGGCAACAGGGGGACTTATCTTGATTGGAAAGTGGGTCTCATGGATTTGCAGCCTCACGTTGAAAAACCTGTCACCAACTCCCCAGCGCCCACAGGATCACACCCTTGGGCAGAGCAGTAAGCCCCATCCTTCCCTGGCCTGGCCCAAGTGCCCCGCACCCAGCTGCAGCCGAGGTGAGCATTGCAGGGTTCCCCTCCTGGGCCTGGCACCCTCTGGCTTCGGCCCCTGTCACACACAGGGTTGGAATGCTGTAGCTCCTTGCAGTCCTGCTGAACTCATTTTTCAAGATCCTGCTTGAGTCACCTCCCTAGGGAAAGCATCCTTAGTCAGAGTTTATCATTCCCTTCTCCAAGTTACCCTGGAACCATATTCAAGTTTCTCCCAAGGCAATTCTCCCATCCTCTGCCTGGCTGCAGCACCCTCACCTCTGGTCTGGACTGTCAAAGTCGCCTCCTGACTGCCCCTTGCCCTTGCCCCCTGCCCCTTCCAGTCGGCTGTGGACCCAACAGCCCAAATGGTCCTTTGAAAATGCCAGTCAATACACATCTCTCTGCTCACAACCCTCCAGCACCTCCCATTTCACTCACGGTCAAAGCTAAAACTGCACAGTGGCCTCCGACTCCTCCCTCTCTGGTCCCCCTTCCCTTTGGACCTTCACTTCTACCCTCCATTCTCTCTCCACCCCAGCTTGCACCAGCCTCCTTGAAGCCCTGAACACTGCAGGCCCCTCCTCTCTCTGGGCCTTGGCACGTCCCCAGACACCATGCTCATCTCCCTCGCCAGGGACTGTCTTTGCTGCAGTCTTGCCTTCTCAGGGAAGCCCACCCTCCCTGCCCTGGACACCACTGCAACCAGCCCCTACTTCCTGGCCCTCCTCCCCCTGCCCCACTTTTCTTTCTTTCCATAGCATGCGTCACCTTCTAAACATATTATTTAACCAATTTTTAATTTTTTTTATACTCCATCTCCCTTGCAAAAAGTGTCAGCTTCACTAGGGCAGGGTCTTTACCTATTCTGTTCACCGGTGGCTCCTATGAGCCTAGCAGGGTGCTGGTACACAGTGTGCACTTAATGTTCAAGCAATCGATCCATCCACTAAAGCTGTTCATTGGTTTTTGTGGGGGCTCCCTCGGCAGTTGGGGAGGTCCTGGAGACTGAGTTCATGCTCAGTCACCTCTGGATCCTCAGGGCTTAGCCACTGCCTTGGCCACAGTGGGTATGCAAGAACCATCTATTGAATAAATAAATGAATGGGGCCTGCTCCATTGGTCAAGGGAGAGACTTATGGGCTGTGCAGATCAGAGGATCCCTCTGCCAAGTGATATTATTGCCAGATTGTTCCTGGACTCCTCACCTGTGCCAGGACCTCACTCTCTCCAGAATCCTGCCTCACCCCTTTCCCCTTGGGTCCAGTTCCCTCTGCCAGTTTGGAAGTGGTTGATATTCATCTCCACTCCAGAGAGGCTGCCTGAATACTGCATAAAACTTGATGGTTTCCGAGAGAAGCATGAACTGTGAGCAGGATCAATCCCTCACCCCAAAGATTTGAAGCAAAGTGGTGCAACCTGACTGCAAAAGGTGTTCTGGTGGCCTGGGCATAGGCATCAAGCCAGCCCTGGGCAGGGAAGCTGCTGGTAACCCCAATAGAAGGTGTCTTGCCCTTCCTAGGTGTCTTTCTAAAGACAGGGACTTGGTGCAGGGGCTCAAACAACCCTACACACAGAGCTGGAGCGAGAAGCCACAGTGGCCCGGGGCCTCGCTCACCCCATCGCCTTCCATTTCACCCTCTCCTCGAGGCGCTCGGGCGCTATCAGGAGGTGATCAGGGCGGGACTGAGCTCCCCAGGCCCAGGCTGGATCCCATTGTAGGCTTTGGGGGTTTCAGGCTGTTTTTGGAACCTCGGTCATGTGTCCTCCCATGTAACCTGAGCCCCCTGACACGGCATGAGTCTGCACTCCAGCTCTGAGCCACATCTGCTTCTCATTTCCGCCCCAGGAAAACGGCCCAATTTCCAGGAGCCACTGGCCTAAGCCAAGCCTCCAGCCTCTCAGCAGCCAACTCCACCCAGCCCAGCTCCATTACCGAGGTGGGTGTTAGGGGTTGGGGGCTGAGACAGCATTAGTGGCAATGGGGTGTGTAGTGGAGCTGGACTGGGGCCAGGAGGTCTGAGTTCTTGGGCTGGCTCTGTCAATACCTTGCTTTGTTGTCCATGGGGAAGTCTCTTAACCTCTCTGAGGCTTGACTTTCTCATCCATGAAATGTGTTACTCTACTGATGGAGGTACTATCAGGATTTGGGGACCAAGGTGGCTCCTTGGGGATAAAAACAACATAATTTTCCCAAAAACAGAACTTAGAGGAGTATAGCTGCTGGAGCTGGCCTATGTCAGGAAGAGGCCAGAAGCCAGAGCCACTTTCCCACCTGAGCAATGGGTCAGGCCCACCCCTGGGGTAGTTTGGTAGAGTTTGAGCCTAAGTCTTTGGGGTAGAAAAGTCTAACCCCAATTCTAAGCCCTTCACCTACCAGCATTTATTCAGGCCCTAGTATGTGTCAGGCCCTGGGCAGGGGTGGGGAGACCAAAGTGATAAACACAACTTAAACTCCTCAGGGTGGAGAGGAGCCCACAGGTAAATAAATAAACACAGCCCAGCCCAGTATTGGGAGGTCACGTGGACGAGGTGCGGTCAGGGGGCAGAAGTAACACTTTCTATTTATATTCTTTTAGTGGAGACCCTTAATTTTTAAGACATTCTTTTTCTTTTTCTTTTTTTTTTTAAGAGATGGGGTCTTGCTATGTTGCCCAAGCTGGTCTCAAACTCTTAGCCTTGAGCAATTCTCCTGCCTCTCCCTCCTCACACCTGGGATTACAGGTGTGAGTCCACTGTGCCTGGCCAAGACATTCTTAAGTTGATATTTTTTTTCTGTTTACAGCAAACTTCATCCTCCTTCTAAGAAAGACAAGGTCTTTAGCACCCTCCCTCCAGGTATCTTCTCCTATTCTCCACATTTTTTTTTTTTTTTTTTTTTTGAGACTGAGTCTTGCTCTGTCACCCAGGCTGGAGTGCAGTGGCACAATCTTGGCTCACTGCAACCTCCGCCTCCCAGGTTCAAAAGATTCTCATGCCTCAGCCTCCTGAGTAGCTGGGACTACAGGTGTGCACCATCATGCCCAGCTAATTTTTGTATCTTTAGTAGAGACAGGGTTTCACCATGTTGGCCAGGCTGGTCTCGAATTCCTGACCTCAAGTGATTGGCCCACCTCGGCCTCCCAAAGTGTCGGGATTACAGGCATGAGCCACAATGCCCAGCCCCATTCTCCACATTTCTATTTTTTTTTTCTTTTTTAAGGCACAGAGTTTCACTCTTGTTGCCCAGGCCTGAGTGCAATGGTGCGATCTTGGCTCACCGCAACCTCCGCCTACTGGGTTCAAGCGATTCTCCTGCCTCAGCCTCCTGAGTAGCTGGGATTACAGGCATGTGCCACCACGTCCAGCTAATTTTGTATTTTTAGTAGAGATGGGGTTTCTCCATGTTGGTCAGGCTGGTCTTGAACTCCTGACCTCAGGTGATCCGTCCACCTTGGCCTCCCAAAGTGCTGGGATTACAGGTGCGAGCCACCGCACCTGGCCGCAATCCTCCACATTTCTAAATCCCAAATCAATTCCCCCTTATAGAAGCTCATCAGTGACTCCCCCCCCCACCCCCCCCCGCCACATGGCAGGACCCCAAACCTTGTATGCCACCCCTGCTGCCCTGGGTCCTGCACCAGCCATGACCTACTATGCTACCTGCTTCCTCGTAATAGGGCAGGGCCCTGGGTTGAAGGAGCTGCGGGGGCTGATAAGGGTGAAGAAGAGGGCGGCCACATGGGAGGCTGCCCCTTAGCTTTGCCCCCTGCCTACAGGTTGAACAGCAGGACATAAGCAGCACACTGTACAGCTCCCCAGGGTCCTCCCCCTTCCAACATGTCCCTGACAGCACTAAACCATGACCCTGTAACACAGGTACTATCTTTGTTCCCATTTTACAGATGAGAAACCCGAGGCTCAGAGAGGCCCTGTAATTTGCTCAAGAACAAGAAACCACTACATCTGAGATCTTATCCTTCTGACCCCTCGATCCGGGTCTTTGCACAGGCATGGCACCACTCTTGAGTACCCAAGTTAAAATTCCAGCTCTATCCTTTAGGAATTTGACCTTGGCCAAGTTCTCAAAGTCTCCTGTGCCTTACTTTAAAAAATACGTTTCTTTAATAAATGCACCTCAATAAAGTTATTGAGGGATAATTTACATACAACAAATGCACAGATTTTATGTGCCCAGCTTGATGAATTTTGACAAATGGATACCCCCATGTAATAACCACACAGTCAAGACGTGGAACATTGTTCTTACCCCAGAAAGCCCTTCCTTCCGTGCAAACAAAAGGAAGCAAACAAAACTATCTGCCTCATAGTGTTAGGAAAATCGAATGAGATAATACAGGTGAGATCCTTAGCAAGGCGCCTGGCACGCAGGAAACGCTGGATAAATGCATTGCTATCATTCCCTGGCTGTCCCCCTCCTTGACTGGGGCAGGGATCAGGGCATATGCTGAACCATCTCCCTTCTCCAGCCTAAGGCCATTTAGCCAGACTAGAAGAAGACTCGGGGGGATGGAATATGTGTCTTGGAGGAGACTTGGAACCATTTTCGTAAGTCTCCAGAAGCCATGATGGGGCTGGGGGTGGAGGAATTGGCCAGCTTTTGCCTATGTCTGGCCCAAAGATAGGGTTTTGCAATCATAGCTCACTGAAACCTCAAACTCCTGGGCTCAAGCTGTCCTGTCTCAGCCTTTTGATTAGCTGGGACTACAGGTATATATGCCGCCATGCCATGCTAATTTTTAAATTTTTTGTAGAGACGGAGTCTTGCTATGCTTCCCAGGCTGGCCTCAAACTCCTGGCCTCAAGTGATCCTCCCGCCTTAGCCTCCCAAAGTAAGCCTGGCCATCCTCTGTTCTTTTGAGACTCAAAGGATGAAGGCGCTCATGGCAGGGCCAGCTTCACAGGTTGGTGACCAAGGCAGCTGCACAGGGCCTTGCTGTCAGAAAGTCCCCACAACTTGGATTAATGCTCCCATGTTATGTGAAATCCTTAATAATTTTTGAACAAGGGATCTTGCATTTTCATTTTGCACTGGGCCCTGTAAATTATGCAGCTGGTGGTGATGGTGGGGAGGGTGGAGCAAGCTGGCTGGTTTCCTCCCTAGAAAAGCCAGTGCTATTGCCCTCCCCACTTCCACTCACTGACTACACACAGCTACACATGCTCATTCACCTCCATGGTCCCCTCTCTGTCCCTCTCCACAGTGGGGCATCTAGGAGAATCTGGGTCACTCAGGGCCCTCCGCTGCCAGGAGACACCAACAGAACCTGGAAGCCTGCTTGGCCTGGAAACCCCCTTGGGAACAGCTCCTGCTCACAGGGCCTGCTGGGCAGGCCACCCGAATTCCCATCCTCTGACACTCCTCTCCAGCCGCCTCCACCCAGCTCTGCAGCTCAAGTGCAAAACCACAGCTGGGTGCCAGCCAAGGGGTCTTGGGTTTCATCACATTCAACTTCCCACACCTCGGCCAGAGGCCAGGGTCGAATGGGGCTGCTGGCCAGAGGCCTGGGCTGGAAGGCAGAGGAGGGGGTGGGGTCCAGTCCTACCCTCGCTTCCTATCCATGGCAGAGTACCCCCTCTCTTAGGCCTCAGCTTCCCCTCTATGTAATGGGACAGGACTCCACAGGGCTGGAGCAGATGCCAAGGATGTCGGGAAGGAAGGCCTCAGAGGCCAAGGCATCGAAGGAGCTCCTAGAACTTCACTGTCCAATATGGTGGCCTCAAGCCTCTCATAGCCATTTAAATTTAAAGGAATTTAAAGGAAAGAAAATTCATATTTCAGTTCCTCAGTCACTCCAGTCACTTTTTTTTTTTTTTTTTTTTTTTTTTAGATGGAGTCTTGCTCTGTCACCCAGGCTGGAGTGCAGTGGCACAATCTCGGCTCATTGCAACGTCTGCCTCCCGGGTTCAAGCGATTTTCCCACCTCAGCCTCCTGAGTAGCTGGGATTACAGGCACATGCTGCCACACCTGGCTAATTTTTTTGGTATTTTTAGTAGAGACTGGGTTTCACCATGTTGGCCAGGCTGGTCTTGAACTCCTGACCTCAAGTGATCCACTCCCCTTGGCCTCCCAAAGTGCGGGGATTACACGTGTGAGCCACTGAGCCTGGCCTCCAGTCACATTTCAAGTACTCAGTAGGTAGCGACAGGTGGCTCATGGCCACTGTATTGAATAGCACGGATACAGAACATCTCCGTCAATACAGAAAGTTCTACCGAGACGCATGCCCTGGCTAGGAAAGACCAGGTGCCAGGGACACTAGTAGCTTTACTCTCCTGGGGTGGGGAGCTGGGGCAGGGGGCTGTGATTGAGAAACACTGGAGACATCCTCTCACTCCTCTCCCCACCTCACCACGGATGAGGTGGACTCGCCATGAGGGGAGCCAGGAGCCTGACACCCAGTACAGGTGTGGACACCCCAGAGGCAGCTTCCATCCTGACTCCTGGAGTGGAAAGCAGGCTTCCTGGGTCCCTGGGAAGAGGCACTGGGGGAAGCTTCAGAGAGGGAGGAAGTGGCCAGAAGCAGGTGCTCTTCCTAGCAAAGGGCTCCCCAGGAGCTACTTCCAAATGGGAAACATCAGCCCTCCCCAATCCTCACCTCTGGATGAATTCCCTGAAGGCTTCAGGAGCATTTGCATGTTACAGTACAATGGTCCTCAAACTTCAGCTTGCATGGGAATCCCTGGAAGCTTGCTAAGGCACAGCCAACTAAGTACAAACTTGAAACACGCACACTTCCACTGTCTATGCGGCAGGCCGAAATAGGGATATCTGGGTTCTGTCCATCATAGGGTTCATTATTGTGTGGGCCTGTCTGGGGCAGATCATTGAAAGATATTAGGTTGGTTTTATCTGGGCATCTTAGGGATGCAGCAGAGAGGGTGATATGGCAGACCTCAGGAGAGACTGGTTGGGGGAGAGGAAAGAAAGGGGTGGAAGCGAGGGATGGAGGACAGGGAGGGAGGAGGGAAGAGGGGGATGGAGTGGGAGCCCGCTCGTGCATCTCCTGCTGACCTTGTTCTTCCTACCTATCTTCTCACCTCCTCCTCACAACCACCTTACAAGTCGGCAAATGTGTGGCTCTGAGAGATTACACAACCTTGCAGCAGATACATGGTCCCTAGGGAGTCAGGCTGGACTCTGTTTCCTCTACCTTTTCTCCCTCCAACTCTGAGTATTTTCAAACGAAATAAGCCTGGGAAGCGGGGAAGACTCAGAGCTGTGAATACATTTTTTTGTTTTCTGAGCTCATTCGGCTTTGACAGGAAGCTTGGCTGCGTGCGGGCAGGCGTCTGAGCCCTCCCTCAATGGTGCTTTTTAGGCATGCCTTTATACAGAATGTAAAGAGTCGCAGTTATAAATATCAGCGGGCTTCTGTGGCCCACTCCGTCCCTCAGCCCCCACGCCCAGCTGGGATGTCCTGGGACTTCCCGCTTGCCCTCCTCCCCCAACCCCTCCAGCCAGTACCACCCTCAGTGCATCTGGGAAGGGTGGGAACCGTGATGCGCCTTGGGCTGGGAAACCAAGGGGGAGTGAAACCCAAAACTGAATTTCTCCTTTTTCGGAAGAAAGGTTGTTTTCAGTGTCAGGAAACCCATAATCCTACAGCCAGCTGTGAAGATTCCAGAATGCCTCTCACTTTACAGGTGAGGAACTAGAGGGCCCCCTGGAAAGCTTATGAACACCCTGACCCCAGAGCTCACCCTCCCTCACTGGGAAAGAAAGTCCCTCTTTTCACTTTGTCACCCCCACCCACCTCCCAAGGCACCCACAGCATGGTCACTCTTTGATGACTGTTTGTATTATAAGCGGCTCCTCCAACTCTGTTCTACAGTCCCCTCCATGGATGCCCTGGAGGGAGGAGGCAGGCGAGACGCGGTCCCATTTTACAGACGGCCAAAGAGTTGAGTGACTACACAGCTCATCCCAGGAGAGCTGCCTGGCCCTGCTTCCTGATAGCCGGCCTGTGCCCCTAGACCTCCCCCGACCCCACAGGCCCCCTCCCCCTCCCTGTATGCACCCCCTGTCCCCTCACTGAGGCCCAGGAGCACAGTTGATTTAGAATTTCCTGCCCTTCTGACAATCTGCGTGCACAAAACGGGCTTTCTTTAAACCGCTTCGAAGGGCATCTCCTCCAGCCCCTTCCCCTGCCTTCATTAAACGCCTCGTCTGAAGCAGGATAAATCTTCGGTGATTAGAAGCATGCTCCTTGTTCCTGTCCCTGCCCCGATGGGAAGCGCATTTCTCAAAGGGTTAATTAACAGCCTTCACACAGGCCGCATTTAGCAACGAACACAAAGCCACACACATAAATAACGTCTGGGGCGGAAGAAGAGGGTGCAGATGGTTTGTGACTTTGCCGTCCAGAGTTTTCTAAACCGGTGTGAACCACGTCCTGTCGGGACCAGGACCATGAGTCAGGGTCAGGCTTTAAGGTGGGCCAGGCCAGAGACGCTAGTGGCCAACTTGGTGCTCTTTGAAAGCAAGTCCTAAAGGAAAACAGAGCGTGGAGCCAAGATGTGGGGAGAGAGGGAGGGGACGGGGTAGGGAGGAGGGCCTGCTGGCTGACCTGGAGAGAAAAGAGCCAAAGAGAGCCAGAGATGCGAACCGGGAAGAACCAAGCAGGAGGCCAGAGACATTGAGTCCCAGCTCCCTGCAAAGTAGTGCTGAATTTACCAGGGGCTCCACCCAGAAATTCAGACCCTGGGGCATAGGGTCCCACTCTGGCCCTGTAGTGAGAGTGATGGCAAGACATCCCCAGCCTAAGAGGAGTTGTGTGGGGCTGAGAAAAGGGTTTCAGGAAGGATAGCCCTGAGGAACCCTGGAAAGTTCTGGAAGTGGCACAGTGATATTCGCAGTATTCCGCCTCATCCATGCATAGGGTCTGTTCCTCTACGCAGCCTTCAGCTCCCCTGGGGGCTCATATGCCCCTTCCCAAAGCTATGGGAACACATCTGAGGTCTCAAAATGCATGGCAACAGGAACACAGGATTCACTTTACAGAGATCAGCACTGTTGCAAGGGATGCCTGAAGCCAAAACAGAGGAAAACGAGAGCCAAGAAGCAGAGGGAGCGATGCAGATGTGCACTGGACATCCACAAACCGCAACAGGAATGGGGAGAGGAGAGAAGTGATTGGAAAGCCAGTTTTTGGCATTCGGCTGGCTGCCATTCTCTTCACCTTTGTGGTCCCTCCAGTTTGCCCTCCTCAGCCCTAAGGGGTCCTCCCCTACTCGGAGAGGCCCTCACCATGCTCACTCAGACCCTCTCCTCCTAGGAGCCAGGAGGTGGGACATGGGGAGGGGGACAGTGAGTCCTGAATGGATTTCTGCCCTGGAGGTGAGGGCACCCCTGGTGCCAGGGAGAGGCCCTACCACAGCACAAACTGGGCTGCCCTTCCTGACCCAGGGATGAACCAGCCTGGGCACTCAGGCCACGGCTGTCTCCCTGTGCCAGGCTCAGCGCCCTGGGGATGAGGGCGCAAAGAAAGAGACGGGGCCGACAACACAGGCCCAACAGCAGGCCCTGTGTCTGGGAGCGGCAGTTTCTCCCCAAGTAATTTTCCACAGTTTGGCTTTTCCTCCACACACAGGCTTGCTCACAGAGTTCAGATGGTGGCTGGTCCTCCAGAGGGTTACTCTGGGCCACTCACCTGCTCGGTGACCCCACCTGCATTGATTTCTGCCCTCATCACTCAGCTGTCTCCAGCTTGCTTCTCAAAGCCCTGTGCCCATCTCAGGGATATGGCTTCTCCAGCCCCCAGAGCTCACTTCACCCCATCAGGGCCTGGATCTTGGGTAGTTATGGGAACCCCTAAATGCACCATCCTCTCTGGGCCAGGGCCAACATTTCTGTTTTCTCAGAAGGATCAAAGCCCCTTTCCTAGCCCTGCCAGGAGGAAGCAGTTTTGACTCGTGCAAATATCTGAAGCCCATTTGGGATTTTACTTTGGTGAGAAATAAATACACAGCCATCTGCAAATGATGGAAATATGACTTAAGTAACTTTTTGGTCGAGGCTCCTGGGCCAGAGGCCAGATGGAAATAAGACCTTGTATCTCAGTCCTCCTTGCACACTTTCAGAAAAAAGAAAAGGCTGGGGGAAAAAGTTGGTGGAAACTGAAGTTCAAAATGGAGTGTGCTAAATTTCTTGGCCTGGGAAAGGAAAAATAAACATCAAACAGCTACCCCATTCAAGTGTGCGTTATCTTGCTCATCCTCGCCAAGAACTCACCCTCCTCCCTTCTTTGACCGGGAATTGCTGTGCCCACGAACAGCCCCCACGCCCACCCCTAACCCAGGGCAGGCAAACAATGGGCCAGAAAACCCTGCTCAGCCAAGGCCTCTCCCCCTGCAGCCCCCAGAGGCCATAAGATTGGGAAACACAGGCTATTTTTATGTGTTATTTGTCTACCAACTGTGGCTCCAGGAGCCTGAGCAACAGTATCATCTGTGGGAGGTACCATTGATTTTTTTGTTTTAACTCGCTCAGACAAAGCCACATTTTCGCAACTTTCAGAAAAGCCAAAAAAGCAACACTCTGCAAGGCTGACCTCTTCCCTGGCTTGCCTTTCTGCCCTCCAGGGAGCTCTTTCTGGGTGTGTCTGGGCCCCTGTTGCTCTGTGCTGGCCCACACCAAGCACACAGCCCCAGATCCAGAGGGCCCAAAGGATAGCCAGTGAAACAAGGAAGGGTGAGGGGGGCAGAGAGAGGATCTGAGGAGAAGGGGTAGTGTCTCCAACTGGTGAGGGAGGCACAAACCCTGCCCTGGGGGTGCCAGTGTGATGGAGCAGTGGGGCTAACAGAAGAGTGTGAGAAGTCGCACACAGAGAAAATGGCTGCTTGATAGCCATCCATCTCCCAAGTCCACGGGTTGGGATGCTCTGTGCAGCGGGTACACCCAGAGGCAGATACAGGGCTGAGAGGGTGCAGGCCAGGTGCGACTGCCTAGGCTGGGGCTGAAAGAATCCAGCTGGCAGAGGTGGCTCACACCTGTAATCCCAGCACTATGGGACGCCGAGGCACGAGTCCAGGAGTTTGAGACCAGCCTGGGCAACATAGTGAGACCCCTGCCTCTACAAAAAATTTTAAAAATTAGCTGGGTGTAGTGCTATGCACCTGTGGTCCCAGCTACTTGGGAGGCTGAGGTGAGAGGATCGCTTGAGCCCAGGAGGTCGAGGCTTCAGTGAGCCTGTTTGTGCCACTGCATTCCAGCCTGGGTGACAGAGCAAGACCCTGGGGGCGGGGGTGTGGGGGAAAGAGAGAGGAGACGGGGAGAGAGAGAGAGAAATGCAGATAAAAGAAACATAAAGTGAGAAGGGAGAAAGGAAAAGATGTAGAGAGTGGGCAGAGATGAAAAGACATAAAGGAAGAAGAAGAGGGAGGAAGCTCTTCTCTGTTGACCCCATTCCCAGCCATGATTCCCAGCCATGACCATCAGGACAGATGGAAGAGTGACTGCTCAAGAGGACCAGAATGAGGGACACCCCCCGGAGTGAGCCATTTCCTTTCTCCATCAACACCATGCCCATGTCCTTGGGGGTGAGAAGGTAGAGGTCCTCCAGCAGCAGCCTGGCCGGAGCCACGCAGACTTCCCTATACTCTTCACTTCTCAGTTTTCTGATCTGTAAAACGGAGATAATGGTAGTAATACCTTCCTCACTTGGGTATTGCAAGGATTGACTGACATTGTGTGTGTGTGTGTATGTAAAATACTTGGATGCCTGGCACACCATGAGGGCGGTACAGATGGCAGCTTTAATGCATGTGGTGTGGAGTCAGGCATTCCGCGGGGAGAGGCAGGGTTGTGAACGCTGGAAAGGAGAGCAGAGGGGGCAGGCAGAGGAGTCTGAGAGAAGGAATCCATATGTCCCTAAGCTGGATGGCACCAGTGGCACCCCCAGTGCTGACCGTATCCAGGACCCCTGAAGGACCTGAGGCCATCCCTCCTGCTAGATTTCCCTGGCTCCAGGGCTCCCCACTCTGAGAGCCAAGGTCAGTCTCCTGCCAAGCCCTAAGCCTTCCCATTCATGCCATGCTTTTCCTTTGATGGGATGGTCAAGCTGAGCCAAGAGAAGAACAGTGGCTGCCAGATGAGCCAGCAGCTGGGGCTTAGGGCCCACCCAGAGCCCTTAACACATGTCTAGGGCAAGCAGGGAACCAGGGAGAGGCCATGATGCTGGCTGCCCCTGAGGGCCAGCTCCTGGTTAAGAATCACTTTCAGCAGCTGCTGTAGTGCCCTCAGGATCGCCACAAGGGCTCGGCGCCCTTCTGTTGCAGGAGGCCCAAGTTGGGAAGGAAGTGACAGCACTTCACCCCTTTTTTACCAGCCTTCAATGGCACCTTCTCCCACCCACCTGGGCTGACCCAGTGCCTGCCCTGTCTCCACTGTGGCCATCTGGGGAGCCAGGCCCACCCCACTACCTTCCCCCGCGAGAGGGGCCCTGGCAGCCAACCCCTCCCGCATCTCAGGGGCCAAGGTAGGAGAAGGGAAGCCAACCATGGGGGCCACTAAGAGGCAGTCCCAAGACCCAAGCTGCAATCCTGGCTTAAATTTGCTGAGCCTCCTTTTACTCATCCAGGAAATAAGGATAACCATTTTTACACGTTGGGAATCTGGTGAAACTATGACACATATCTGTAACCACTTAGATAGCATTCTGACCTGTTCCTTTTGTGAGTGGTAAAATGGTGCAATTGGTGTGTTAATCAACAATCTAAGGTCACTGGTTCAACTGTGGCTTTCAGCTGAACCCAATTAGCATTTGCATTCAAACCACCCAGTGAGGGTTGGAAAAAAAATCAAGAGGCTGGTGCTGGGCGCAGCGGCTCACACCTATAATCCCAGCACTCTGGGAGGCTGAGGCGGACGAATCACCTGAGGTCAGGAGTTTGAGACCAGCCTGGCCAACATAGTGAAACCCCGTCCCTACTAAAAATACAAAAATTAACCAGGCATGGTGGTGTGCACCTGTAGTCCCAGCTACTCAGGAGCCGGAGGCAGGGAGAATTGCCTGAATCCAGGAGGCGGAGGTTGCAATGAGCCAAGATCGCACCACTGCACTCCAGCCTGGGCGACAGAGCAAGACTCCATCTCAAAAAAAAGAAAAAAAAATCAAGAGGCTGGCCTTTCCAGAACCTCGTGGCAGCAAGAATGACAGCGCTGTTTCTGGAATCTGATGGCATGTGACCCGGACTATGCAAATTCTCCAGCCCTCAGTTTTCTCATCTGTAAAGGGGGATGGTTCTAGCACACTCTGCATTTAGGTTTGTGTGATGATTAAATAAGGTAATCCACGTAGATCTCTTAGCACAATGCCCGACCGTCACACACAATGCCTGACCGCCACGCTCAATGCAGGTGGTCAGTGCTCATAAAACAAATGAAGGCACCCTCTAGGAGCTGATGGGGAGAGATTCTGTGGGGAAAAGCACAGCACAGCAGCGTGTATAGCATGCTGCCATCTGGGTGGGAAGCAGAGAGATCAGACCACATGGTCATTTTTGCTCGGATTTTACATAAGGACATTCTGGGGAGATGCAGAAGAAACCAGTAAACAAAGTTACCTCGTGGGAGGTGGGGAAGTGGAAGGGGCGGGGCTGGGAGCAGGACTCTGAACTGTTCCCCCCCCCTTTTTTTTTTTTTTTGAGACAGAGTCTCGCTCTGTCGGCCACACTGGAGTGCAGTGGCGTGGTCTCGGCTCACTGCAACGTCCGCCTCTCGGGTTCACGCCATTCTCCTGCCTCAGCCTCCCAAGTAGCTGGGACTACAGGTGCCCGCCACCATGCCCAGCTAATTTTTTGTACACTTCTTTAACAATTCATCATGTGAGGGTTTTGGATTTACCTATCCCAAAAATGTTTACATTAACATAAAAGGTGTGCTTTCAGCATTATTATTCCTTCTGGGTGTCGGTTTCTTTCCTAATGAGGAAGGTGGTCTATGCGCCACTGCCTAACTAGACTTTTGTGGAATTCAGAAAGAAAGTGAATATGCAAGTGCCCAGAAGAGGAGGATGAGGCTGAAGATGAGCAGGATGAGGCTCGGATGAGGAGGACGAGGCTGAAGATAAGGAGGATGAAGATGAGGATGCAGATGTAGACAAAGATGAAGGAGGGCAGGGGAAGTGGGTAGGGCAGCTCTCCCGGCCGCTCTCATTCAAAGGGCCATGGTGGGACTCACTGAGCCACTGTCCCAGGAGCTGAGCCTCAGTAGAGTTAGATAAGCCATCTAAGCAGTTTGCTCTGGCCTGGGCCTCTGGCCACTTTCCTCAAACACCCAAGGCCCAAAGAAGGCCCCTCAGCCAGCCAAGCATGCTAGGAGAGTTATCTGCACGTGAGTGGGGTCAGGGGTAGGGCTCCTGGGGACCTGCCTGTGACCCTTGACACCTGGCTGGAGCTCTTGGGGGCAGGAAGGGGTGCCAGGAATATGAAGTTGTGGGATGGATGACGGATTGAGAAGGAAAAGGAGAGATTTGGCCGGGCATGATGGCTCATGCCTGTAATCCCAGCACTTTGGGAGGCTGAGGCGGGCGGATCACAAGGTCAGGAGTTCGAGACCAGCCTGACCAATATGGTGAAACCCTGTCTCTACTAAAAATACAAAAATTAGCCGGGCGTGGTGGCGGGCGCCTGCAGTCCCAGCTACTCAGGAGGCTGAGATGGGAGAATTGCTTGAACACGGGAGGTGGAGGTTGCAGTGAGCTGAGATCACACCACTGCACTCCAGCCTGGGCGACAGAGCGAGACTCCATCTCAAAAAGAAAAAAGGAGAAATTTGGCTCAGCTGAAGACAGGGAGTGGCTGGACCACACCAAGGTGAGGCAGGTACAGCCTAGTCCTGGGCTCAGGGACAGGTAATGGGAGAGTTATCTCATTTATTCCCATCAGCAACTCTGCAGCATAGATTCTATTATCATTCAGACGAGGAAGCGGAGGCTTAGAGCGTCTTGGGTCATGGTATGGCCAGCTAGCAGGTAGCCAAGATTCAGATTCAGGCACTGTGTTTCCCTCAAACCACTACCCCATCCCACCTCCTCACCCCAGATCCGGACTGGCCACTTTCTGGTGGACTCAGTTTATAGCAGCAGGATAGAAACAACCATAGCTTAGCTCAGAAATCCTGGCGGTGGCAACAGCATATGTGATGAAGAGTTCCTCCTCCAGAGGGTGTCCACGCTAATGAGACGCCCAGAGGCCAAGGGCAAACGCTGGGAGGGGCCGGGCTTGGGGATCCCCCAGGACTCCGTGCCCCTGAAACTTCAGGGGCACAAGGCTGGAAGAATGAAAGCACTTTTCATGGAATTCCAACAGGAAACCCACGAGAACATTCCTGCTTGAAGGATTCCAACAGGAAAACCACGAGAACATTCCTGCTCGTGGGATTCCAACAGGAAAACCAAAAGAACATTTCTGCTCATGGGTTCCAGCTGGGAGCTGGAGTCCCTATTCCCTGCTAAGGAGGCTGCTCAGTAGGTAGAGGGGTCACAGAAGAGAGCTTGCCTCACTCTCATGAGCTGTCCCCAGCCCCCTAGATGAATTCAAAGATCCCTTTGACCTCTGACCCCTCAGTGGAGCGCCAGCTCCCAGGGTGGGGCAGGTCATTTGGGAGCTGGCCTGCCCAGCTCCCAGTCTTGCTGCTTTTGCTTAAAGTGACTGGCCTGGCCTGGCGCAGTGGCGCATGCCTGCAGTCCCAGCACTTTGGGAGGCCAAGGTGGGAGGATCATTTGAGCTCAGGAGCTCCAGACCAGCCTGGGCAACATAGTGAGACCTCATCTGTACCAAAAAAGGGAGGGGGGCACACGTGGCGGCTCACACCTATAGTCTCAGCACTTTGGAAGGCTGAGGTGGGAGGATTGCTTGAGCCCAGGAGTTTGAGGCCAGCCGGGCAATATGGTGAAACCCCCTCTCCACAAAAAATACAAAAATTAGCCAGTCCTGATGGCACACACCTGTAGTTCCAGCTTCTTAAGAACCTGAGGTGGGAGAACTGCTTGAGGCTGGGAGGTTGAGGCTGCAGTGAGCCAAGATCACGCCACTGCACTCCAGCCCTGTCTCAAATAAAAATAAAAAACCAAAGTGGCTGTCCTGCCATCTGGCTTCCCAGACAGCACACAGCCCCTTCAAATGTTTGTCTTTTTTTTTTTTTTTTTTGAAATGGAGTCTTGCTCTGTTGCCCAGGCTGGAGTGCAGTGGCATGATCTTGGACAGCTCACTGCAACCTCCTCCTCCTAGGTTCAAGCAATTCTCCTGCCTCAGCCTCCCGAGTAGCTGGGATTACAGAAGCATGCCACCACACCTGGCTAATTTTTTATATTTGCTAGAGACGGGGTTTCACCATGTTGGCCAGGCTGGTCTCGAACTCCTCACCTCAAGTGGTTTGCCTGCCTCGGCCTCCCAAAGTGCTGGGATTACTGTGGTGAGCCACCACGCCTGGCCCAAATGTTTGTCTTTTAATGACTGCCCTTCTCTGCCCCTCCAAGGGGCATAACATCATAATCAGATAGGGTGAGGAGTTGTGAGCAGGTGAAAAGCCTCTCTTAAATTTAATTGCCTCTTGAGACTAATCAGTCAACCACCGAGTGTGCCTGGAGAAACAGGACACACCCCTCACCCTGCCCAGCCTCTGTGGCGCCTAGCAGCAGGGCCTGCCTGAAACTCCGTGTGGGGAGGGGCCCTGAGGAACGGGACAGGGTCCTGGCCTTGAGAAACTTCCACTCAAGTAGAGGGGCTCGGAGGCACTCCCACAGGAAGTGCTTTTAGCATGCTAAAAGAGAAACGACCACTCACCACAGGAGCCCTCAACGCCGCTTGTGTTTTCTGTGGGGCATCTACCATGGGCCAAACACGGTGCTGAGCTCCAAGGCAGACTGACGTAGCTCCTCCTCCCGCAAAACCATGGCCTGATGGGAGAGACCGGCGAGTCAATGGCTGTTTCTCAGTAGGAGGGGAGTCACAATCAAGGTTTGCACAGGATTCACCTGTAGGACACTCAGCTCTGAGAGGAGAAGGGAGGAGGTCAGGGAAGGCTTCCTGGAGGAAATGATACTTGAGCATGCTGAGGAGTTGGGCTGGAAGTGCCAGTGGGACTTTAGGGGGTGGGACTGGGAGGTGGTGGGGCTGACCTAAGCCCTGGTAGTAGTGGTTAGAATTTGGGTCGTGGGACAGCGATAAGACCTTAAGGCAGACAGAGGAGACTGAGTAGGTTTGGGGCACAGGACAACAGACCCCAGATGGATGGATCTGGAGGGGAGGGTTAGGACAGACAGAGGGTCTCCGAGAGCTGGAGGAGCTGGAGGTCAGCTTGGGACATTAGGATGTCTCTCTCAGTGAAGGAAAGAGAATAAATGAATCAAGGTAGAGGAGAGGGTAGCAATTAAGAAGGCAGGTGGGAGGGAAGCCAGTCTTTAAGGGGGTCTCAGAGCTTGTACAGGAAGAGTGGGGCATTCAAAAAAATGAAAGAAATTCGGAAGGAGCTTGTAGTAGTCCGTTTTCATGCTGCTTATAAAGACGTACCCAAGACTGGGCAATTTACAAAAGAAAGTTTATTGGACTTAACAGTTCCACGTGTCTGGGGAGGCCTCACAATCATGGCAGAAGGTGAAAGGCACGTCTCACATGGCAGCAGACACGAGCAGAGAGCCTGTGCAGGGAAACTCCCATTTCTAAAAGCATCAGATCTCGTGAGGCTTATTCACTGTCATGAGAATAGCATGGGAAAGACCCACCCCCATGATTCAATTACCTCCCACCGGGTCCCTCCAGCAACATGTGGAAATTCAATTTGAGATTTGGGTGGGGACAGAGCCAAACCATATCAGAGCTCCCAGGACCTTTTCATCTGCAACCATGCAGACATCCCATTCCCAAGTCATGGAGTAGCATCTTAGCCCCTATGGTGAAGCATTGGAGCCCTTCCAGGGAGGCAGGCAATGGCCAGAGGCAGCCATGGCTGAGGTAGGAGGGAGTGGGTCTCACCCAGCAGGACACTAAGAGGGACCAGAGGCAGGAATGTAGGAGTCAGGACTCCGGGGAGCAGAGGTAGCAAACTAGGGACACGTGATGGCTTCAGGTTATGGGGCCAAAAGCCAAAACACTAAGCCAGGGTCAGGTCAGGAGAGAGACAGGCCCATGGGCCTTAACCAAGACATTGGATGTGAGAACAGGGCAGGGGGCCAGGACACTGGATGCGAGTACGTGGCTGGCAGGGCCTAATGTGTGCTGGAGCAAATTCATACCAGCTCCAAGAGCCATTGTTAAATGCCAGTAATTTTTCAAGAAAGTTGTTTAAACATTGACAAAATCAGCCACAGTGGGAGTATTTACACCATGGAAATCAGCAAGTGCTACAAATCCAGGCCACGTTTTCCCCGCCAGAAAGCCGGCACTGCAGCTGGTCCAGAGAGATGGCTGAGAGAGACCTCATGGGACTGGGGCTCATGGGACCAGGTTCTCACCCTTACTCCATCACATGATTTTGTGCCATTGTTGATGTTCTCACCCTGGCTTTCCACAAAGGACTATTCAGGGGTCAAATGAGAAACTGTGGCTGGATGTGCCTGCACAGGACAAAGCATTGCATGGAGTGAGAGATCATCATTAGCGGGTTTCCTGGTGTCTTCCTGGATGTCTGATCTAAATTTAGGTCCTTGTAGTCACAGTTGAATCCCAGCCACTGCCTTTCCTTCCTTCCTGCAGGCTCTCTGTAGCACAGCCACGGGAAGTCACTGCTGGAAGGGGTCTGCCTTTGTTGTTTCACCTGCAAGTTTGCATGCATGCTTCTGGGCAAAGTCCCTCCAAACCTTCCCTGTGCCTTCTCCAACTCCAGGCCTGCAGGCTTCCTCCTGCTGAGACACTTGCTGGGCTCGCTGCTCCTCTCCTGGTATCCCAGACTGTCCCACCCTGCCCCAGGGGTTCCCCTGTCCTAACCACCTACCCCCCTCGCTCAGTCACCCCCTGAGAGAGCACATTCTTCCACATCAGGACACCTCAGGCAAGTCCTTACCCTCTCTAGGTCCCACGTATACTCTAAGGATGATGCCAGCCCACCAACCCTCAAAGGGCCTCTAACAGAGCCTATGAGTCTTTCTGGAAGTAACAGAAACTTCAGCTAACAGGGACTTAAACAATATAAAAGTGGTTGCCTACTAAGAAGTCTAGAGGCAGGCTAGTCCCAGCTACTCAGGAGGCTGAGGCAGGAGAATGGCATGAACTCGGGAGGCGGAGCTTGCAGTGAGCAGAGATCGCGCCACTGCATTCCAACCTGGGCTACAGAGCAAGACTCAGTCTCAAAAAAAAAAAAAAAAGTCTAGAGGCAGGCAATTCTCAAGTTGGCTTTGCAACTCCAAGATGCCAATGCCTCTAAATTCTCTCCCTCATCCCCATATGGTCTCAAGATGGCTGCCACAGTTCCAGATATCACATCTTCTTAAATCTCCTTCCAAAGTCAGGATGTAGGGTGATGGTCAATGTGGCAAGAGCTCTCTTTATGTGCTTTTCTTATTTGATCAGAGATGAAAAGTCTTTCTCAGAATCTTTTCCATCCCCACTCCCACAACCCAGTCTCAGGTTGTGAAGAGATAACTTTGGTGAGGTTGTCCATCACAACTTTGGAGGAGTAAATGAACCTATTTCCACATCAGTTGTTCATCTGTAAAATGAGGGCTAATGATATTTACCCCAGGAGGTGGTTGTGGGGATTGAATAAAGTGATCTAGGCTGGCCATTCCAAGTACACAATCCTCTTGGCTTGGTTGGTTCAGAGAGGGACATGTGACCTGATGATACCAACCAGAGTCTTGCTTTAAATTTTGTCTGTGGATGCTGGAGGGGGTCTGTCTTCCTCTGGGATGTTGAACAACGAGGCTCAAGAGAGCCTAAAGCAATTGCACGTAACTAAGCGATTGTTACCATTTGTCTTGGTAAAAAACAAATTTCAGGAACTAAACTCCATTTCACTGAAGCCTAAATGCATCCTAGGAGGTTTTCTAGAGCTAGTCCCTCTGAGCAAAATATATTTATGCCCCTGAATTGATCAGATCCTCCTGTTATATGGATTCATGGAGCCCAGTCACTTCCCCTCATAGTTTGCAACAATTTGTAATTAAATATATTACAAATGATATCATGCCACAAAATTTAGGATTCAAGAAATGTTACATTTCTTAAATGTTCCACATTAAGTTGCATCTGGCTAAAACCCTCCTTTGTCAAAGTTATAGAAAGTTGATGCAGAAGGTGATGCAGAAAGACCCCAGAGTTTGCCCCACCCATGAAAACATGTGTTTTTAACATAGTAGGGACTTAACTGTCAACCATGGTTGTCCCCAGTGCTGCCCACGAGACAGTAGAGGGATTAGGGCAACTTTGAGGCAGGCTTGACCTGGGGGGCATTGCTCAAGGTTCCTGAGACTGGGCATCTGGGCGCAGTTCTCCAAGGCACAGGGCAGCCCCCACCAACATCCAGGGCCCTGCCACTGCAGCACTTGATGGGGGCGGATCTCTGGGGCCCCTGCAAAACCCCTAACACCTCTCGCCTTCAGTCCAAAGAGCCTCACAAGCCCTGAAGGCCATGGCCCTCCCCTGGCCAAATCTGACTGACACTTTGTTTACCACCTCCTAAGGGGCGTAGGCCTTTCAAATCACAGGGGCAGCCCACCTGGCCTGGCAACTTCTCCATTCAGCCGGAAACACAGACCAGAGACTGTTACTTTCCTCCTCGTGATAAGGAAATCTCAAACCTCAAGAACTCAAAGGCCAGGTGCTCCAGAAGGGTAAAGGAAAAAGCAAATATTTCTTCCTTTATCTTGATAAGCCAGCAACCTAGAAAGTGGAAAAATGAGACCCGACTTCTCAACAACTTCTCATTGGCATCAAACCTACCTGTCACATATATCTGTATATGGTGGACAGGGGATCCTAGGGGCTGGTGTCTAATTTGCTCACTATTTTATCCCAGTTTTTTGGCTCACAGTAGGGCTCAGTAAATATTAGTCCAATAATTATTAATCAGAACTCTTTGTGCTCTAAGTGACAGAAATTCAAACTGAATCAAAATTTTTAAAAAGATAATTGGCCGGGTGTGGTGGCTCACGTCTGTAATCCCAGCACTTTGTGAGGCCGAGGCGGGCGGATCACGAGGTCAGGAGATCGAGACCATGCTGGCTAACACGGTGAAACCCCATCTCTACTAAAAATACAAAAATTAGCCGGGTGTGGTGGTGGGCACCTGCAGTCCCAGCTACTTGGGAGGCTGAGGCAGGAGAATGGCGTGAACCCGGGAGGCAGAGGTTGCAGTGAGCCGAGGTCACACCACTGCACTCCAGCCTGGGTGACAGAGTGAGACTCCGTCTCACAAAAAAAAAGATAATTAACTGGCCCTTGTAACTGGGGAAATTGAAGGAAGACCTGACTTCAGGCAAGATTGGAACAACAATATGGTGGAGTATGATTTTCTCTCCAGCTCTATGGCCACCTTTACATGTTAGTTTCATTCCCCCAACAGCTTCTTCCTCATATCCTTGGGCAATGGCTCCAGCAGCTTCCAACTCTCTTGGTCATCACTCAGCATCTCAGAGGAAGACAGATCCTCTTTCCAGCATCTATAGCTTGAATCTTAAGCAAGACTCTGATTGCATGATGTGTCTATCCCTGAACCAGTCACTTGGCCGGGAGGACTGTGTGCTCAGAATGACCACCTGGGTCATGTGCCCAGCTCTGGGTGATGGTGGAGAGGCATCATAAGAAAGAACTTCACCAAGAACTGGTTTGGCTCCTGGAATATAAAGGGAGCTATGACCAGCTATATTTGCTTTGGTTTCCTTATCTGTGAGGTAATGGCATTGGACTACATGGGCTTCAGAGCAGGCAAAGAGAGAAAGGGTTGGCAGAAGCATCAGATGTCCTCCATATAGTGTTGGGAGCTGAGGCTGGGCGGGCTATGCATTCAGTTGGGTTCAGTGATGGTGGGTGTATTAGTTAGGGTAAGAAAGCTGCTGTAACAAACAACCCCCACCTCCCAATAGCTCAACATACCAAACTCAGTCACACCACAGTCCAAAGCATGGTGATGGGGTATTCATCTCCATGCAGTCATAGAGGGCCCCCTTATTTTAGCAACATCCTCATTCCCTAGAGTTCTGGAGTCTTGTGCTTGTAGTTGCACTGATGGGGAAGGAGTGGAGGTGGTACGTGGAAGATGATACAGGAACTGTTGGAGGCCAGGCCTGGAATAGATGTACCTTACTCCTGCCCAATAGCCATTGGCCAGAACTTGGTAGCTGCACATGGTAATAGCAAGGCAGGCTAGAAAATGTGTCCAGAAAGAAAAGCAAACAGAGTTTGGTGAGTTCCTAGTCCTGCTGCATTGCGGGAGGACTGAGGTGGGTTTAGGAGGTGGCAGGGGCAGCGGGGTAGGATGTGGTGGACCTGAAACTCTAGGCTGCCTGCCTCCAGATTTTTCACTTGGGCAGGTCATTTCAATTGAGGCAGATTTTTCAGCTGAGACTGAGCTCTCTGGGCCTCAGTGTCCCCAACTGTCAAATGTAACAAAGCCACCTCTAAAGCCCCTTCCCATGTAAACATTCTCTGCTTCGCCCACTGCCTAGAGCCTCCATTGCTCTGCGCAGCTCTGTTTCCCTGATCTTATTATCTCTGACCTCCCCTTTAACTTCACAATGCCCCTATTCCAGCCCTCCTTTCATCCCTATCTGCTTTATTTTTTTTCTCCATAGCACCTATCATCTGACGCGCCAAATGTTTTTCTCATCTATTCATTGTCTTCCTGCATGAGAATGAAGCTCCCAGGAGGCACAGATTTTTGTGTTTAGTTCACTGCTCTATCCCAAGAACTTAGAAAAGGGCTTGGCACATTGAAAGCACTCAGTAAATACTTGTGGAATGAATGAATGAATGACTTTTAAAACTGTTCCATCAAGTCATTCATAACAGAGCAACGCTGCCATCTGGTGCCAGAAACTTGAATTGCAAGCACAAACTGGAGCCGGGGAGGGAAACTGTGCCCAGGGACAAGCCTTGCCAAATTAACCCTATTTCATTGCTTCAGACACCACGGTCTGACTCTGGAGGGCTCAACAGTCCCGTGGGGTCTGGTTTTCTGTCCTATGTGTGTTCCCCTCCAGATCGCCACGTGACATCTGAGCCATTCATTAGGTTCTCAGAGGCATCAGGCACTCCGCGCTTGCTCTGTTTCTGCTCAAGTAACATCTGGGGACCGCTGTGTCTTAGAAGATGGGCTATCAGGGAAAAGATTCCAGCCCTGAGAGAGGATGAAAGAGAGAACGTATGGTGGGGGCTAGTAGGGAGGACCAAGGGGAGGGTGGGGAAGAAGGAAAGGCCTCTGTGGAGGAGACCAGGCCCACCTCCAGCTTCACTCCACGTTTGCTTTGGTCTCCTTATCTGCGAGGTGACAGCCTTGGACTAGGTGAGCTTCAGACCATAACTCAGCCTAGCCCTAAAATCCCACAATTCTTTTTTTTTTTTTTTTTTTTTTTTTTTTTGAGACAGTCTCACTCTTGTCGCCCAGGCTGGAGTGCAGTGGCGCGATCTCGGCTCACTGCAAGCTCCGCCTCCTGGGTTCACGCCATTCTCCTGCCTCAGCATCCCAAGTAGCTGGGACTACAGGCACCAGCCACCAAAGCCCAGCTAATTTTTTGTGTTTTTTAGTAGAGAAGGGGGTTTCACCGTGTTAGCCAGGATGGTCTCGATCTCCTGACCGCGTGATCCACCAGCCTCGGCCTCCCAAAATGTTGGCATTACAGGCGTGAGCCACCGCGCCTGGCCAAAAATCCCACGATTCTTAAGAAAGACCAGAAGGTTCATGGTACATCTAACTTCTGGATTAATGCCTAGAAGACGGGTTTCAGCCACTGGTCAGAGGCTGGCGTCCTCAGTCAGGGGGTCTCCTCATTAATAGGCAGGTGATCTAATTCAGTGGGGGTCTCTCCAAGAGGACACTCCAGCTTCCCTCTTGAGCCTTGCCCCTGCTGGGGCTGAGCACCAGCAGTGTGGCCCCGTGCTCTTAGTGTCTTGCAGCCAGGAGCACCACCACCTCCTCCCCCCTCATGCCCCCACACCTATGTGTGTTTGTGCTGCTCCTTTCGAAAGCCTAAGGACTGGCTCTGGCTAATCTCTGATGTCTCTTGGGTCTCTGAGGTCTGTATGAGCCAGGTTGGCTGCTCAGGGCATGAAGGAAGGGGCCCCGGAGGGACTTCTCCCCTTTCTTTCAGAGCTTTGGTTGTTGGTGACAGGAGCAGCTTCAGTGGCTCTGCCGATGCCTGCAAACCTTTCTTCCTGGCCTCCACCCCAGCTCCCTTCAGCACAGATGTGTAGGGCACCTTCCAAGATGCTGTGGGATTTAGAAGATAGTTTGGGCTCTGACCCCGAAGGGCTCCTTGTGAGTGGGGGCATGCCCCGTGCAGCACAGCAAACGAGCTGTGGCCATGCATGTGCGAACAAGCATCGAAGTCAGGAGTCCAGGCTGACAGGAGAGTTGCTTGGGAAGCCTTCTGGAGGGGTGGGGTCCCTACGGCTTCTGAGTCCACCCACACTGAAGCACTGAAGTAGAGTATCTGAGGCCTTGGGGGCAACCACCTTGCCCCAGCTCCTCTTAGCACCCAGAGTCAGGGGGAGTGACACCTGTGAGCCTCGCCCCGCCCCAATGTGGGGGTCACTGAAATGCGGGCCTGGCCGCCTCATGACACTAGAGCACCTGTATGTCCAGAATGCGGTAGGGACTCACAGAGACCCACCTTTTTCCTCCTTCCGTGCCCTTCCATCTCTTATTCTCCTACCCCCACCAGAGGCTCCTCTTCCCTCTGCCCCTGGGAGTCAGCTCGCTCAGGGTCCCCTGCCGTGCCCACTGCCCTCCCTCCCTGTGCAGCCTTGCTGTTCCTCCAACCTGGCAACTGGCTCCTATGTACTTCTAGGAGCACTTGCCCAGTGGAATAATGGGCCGGATTGTCTGTGGTCAATTCATCACCACTATCCCTTTCCAAGGTCTTCTCTGTGGCTCTGAGAGAAGCTAGGAACTACAATTCCCAGAATGCCCTGCTTGTGGGGCTACATCTTTTCTGGCTTGGTATTGGGCAGGTGGAAGAGAAGGAGAGGTCATTATTAAATCTAAATCAGATGAAGAGCTTTCTATAAACTGCACACCAGACTTCGAAGACTTTGTACAAGAAAATGTAAAATGTCTAACTAATAATTTTTATATTACTCCCATATTGGAATGATAACCTTTTATGATATATTGGGTTAAATAAAATGTATTAAAACTCATTTTGTCTCTTTTTGGTACTTTTAAATGTGACTGCTGAAAAATTCTAAAGTACATAAGTAGTTCACATTAGAAGTCTACTGAACAGAGCTGGTTTAAAGTATGCTGGTTTAAACTATGGTTTAAAGGGGCTGGGCGCAGGGGCTCACACCTGTAATCCCAGCACTTTGGGAGGCCAAGGCCGTTGGATCACTTGAGGTCAGGAGTTCCAGACCAGCGTGGCCAACATGGTGAAACCCAGTCTCTACTAATATTACAAAATTTAACCAGGCATGGGGGTGGATGCCTGTAATCCCAGCTACTCAGGAGGCTGAGGCACAAGAATCTCTTGAACCTGGTAGGCGGAGGTTGCAGTGAGCCAAGATCCTGCCATTGCACTCCAGCCTGGGTGACAGATTGAAACTGTGTCTCAGAAAAATAATGATAACTAAATAAAAAAATAGAGTGTGCTTGGGGATAGAAGAGGCACATACAAAGCCCTTCATAGCCACCTGAGATGATAAACAATGTTACATGTTGAATGGGGATTACTACCACATGAGAGTGGTGCAGACGTTGAGAGTTAAGAGCTTAAGGGATAAAAGGAGGTCCCTGAGGGCTCCAGGGTAGGGAATGAAGGAGGTGAAGGTAGGATGGAGCCCACCTTGGAGAACGGGGGGATGTGGACGGGAGGATGTGGATGGTGCAAGGGCGTGGAAGCCGTGCCAGGCAATGGATTCCATGGGTTAAGAGAGGAATAACTCATGCCTGGCAAGATGCAAAGGCCAGATGGTCTCAAGCAGATGTGAAGAAATGGTTATTGAGTCTCCTGTGTCTACAGTCACAACTCTATTCAGTCTACCCAATGCTGCAAAGTGTTGGGTGAGGGAGGCAGACAGAAAAGTCCTGTCTGAGCTCTGGGCACATGGGTGCCATCTCCTAGGGTGCCTAGGTCACAATGCAAACTTAAACCCAAGCCCCATCAACTTCTCCAGCTCTGTCTAGAATGTGGCTCCTTGAGGAGCCAGGTTTTCAAAAATTTTTATTTTTATTTATTTTAACTTTTATTTTTTCGAGATGGAGTTTCAGTCTTGTTGCCCAGGCTGCAGTGCAATGGCGTGATCTCGGCTCACCATAACCTCCGCCTCCCAGGTTCAAGCTATTCTCCTGCCTCAGCCTCCTGAGTAGCTGGGATTACAGGCATGCACCACAATGCCCAGCTAATTTTGTATTTTTAGTAGAGACGGGGTTTCTCCACGTTGGTCAGGCTGGTCTCGAACTCCCGACCTCAGGTCATCCACCCGCCTTGGCATCCCAAAGTGATGGGACCACAGGCATGAGCCACCGCGCCCGAGGAGCCATGTTTTCTAGGGGTGCTGGGGCCAAGGATCTAGGCTCCACGGGGCAGGGTGCTCTGCCCTGGTCCCAACTCCACGGGCCCTGCCTCCTTGCCCCAGCCTTGTCCCAAGCAGTTTCCTGGTGGTTGTAGACTTGAGTCAGGGGAGAAGTCACAGGAGGAAAAATGTGTTCCCGTCTGAGATGAACTCACTCCACCTAGACATTATGGAGTATGGTAGATGAGGTTGTGGGAACTATGAAGCCACCGCTTGAGAGTGCTTGTGCTTGGCATTTTGCAGAATTTCTGGCATGGCTGCCCCTGGTCAGCAGTGAATCTGAGAAAATCTGGGACCTCTGTGGCCCTGGCCTTGTCCTGTGGGACGGGCCTCCTGGAGCCAAGGGGGACTGGAATTGAGTCCACGTTGGATGTCGAGTCATTCTGGGAAGGGCTAGCTGTGGTTTCCAGGCCCTCTAAAAGGCTGCCCAGATACTGACCAAGAGGAGCCCAGAGATGGCCAGGCCAGAGCGAGTGCCAGAGCAGGTTGTCCTGCGGCCCAGAAAAAACTCTGATTCTAAAATCCTGAAGGTGCTTTGCCTCCAAGGGGCCTGCACGTTGAGGGACTTTTGAAAACAGGAGAGCTTTTCCACCATTGTCTCAGGGGCCTGTGCCCTTGCTTACAGAAAGAGTTAGACAGCAGCTCAATACATCCTTCCTAAGCACCTCTCTTCTACCCAATCCAGAAGCAGGCACAATGGGGAGAACGAGGGGAAGAGCTGAGAAGCTTTAAGGCTCAGGGTGTAGGAGCTTTGAGAGGCCATGGAGACCAACATGCCTTTTGAAGTAAAAATTCCTGCAACCACATCCCTGGTCATTAGATGTGGTCTTTGTCCTCTCAGAACAAACAGTTTAACAAAACCAAAGACATAAGCAGTGTTCCGGGGACTGGCAGTGTGCACATGGAGGCAGGGGGTTGTGGAGGCAGGGGGCTGTGCAGCCTGGAGTGTAAGTGCCAGGGGGGTCCTGAGCCCAGGGTGACCAGGGTGACCCATGCGAGTGGGACCATGTAGGACTGGAAGTGGGCCATCCAGACTAATAGATGGGAGTGTGAAGTGGGGAGTGTGAAGTGGTTAAATAATAATCATAAAAAGACACCAGGAGGAGGAAGAGGAAGGGGAGGGAGAGGGGAAGGGGAAGAACGAGATGATTAGAGAGACAGCAAGTTCCTCAACTCCCAAATCTCTGCTGCTTAAAATCCCACCATTAAATATTCATTTTGGGGAATTAAGTTTTGTGTTCTCTATTTTCATCTTTCAGAATGAAGCTTTCCTTGCTGAGAGAACATGTGAGGGCCCAAACAGGACATAAGAGGCTGAAAATCAAATAACAGGCAGATAGGAGAGGAATGAAGACAAACTCTGCCAATGTCACAATTTTTGCCGGAGATTAGCCAGTATGGCCAGCTGCTAGCCATGTCAACAGACAGGCTATGCAAGTACAGAGAAGACAGGGGAGGTCAGTGTGGACTAGGGGGTCAGGGAAGGCTTCATAATCCATTTGGGTCTTTACCCCCATTGACCTCAGGAAAACCCTGACATTTCACTTTGTTTCCCTGAAGTTCAGCCCTCCAAACAAATCTCCAAAATCAAGAGAGAAGCAAGGTCACTCTGACGCGCTGTGTTCTTGTTGACTTGTACAGCCTCTCCTTTCCAAAGCTCCCATCAGAGAAAAGCCCTTGAGAAGGTTTCACAGCAAAATTGTGAAGGTGCTGGGCTCTGAAGCCAGGCTCCACTGGCTGCATCTATGACCTTGACCTCCATCTCTCTGAAGCCCAGTTCCCTTATTTGTAAAATGGAACTGATGAGAGTACAGTCATTCTTTGGTGTCCGTGGGGGATTGGTTCTAGGACCCTCACTCCCCCAAGGATACCAAAATGTGACGGTACTCAAGTCCCTGATATAAAATGGTGTAGTATTTGCATATAACCTACACACATCCTCCCTATATTTTAAATCATCTCTAGATCACTTATACTTCCTGCAATGTAAATGCTATATACATAGCTGTTATACTGTATTGTTTAGGGGATGACAAGGAAAAAAAAGTCTGTTCATGTTCATCACAGATGGGACTATCTTTTTTTTTTCTCAAATAGGGTATTATCAATCCATGGTTGGTTGAATCCATCGATGCAGAGCCCACAGGTGTAGAGGGCCAACTGTATTTATTTCATAGGATTGTCATGAGAGCTGAACTATAAAATACACTTGAAGTACTTGGAATGCCAGGGACTGGGCATAGTGGCTCATACCTGTCATCCCAACACTTTGGAAGGCTGAGGCAGGAGGATCAATTGAGTCCAGAAGTTCAAGACCAGACTGGGCAATATAGTAAGACCTCATCCCTACAAAAAAAAAATTTAAAAATTAGCTGGGTGTGCTGGTGCACAGGAGGCTGAGATGGAGGGATCATTTGAGGCAGGAGGTCAAGGGTGCAGTGAGATGTGATCACATCACTGCCCTCCAGCTTGGGCAACAGAGCAAGACTCTGACTTGGAAAAAAAAAAAAAAAAAGCACGCCAGCCATTATGCTTGATAAATTTTGTTATTACTATCACTGATTTTCTGCAACTAGCCAAAGAATTCCTTGTCTACCTAACCAGAATGATTTTCACATTGTTCTTCCATTAATTCGATACTTACTTTCTGGGCACCTACTGTGAGTGGGAAGCTTTTCCGTCCTCAAGGAATGTACAACCCAAGTAGGAACAGTGAGACATTATCTTAAAGAGCGACAACATGGTGCAGGGGACAGGGATGTGAGTTGAACCTACAATGTTCCTGTATCAGTTAGGATTAGATCGGGCTACAAGCAAACTGAAAAGCCAACAGGATGGTGTGTTAAACAAGGTGAGAGTTTATTTTCTTCTCCTGTAAACAAACTCAAGAGGTAAACAGTCACAGGCTGGTGTCGTGGCTCAACCCTCGTTAAGGGTCCAGACTGTCCTCAACACGTGGCTTCTGCTCCAGGACACAGTATGGCACTTGAGCTCCAGCCCCGCCATCCTCATCTTCATCCTCATCATCATATTCATTCCAGCCACACTTGTAGAGCTTGTGCCAGGAACCCTTCTACTCACTCTTCAAATATGAATTCACGTAATCCTCACAGAATATCTACTGTTACGTAGATTTTCTTTTTATTCCCATTTTACTGCAAAGGAAACTGGCACAAAAGGGTTAGGTACTTGTCCAAAGTCACACAACTCATAGGTGGCAGGACTAGGATTTGAACTCCGCCAGCCTGGCTCCAGAGTCCATCTAGCCAGAGGAAGCAAAGAAAGGCATTCTCCTCCCTTTAATGTCGCTTTGGCCAGAACCTAATCACGTGCCCCTTCCAACTGCCAGGAAGGCTGGGAAATGCAGTCTTTATTTAGGACAGCAAAAACCCGGGAGTTCTATAACTGAGAAAGATGGGGAAATAAATCCTGGGGACCAATTTGTAGTCTCTGGCATGGACCCCTCTAAATGCACCCTTTCACCCAAAGTGAGACACCCTCAGCAATAATTCTGTATAACATGACCCTTCCCTTTGCCCCTGCCCCTAGAGAGGCTGGTCAGGGCTGAACTGGGATGAAGGAGGAGATTCCATCTTTCCATGTCAGACTGTGGCGTGTACCCTTGAGTACCATAAACAGTGGATTCCAGCCAAGTCTGCAAGGCCACAGTCTACAGAGAGAATAATTAAATGAATGTTCAGAGAGAGAACCCTACCCAAGCAGTATTTCCAGACGCCAGTGCCAGGGTTTCCTGAGGTGCTGTGCATTCCTGCCCTGGGACGCTGCAAGGCCCATTCACACGCTTGTGATAAGAATCCCCTTGTTTGGGCTGGGCGTGGTGGCTCATGCCACTAATCCCAGCATTTTGAGAGGCCAAGGTGGGAGGATCGCTTGAGACCAGCCTAGGCAAGATAGACCCTGTCTCTAAAAGAAAAAAAAAAAATCCCTTCGTTTGATCCAGTGGGTTTTGAACAATTGTCCAATTGCCATCAAAGAATCCTAACTTCACAACCAGGCAGATATGGTACAGATTGCTACTGGTGTCAAGGAAAATTCTTGAGGTATGGAGGAAAGAGAGAGATTGATGTGGCCCAGAGTAGCCTTCAGAAGGATCAGCAGAGGCTTCATAATCTGGGGTATTACAGCTGACATACAGTGCAGACCACAAGCTGGACGCTGTCTCAAGTGCTTTACACGTAGCCTCACTTAATCTTCACAATATCCAATGAAGCAGTTGCTACTACTATTGTCTTCCTTTTACAGATGAGTAAAGCTAGGCAAAGAAGGGTTACAAAACTTTCTCAAAAGGTCAAACTCTAGAGGAAATAGAACTGGGTCTTGTACCTGGTCAATCTGGTTGTAGATTCCATGCTCTTAATCACCATGTGGGTTTGAGCATTTGGTGTCTGGGTCTTGAACGAAGGGTAGGAATGTGATGGGCAGAGACAGGACTGTCCATACCAAGCAGGAGGCATGAGAAAGCCACACCATGGAGTCAGTAAGCACAAGGCTGACTTTGTGGGGCTGGGGATGACATGGAATCTGGAACAGCTGCAACACAGGTTCACAGGAGCAAGAGGGGGCCACCATGCTGGAGAGCAAGTTTGGGAGCTGATTCAAGGAGGGGACTGTGAATCTGTATAACAAGTTTGGGCCTTACTTTGGAGGCAACGGGGAGCCCTCAAGGGTTTTTTGGGGGGGTTTTTCGGTTTTTCTTTTTTTTTTGAGACAGAGTCTCGCTCTTTCGCCTGCAGCACTGCAGGCTGGACTGCAGTGGCATAATCTCGGCTCACTGCAACCTCCGCCTCCCAGGTTCAAGCGATTCTCCTGCCTCAGCCTCCCAAGTAGCTGGGATTACAGACACCCACCACCACACCCGGCCAATTTTTTGTATTTTTAGGAGACACAAGGTTTCACCACATTGGCCAGGCTGGTCTCAAACTCCTGACCTCAGTTGATCCACCCACCTCGGCCTCCCAAAGTGCTGGGATTACAGGCATGAGCCACCACATCCGGCCAAGGGTTTTTAAGTTGGGAAGAAACACACTCTGGGCCTGGCTTTGGGATGATTGCTCAGGACGTTGGGTTACACTTCAGGAAGGGGACAGACAATCAGGAGGCTCTTGCAATAAATGATTCCAGACTTAGGATTTCAAGGAGGATGGAGATGGGGCCTCTAGGGGTAGAGACGCAGGACTTGGGGCTTCCTAGACTAGGGAGAAGGAGGAGCTGAAGGCAATTACAGAGAGGTTCTGGACCTGTTGGTGGCGTGGGAGTGGGGGCAGCAGGAGAAGATGAGTTCTGGTTGGACGGCAAAACTTTGAGGTACCTCTGAGACACCTTGGTGAAGAATCTTAGAAACATGGGAAAGAAGTCAGGCCTTAGAGACAGACGCAGCTCTGAAGTCATACACATAGTGTGACCCCTGAGGCTGTGGCCACAAATGACACCCCCAGGAGAGGGACCCTTGACCAGACGTGGTGGGAGAAACAGAACGAGCAGCCAGAAGACAGGAAACAGCCTGCTTGGTGGTCCAAGGATCACCAGGAGCATGCACGGCTTGGAAGACCAGAGCAGGCTTTCAAGAAGGAAGGCAGGACCCTCAGTGCCAAGCATGGTGGGGGAGGAGGGCGGGAGGTGAGCAAGGGCTGTAACCTCTGTTGGGGGCCAGGCCCTGTTAGAGCTCCCACAACCTTCCTGTTGCCCTGGTCATGGCTACAGGGCTGGGGATCTGCAGAGTCGAATAGTTGAGATTTATGGTGGAAAATGGCCCCAGGGACGGGGGCAATTTGCTGCTCACAAACAGATTCCAACTTGTCCATTAAAGTGCTTCATTCCAGTCCCAACACCAGGCTCGTTCACACCTCAGGTGAGGAGTCAGGCCTGCCCTGATGATTAGCACATGGGCCCCGCTCTGTGGGGAGTGGCCTTCCTTCCTCAAGGAAGCCACTGCAGCCTTCAGAGGCAGGGTCATGCTATCCGCAATGCCTCCAGAGAGAGGCAAGCCCTGGCGACAGTCTGTCTGCCCCAGCCTGCCCTGGACTCCACGGGGCAGGCGCCAACCCCCCTGGAGCGACTCATGCGGAGCTGGGTAATAGAGGGCAAGAAGGCTTTGCTGTCCGGCCCCAGCCCTGCCACTTAAGAACCGGGTGACCTTAAGCAAGCCCCTTGGCCTGAAATTGTTTCCTCTTCTGTAGAGGGGGGCAATAATTCTCACCTGGGGAGGGTGTTGTGACAATTACACGAAACACGTATGTGAAGCGTTAAGCTCTGTGCCTGGGGTGTGGCACTCACTCAATAAACCAGAGTGATGGTTGTTACTGACTGTCCCTAAAGTCTGGCCTCTTCTCCAAAGCATGAGGGGCCCAGGGGACTCTGCTGAGGGGCAGGTCACAGGACAAGACCTCTGAAAGAGCCAGTTGCCTCTCTCCTCTTCTGGCCTCTCTTTACCCTTCCCTCCTCTTTCCTGGAGAGGGATGGGCCCAGAGAGTCCTCGGCTCTCTGTCCCTCCTTCCCCTCCTCCCAGCCGAGCTGCAGCAGGTGACTTCCCCTCATTCCTCAAGGACCCCAGCCCGGAACTTGGAAAACTTTCCCAAGGTCTCCAGGAAATGGGGCAGGGTGAGGACCCAGCCTGAGGGAAGGCTCCTGCTGCACTCAGAACCTCCAGGCTGCCCCAGGCAGGGGCAGGGTGGGACCAGTAGACCAGGGAGGGAGAGGCAGAGGAGGACAGGGATGCGTTGTCACCTCCCTGAGCCACTGGCCTAGGGGCTGATGGGCAACCCACAGGATCCTCCCAGGTGTTTGTTGTGTAATCCCGTTTCTCATCCCCTCTCCCTCACCATGTCATCTTTAGGCGTCTATATAAATGTGGAAGCAATTGACTAATTTTGAAGCAATGCAGAATTCTTCACACTCTTGCTTAATTTTCACCTCCCTGGGCTGCTGACCCCCAACGCCCTCAGCTCAACCCTGGGCTGCCCTCCTCATCTAACAGCACTAACAGCACTGCAGTTATTTTCTTTGCTGCCGCTTCTTTCTTTTAAAATTGGGTCTGGAGCCAGGAAGGAGAAACGGACTGGGGATCTGACTGTGCCCCTTGGGGCTCCCTCCCTCCGCCTTCTTTGCTGGAATCTGCAGGAGAGTGCGCACCGAGCAGCTGGGGAAGGCACATCCCAGTGGAAGACATCACCCTCTCGCCTCCTAGGCCCTCAGCCCTGTCCCCAGTGTGAGGGGGGCACTGGGGGTGGAAGATGTGCCCCAAGGTAGCAGCTGAGGCAGATAGAGGCCAGATGTGTTCCAGTGCCCCCATCTCCTGCAGTCTCCTGCAGTCACACACGCTCTGTGACAAGCGTCATTAGCCTAGGTAGTGACTGCCAAAATCACTCATCAGCCACAACTGAGATCCAGGTGGGGCATGAGAGGAGGGGTGTGATGGGTGGAGCTTGTGACTGGCAGCAGACTCAGTTCCTGCCTAAGAAGGTGTTTTGTGTTTTGTTTTGTTTTGAGATAGGGTCTCACTCTGTTGCCCAGGCTGGAGTGCAGTGGTGTGATCTCACTCACTGCAGCCTCCACCTCCTGGGTTCAAGCAATTGTCGTACCTCAACCCCCCATATAGCTGAGACTACAGGTATGCGCCATCATGCCCAGCTAATTTTGTATTTTTAGTAGACATGGGGTTTCACCATGTTGACCAGGCTAGTCTCGAACTCCTGACCTCAGGTGATACGCCCGCCTCAGCCTCCCAAAGTGTTGGGATAATAGGCGTGAGCCACTATGCCCAGCCTAAGAAGTTTTTATAGTGTGAAACTAGGGAGACAAGATTGGCAGATGAGAGTCATTTAGAAACAGAGTAAGATGTAGGATTTTAAAACCTGAGGCTCTGAACAGACACTGGGGGCTACTTGAGGGTGGAGGGTGGGAGGCGGGAGAGGAGCAGAAAAGATAACTATTGGGTACTGGGCTTAATACCTGGGTGATGAAATAATCTGTACAACAAACCTCTGTGACACGAGTTCACCTACGTAAAAACCTTCACATGTACCCCTAAACCTAAAATAAAATTTTTAAAAAAACAAACCTGAGGTTCTGGAAACAAGTCCTATTGATGTTCACAGGGACACAGGCGGGAGCTCCGGAAGGTCTGAGAGCCGGGCAGGCCTGCTTGGTGTCCGTTGCGGGCAGGGAGCACAGCCCAGACAGGGAGGCAGAGTGGCCGTTCCCCAAGTGGCAGTCATGAGACTGTGTCTCAACACAGTGGCTAAGTGTGACCTGCTGCAGCCCAGGTGGGCAGCTCCTCTCGGCGCTACTTGGGGGATGGTGCTGGGGGAGGCTGCAACTCCGGTTTTGTTTTTCCTATGAGCACCTCTGGCCACCAAGCATGAAGCTGAAGCAACCCCACCCTCGTCTGACCCCATAGCTCTTTATCTGCCTCTCCAGCTCCAGCTTCTTCTCTAATTATTGCTAAGCTTGTCCTTTTCTCTCACCGGGCAGGGGCCCCTCTCTGAGTCCACTATGGCCCTCATGTTGCCCGAGTGACGGAGCCAATGTATAGCAAATTCTCAGAATGGATCTTTGCAACTCCCGGTGTTTGTTCTGTTTGTTTTGATTGGGAGTTCTGGAGAGTGGAGTGGCACAAAGCTGTTGGCTTTTGTTCTCCAGCCTCGACCATAATCCTCAGTAGGGATCCTAGGCCCTGGGGCCTCAAGCCCCATTCCTAGTATGGGAGAAGCTTAAACTTCAACGAGGGTTGTAAGCAAACACCTCACTTATCTTACCCTCATACCTCACATGGAGGTAGAGGCCCAGAACCCTAGAGGGATGGGGGCTGAAAAGGGATGGGGACAGAAGGGGAGGTGGTGCCGGAACCAAGGGCTCCCCTGGGGTGCTGGAATGGGGAGTAGGTGATGTGAATTCACCCATTTCTTGGCTGGAGGGAGGAGGGTAAATCATTGGAGACAAGATCTGCAGTAGGGGAAGGTGGTGTGGCAGACACTGAATTTTATGGTCAATTGCAGAAGAAGCCTCACCTCAAGGGACCCCAGAGGCCCTAGGGGTTTAAAGAGCTTGGGGGCCCCCAACACCCACCTTTCCATCTGCATCATCAACACAAACGGCAACCAAAGGCTTGCTCCTGACACACTTAACCGACCTCTCCAGGGTGGAGGCCAGAGCCACTGGAACCATTCCCAGACCCACCCTGGCCAGCGTGGCCCCACACCACAAGCCTGCCAGGGCATGGGAGGAAACCAAGAACGTGCCACCCAAGATAAAGGTTTCCGTCTGATTTTGTGGTTCAGCTGAAGCCATGTTCTTAATTGTCCAAATAAACAGTTTTCAGCCTGGAGGCCAGGACACGCCAAAACACGCCACTTCCTTTTCCAGCACCAACTGGGTGCTACCAGCACTAACTCGTCTTCTAAGCACTAAGTAGTGCCCAGTGGGCCATGGCAGCCTATAAGAAGGGCTGACTACCAGCTGTGTGACCCTGGGCTTAAGGCCATGAGGCAGGGCTGGGCAGTGACTCTTCGCTAACCTGGGAGTGGGAGACCTTTACTGTAGCTGCACCACTTACCTGCCGGTGACCTTGCTCAAGCTGCGTCTTCCCTGGGCCGTGGTTTCTGCATCTGTAAAATCGGAGAAATGCACTAGGACAGTGGTTCTTAAGGTGTGGCCCCTTCAGCATCAGCATCATTTGAGAACTTGTTAGAAATACTAATTCTAGGCTGGGCATGGTGGTTCATACCTATGATCCCAACAATTTGGAAGGCCCAAGCAGGAGGAGTACTTGAGGCCAGGAGTTTAGGACCAGTCTGGGCAACAGAGCGAGACCTCGTCTGCACAAAGAAAAAAAAAAAAAAAAAAAGAGTTTTAAAAAATTAGCTGGGTGTAGTGGTGCACACACGTGGTCCCATCTACTTGGGAGGCTGAGGTAGGAGGATCACTTGAACCCAAGAGTTCAAGGCTGCAGTGAGCTACGATTGCACCACTGCACTCTAGCCTGGGTGACAGAGTGAAATCCCCATCTCTAAAATAAAATGAAAGGAAATACAAATTCTCGGCTTCTCCTATTCAGTCAGAACCTCTCAGGCAGGGCCCAGAAATAGGTGTTTTTACAAGCCTTGATGCAAGCCAAAGTTAGGAGATCTATACATTTCCGTCCAGCAATTACTCATGAGAACTATTTAGTTCACAGGTAATATCGTACCCTTAAAAGAAGTATCAGCCCTTCTTTGAGAAAGTTTGACAGCTCAGCCCTGTCTTTGATCACAGTCAGCTCTGACGTTAGCCTCAAGAGAGCTCTGGCCTTGGGCCTACCATGCTCTGAAATCTGCCCTCAGCTCAGGACTCCGGTTTCTGGGCATGGCCTGGGATATAACAGCCTAGAGGAGCCAGTCCAGGCAGCCCCCAGTGGCTATCACATGGTGGCAGAACGTGGCTTCCAGACAGATTGCCAGGAGAGCCCCATCAGATTCCTGAGGAGCCAAAGAGCTGAAAGGAGGACCACACTGACTCCAAGGATTATAGGGGCTATTAAAAGAACCAAAGTTTATTTTCTTTTGCCAGCTTTATCTAAAGAAAAAGAAAAATGCTCCAAGGAGAACATCCCCTGTATAGGACACCAGCTGTGAGTATATGATTCTTTGCAAGGAACTTCTAAATGCAAGCAAGGCTGCTGGTTCCATGCAGAGAATTATGAGACATCCTCCCTCGCTTAGGTCCAAATCTTGGATCTAGCCACAGTGACATCCTCAGACATCTGAGTGTCCCAGCACGGTGGCTTGCCCTCAGCAACTGGTCTTCAGTCCCTTGGTTTCTGGGAAACACCAGCTCTGGAATTGGCACAGGCCAGCTCACACACTGCAGACTCTGAGATTGCAGGGCAGGCCCAGCTCAGGGAGGCCGAGACACCCCAAGACCCAGTGGGGACAGAGGGACGATGGGAATCTGGGGCAGGAGCAGACAATCCCGCGACCATCACGGCTTATTGGGCTCCACTCGGCACCTCCAGCACAGGGTAGATTCGGCAGGGCTGCTCTTTGGTGGGGATGGGGAGGGGTCGGTAAAGCCAGCCCCTTGGTCCAAGCAGTGCCACCCTCCTCCCAGGGCCTGGATGCTTGAACCCTAAGGCTCATTTCCACCAAACCTGTTTCCCCCCAATTCCCGGGGCCTGAGTGAGGGAGCATGGGAGTTCTGAGCACTCAGGAAGAGGCGAGACTTGAGGAGTGAGACAGGGGGAGGGCCCAGCAAACACATCTGTCACCAGGAAAGAAGGGCTCAGACCAAAACTCATTTCCACCTAAGAGCCTGTGGGTCTGTTTTGGGAAAGCTGACTAATCCTGTAATCCTGCCCACCAGGCAATTTTTCTGCCTGGCTTCCAAGTGGTAGTGGGAGAGAACCTGGGGCCACTATCCTGCTGAGGAATGTATTCTCTTAAAGGGGAAAAAACACCTTCGTTAGGTGTGGTTTGTTCCACAGAGCCCTGGTTTAGAAGTTGTCAGCTGTTGTCCCTTGAGGGCGGTACCTGTGCCTGGCAGCGGCCAGCCCCCGACGCAGGGGACAGGGAAGAGGCAGTGGCAGAGACAGCCTTGCCTTCTCAGTGGGCAGCAGGACCACCATGCCACCTCTCTCCCACCTCACTGCCCAGATCATAGGCTGGAGAGCAGCTGCTCAGCGCCCCCACCAGGAAGCAGGTTACAAATGCAGAATCTCAGCCTCTGCTGACCTACTGCAAAGGAACCTGGATCTTCACAGGATCCCCAGGAAGCCCTGGCCTGGATGCTGTCTGTCCCTGGGCTGGGCCCTGTGGCTGCTCTGCCAGTTGGGCAACAGGAATGAGCACAGCCCCACTCTCCGGGAGATAGATGCCAGTCTTTTCATTCAGACCACTCAGATGGGAAGTGAGGGGCATCCTCAGCTTGTCCACATGCTCAGCACGGTGGAGAACCCTGTTCCAGGCAGAGACCCTCAAGGCAGCTGTCTGGCACTGGTGCAGACACATACTCACACATGCATACTCAAGAGTATGCACACACTTCCCCTGCCCCGCAGTGACTTCCACCCACCAAGCCAGCAACACACACACAATGACAAATTAAGAGCAGAGTCCCTCCAAGTCACAAAGTCACCAAGTTTCAGGAAAGTGGTGTGCAAGCTAGATTTGTCCCTCTCCTCACATTGCCTCTGTTTGATATGATCACTTCAGAGATGTGTTCACCTGGTGGGGCAGAGCAGGAGGAGGTTGACATGAAAATATTCTTTTTTAAATCACACTCTTAATCCTGCCCAGGCGAGGTGGCTCACACCTGTAATCCTAGCACTTTGGGAGGCCGAGGAGGGCGGCTCACCTGAGGTCAGGAGTTCGAGACCAGCCTGGTCAACATGGTGAAACCCCGTCTCTACTAAAAATACAAAAAATTAGCCAGGCGTGGTGGCGGGCACCTGTAATCCCAGCTACTTGGGAGGCTGAGGCAGGAGAATGGCGTGAACCTGGGAGGTGGAGGTTGTAGTGAGCCAAGATTGCGCCACTGCACTCCAGCCTGGGCGACAGAGCAAGGCTGCGTCTCAAAAAAAAAAAAAAAAAAAAAAAAAAAAAAGGAATCCTTTCCAGGTCATGCAGACAAAAGCAGACAATAGTCTCAACAACACCACTCAGAGAGACTGGCTAAAGGGAAACCCCGCTGGTCCCTCCTGTTCTGTATTTTCAGGTGAGAGTGGGAAAGGAGAGGGGGCTCTTAGGGCAATTTTCTCGGTGCACTGTTCTAGGCCAGCTTTTTCCTGTGAGTCTCTTGAATGATCTTTAACACCTCACAGCCCATCTGCCCCCAGACCTCATGCAGCCCCTGAGCAGGACTGGACATCCAGATGGCAACAAACACATACTGTCTCTTTAAGAGACTGGCCTGAGAGTTTGTTTACCAGGAGGTTTGTTTGGGTCTCAGTGGGAGGAAAGGAAGAAGATAAAAGCAGTTGGGACACTAGAAAGAAAAAAGAAAAAGCCAGAATGCAGAGAAAGCAAAATGAGAAAAGCAAGTCCAGAGGGAGAATTTATTTTTGCAGCGAGGATTCCAGTCCCCTGGGGACTGTTTGCACAGAGCAAGCTAACCACCAAATGCGTAGGTCGGGTCAGACACAATTCCCTGAGTGGGTCCAACAGCAGCTGCCCTGGGCTGTGCTGAAGGTTCCCTGCCGAATTCAGGCAGAGCCACCATTGGGTGGAGGCAGCTGGCACTAGAGGCTTCCTCCTGTCTTCCCCACAAGGAGGGGGTTGGACTGATGTTGGAAGGAAGACAAGGTGAGGGGCAGCCTATGGGAGCCCAGTGACAAATCTGGCTTATAGGAAGTGTGGGACAAAAGCTCTCAGCCTGGGCTCAGGGTAGGGGCTTCAGGGCACCCAGGAATCCTGCAATTGTTTGCCCTTTCATGGGGTGGGCCCTTGTGCACACAGATCAGTAGGATTCCTGGGAGGGAATCCACTGCTCTCACAGCTTCACAAAGGGTGTCTGGGACTAGCAGGAAGAGTCCGGTTGAGGCTGGGCCTGAATCAAGCCCCCTGAGTGTAAGGTGGGCCACTGGGACCCTGTGTTTTAGGTGTGCTGGTGAATGTTTCTCCGAAAGCTGGGAGCCATTGTGGGTGACCAGGCAGAGAAGTGACACAAGGAGAGCTGTCACTCCAGAGGCCATGACTCGAGAGGCAAGGCCAGGAAAGAGAGAGGTTTCGGGGTGGCTTTGCTACACACAGTCCAGAGCCCAAAGAGGGTGCTGTTGACACTGGGTGAGCTTGCAGTACAGAGAGCCCCAAAGGCTTTTCTCTAATCTCTGTTGAGGCTGTTCTTGGTACCAAGCAAGCCCGTCCAAACAGGCCAGACACAGCGCACACATGTGCTCACACGCATCCGTATACACGTGTGTACACACACCGCATTCCTTTTCCCTCCCCAGCCCACTCTGGAGAGCAGGGTCCACTGCAGAGCTGGACCTGTCCATACTGGCTTTTTGAGGCTGTATCTCTGCCGGGAGGACAGTGGAGGGCAGCAGGTCATGCTGAGGACACTGTCTAGCTTGACCTGGGGCAGGCAGAGGCAAACCAGGCCCTTCTCAGGCGACAGCTGGGCCCCAGTGTTTTTGGAGCTGGTTCCCGGGATATTCTTTTATGTCATATTCTGAGGATTTGAGGAACAGCCTGTAAAGGGGATTAGCCTATCCATGCTGCTCCAAGCTCCAGCAGCACAGGCTCCAGAGCATCCCCTATAGGTGGGATGTAGGAGGAGAGCAGCCTGGGACAGCGATCAGGGACTCCCAGATTGCTGGACTGGGTATTAACATCTCTGTCGGCCTTCACACCTCCCACTCCTCTGGAGTAAGGTACCTCTGTCCCTACCTACTTAGGGAAAAATTGCAATCTGTGAGATCAAGCCCCATGCACCAGGAAACTGGCTGATTATACTTGCCTCAAAAACTCAAAGTGAATTACAGCAGCCTGTATGCAAGTTTGCTTTCTCCTGGGGGAGCCAAGGACAGTTTTTAGACTTTGCACTTCTTAGGGACTGGGCCACACACCCCAAGAGCGCCCCCTTTGGCACTGAGCAAGTACTTATATGTCAAGCACACAGGCTTGTGCGAAACAGCAATGTAATATATGGTTGTTACGGACTGCATCCAAGACTCTGACCGGTTCTTCCTTTTTGAGGTCTCCATCCCAGCCAGGTCTGAGGGAAGAGTGGAGCTATCAGAGGCAGACAGGGACCTTTGGGTGGTTTCCCACCCAAAGGAGGAGAGGAAGAAGGTACAACAGTAAAACATTGATTGGTCAAATCAAAATCCCAACGGTCCCAGAAACCTCTCAACAGGGCCTAGCAGGGATTGAACCAAAGTGTCCATTTGCTTAAAACTGCCCGAGGTTCCCAGCTTTCAGGGTGCCCCCGTCAAGCCTCCGCTTACTAAATAAACCAGCCTTTGTGTGTGTGTGTCCAGGACAAGCAGAATGGGCTGGGGGAGGGGAGGAGGATCCGTTTGTCAAAATAGACCTCCTGAATGCTTTTAAGGGCCTGCAGTTGGATGAGTAAATATTTTCCCTTTCAGATGAAAGGTGCAATCATCGCCGTTTTTTAATTACTTTAATTAGAAAAGATTGCCTTAATCTTTTACTTATCTGTACTATTGTGGGAACTGCCAGAAAATGAAGTGCAGGGAAAACAGGTGGAGTTTGACCTTTGCTCTAAGCATCTTGAATTTCTTCTAGGCTGGTAATTAAGAAGAATCAGGGGAAGTTCCTTGCAGAATCTAGGAAACGCAAACACACACAGAATCATAGCTACAAGGGCACTCTCCCTTGTACTCCCACTCTCTCACACATGCACACACACACACACACACACACACTCTCATGCACATGTGTGCACATGAGTGGAAGGAAAACTAGACCCGGATATGGCAAACCAAAAAGTTCCAACTTTGAGGGCTGTGTTCCTGCTCCCAGCCCTGAGAGGTGGCTTAATGAGTTTCCCAGGATGGCCTAAAATGATTAATTAAGCAGACAGCTCCCCACCCCCTCCCCAAACAACGGAAACCAAGTAACGGTCTGTTTAGGGAGGGAACAGCAGGCCCCCCCTCAACACACACACACTCCAGGGGCGGTTGGGGACATGGTGTAAGAGCCAGGAGCCCCAGATAAGGGACGATAGCAACGGCCTGTAACGGCCATCAAGGCTCACCCTGGCTGGCAGGGCTGGGCCTAGGGAATGGCCTCCCTCTGCTCCTGGCCTCTGGCCTCCCTGTGTCTGGGCAGTGCCCACAGTCAAGGGGACCCTTGGCAAAACGGTGACGCAGGCATCATTGTCTCTGGCCTCCCTACCTCTCCAGGCACCCTACTTGTTCCCATTTCTACTATGCACCATTTCTGGGCTCATTGTTGAACACTGGGAGGGATTCTGGAGGCTGCTTGAGTGTCCAGGCCCACAGACATGGGCCACAAACATCAGGGAAAGAGGAAAAGCGAGTAGACAGGGACCCTCTGGGGCTTCCAAAATCACCCGTGTTGGGGCACCTGCTCTGTCTTTCCAGCTGTCAGGGCTCCCAGAGCCCAGCAGTGAACAGTCACTATTAAACAAACAGGTTCTGAGCTCAGGCTTTCAGTGCTGACGCTGCAATGGTGAGCAGTGCTAGAAAACCGGGGCACAGGTCCCCGCCTGGGGATCCAGATTGGCTCTGAGGGAGTCCTGGAGTCCGGGCAATTCTTGTGCACAAGCAGGGCTGGTGCTTTGGGAGCTTCCTCCCAGGGCGTCTGTTTTTCAGGGACACCTCTGTTTTCTGCATCTGTAACCTGGACCAGCTGCTCCCTGAACAGCCATAGACGTTTCCCTCAGAAGGTGCCCCGAGGATTCCACTGGGTGCTGAATACGGGTCCTCTTCCACAGACAAGGGCACGCCTTCCTTCCAAGTCAGTCATGTCCGCTGGAGACAGACAAGGACAGGGACACAGCTGGGGTTTTGGCGGCTGTCCTGGGCCTTGTAAACAGGCCTGGTGAAGGGCACAGGGGCTCCGAAGCAGGCCCAGGCCCAGCCAGCCTGGAGGGGTGGGAGGAGGTGAAGGTGGGAGCGGGCGGGAGGGGCAGCCAACAGTGTTTGCCTTTCTAAAGCGCTCCAGGTGCTTGAGCTGGATTTCCAGCCTGGTGTTTACAGCCTCTGCAGCCACGCCACGGTCACGTCCTCCGCCTGTACACGTGCCTCTCTCAACAGGTGCCCGTCTGTGTGCGTGTGTTCCACCTGTGTGTCTGATCACACCTGTGGGTGTGGATCTCTCCGTGTCTGTGCCTGGCCCTCTGAGAAAAATGACTCCGGCCTCCACTTTGTGTGAGCCTTTCCACCTCAAAACATTTGCTAAAATAAACCTGCTGAAAAAGCTTTAACGACGATTTTTTTTTCGTCCCTGCCATGGGCACTAACACCAGCAGGTCTCCATGGTCAATTTAGGAAGCTTGGGAAAACATTGCTTGTAATTAAAAGTCTAGAAGGGCCTCAATTAAGGCAGTGTTTGCCCTGCCGGGCCCGTTCCCAAATCCTACTCGGCAGCATTCCTCTCTTGGCTGGAAAAGGCCTTTGATTTGAACCAAATGTTCAGCAGCCACACTGGACCGGGCCTTGGCACTGCTGCACTGCTAGCTGCTCAGGGCACAGGCTGGCCTCTGCCCCAAAGCCTGCAACGGGAGACTTTGGGCTTTGTCTCCACCTCCTGACTTCCCAGCCCCTCTGTGATCCTGAGCCCCGACTTCTGGAGGGGCAGACCTCCCTGAGAGATGCAGGTGCTGAGGCCAGCCCAGCACCCCTCACCGCTCAGGGTGGTAGAGCTCACACTAAGAATTAAAGGCCACAGGTCAGGCCTCACCAAGGATGAAGCAGCAACAGTCAGTGCTGCAAGAAGGTGGGATTCAGGGTACAGCAAGCGACACCCCAGTACCCCTTCTTACTCCACAGAGGCCACCTCCATCTGAGCAGAGGCCTGGCCTTAGCTATAGCCACTTCAGAGAGCTCCAGACAGGACCTGGCAGGGAGGGGTCGGGAAATAGCATGAGCCTGTGACCTTTTTAATCCCTAGGGATTAAAGATACGCAGCTCAGCTAACTGGGACCGGGCCCAGGGCGCCACATTTGCTCCCCTCCTGCTGGTGAGGGTGAGGCAGCCAACAACACAAACACGGGGGCAGAGGGCATTGCCTCCTCCCTGGAGCAAAGGCTCAGGCGCTCAACTGGGTGGGCAGGAAAGAGAAGTGCTGAGTCAGCTCAGGTGCACATGGCTTTTCCTTCCCGGGACAGGCACACGCACACTCACACCACCTGCTTGCACACAAACTGGATTCACAACCATGCTTGCTGGCTTTCACAGATGTGTACCCATGTTCACAGGGTCCACACACACTCTCTCTCTCTCTCTCTCTCTCTCTCTCTCTCTCTCTGAGTCCTCAGTATCCCAGGTCACAGCCACCCACACAAACTCACATTCCTCCACCAGCTTGCACTGACACCCATTCACAGTCACAGCCCTGGCTACAACCAGACACGGAGACTCCATAACAAGGATTTGCAGGCCCCATGCAGGACTCTGCAGTCTCCAGCAGCCCTGGCCCCTCTCAGTGAGGAAAGAGTCGCCACGAAGGCAGATGGTCCGGAGGGTGCTGCCAGGACCAGGTCCTGAACCCTGTGGGAGTGGGGTGGAGAGTGCGGGGATATCTCAGGAGGGCAGCCGAGGTGTCCATCCCTGCGGGCCTCACCCCTGCAGCAGGGGAATGGCAGGCGAAGGGTTACAGGCTAACTAGAAAAAACAATTACTAACGGGAAAGGCAGCACATTCCAGCCCTGCTTAGCAGAGCCGCCAGGGCCGTGGGTGGTTCTTGGATTATGCATTTCCTTGAAAACAAAAAGGAGAGTTCAGGGCAGTTCAGCTGTGCCCTGAATCTCACTCCGGGGCCTTTGTCCCCAGCCCCCTCACAGCCCGCGTGCCTACACACACGCACACACAGCCCCCCTGGCCCCGCCACTTGTCCACTGGGAAACGGAGAGCATGAATACCCCCCAAAGCCTGCAAGAAAAGCGGGGGCAGACGACAGAAGAATTGAAGAAAGACGGGGAGAGGGGAAGGGAGTTGGGATCTCGGAACCCTTGTTGCCTGGAAGTCTCCCTTCTGCTGGTGAGGCTGTGGGAACGTTGGCTCATCCTGTCATCAATGCTGCATGGAACCCCCCACTCTGTGCCAGGCATTGTGCCAGGCATTGTACCAGGCCTGGGGTTCCCCTTGAAGGGCTCACTGCTGGGAAAACCCGGTGCCCCCATTTCCCCTGGGTGGTGTTTTCTATCCATCTGTCTCAGATCCCAACACTCTGTCTTTCCTCAAAAATCTGGTCTGATAGAGTCTGATTATCATATTCATACAGAGGAGTGGGAGGCTGATAAGCCTCAAAGGGAGACCCTCCCAGGCTGCTTTACCTTTTTTTTTTTTTTTTTTTCTTTTTTACTCATGACACAGCCTCAGGAAGCTTTGACAACATGTGCTCCTGATTTACTTTTTAACCAGGACATATATGGTGGTGCCTCCCTGTGGAGAACAGGAAGGGGCAGCCATCTTGCCATAAACACAGGAACAGAATCTCATGGCCTCTGAGTCTGAACAGCTATGTCCTATTTGTTAGCATGGGCTCCTCTGAACCCTGCCAAGGCCCTGTGGGGAGGCAAGGGAAGCATTATGGTCCCCACCACAAATGGGGAAACTGAGGTTCAGAAAGAGATAAAAATCACTCAACCCATTGTACAGGCTGCCTCCTGCTTAGAGCTCTCTCCCTCTCCTCAGATCCCTGAATGGCTGACTCATTCCCATCTTTCAGGTCTCAGCTTAAATACTGATCCTCCAAGAAGCTCTGTGGCAACAAATGTAGTCGGCCCATTCTAGCCTCCCTGTTGTTTCTCCTCCAGCGCATGAGGATTCTGGGGGGAGGGGGATGAGGTCTCGCTCTGTCACCCAGGCTGGAGTGCAGTGACATGATCATGGCTCACCACATCCTTCGCCTCATGGGCTCAGGTGATCCTCCCACCTCAGCCTCATGAGTAGCTGGAAGTACATGTATGTGCCACCATACCCAGCTAATTTGTTGTTGTTGTTATTTGTAGAGATGGGGTCTTTCTTTGTTGCCCAGGCTGGTCTTGAACTCCTGGGCTCAAGCAATCCTCCCACCTCGGCCTCCTAAACTGCTGGGATTACAGGCGGGAGCACACAGTAGGCACTCAATAAATATTTGTGGACTTGATTAAGAACTGAATGGCTCTGTAGCTGGGGTAGGCGGAGCCAGGCCTGGAATCCTTGAAGCCTTGGCCCCCACTCAGATGTGTGGCTGCCCTTGTCCATCAAAATCCCTCCAAGACAGAGGAAAGGGGATGCTCAGAGCCTTTCTTCATTCCAGCCCTGGGCTGTACCCCAAACAGCCTAAACTTAAAAAATAATCAGATTCCACAGTTGGGCTGCATGTGGATTATGCAAGGACCAGATGCCCAGTAGACAGGGTGTGCCAGAGGCTTATACCCAATGGGACCTTAAAAGAGGGTCAGCTGATGCATGCCATTTAGACGTATTCACTCACTCCATTCTGTGGACATTTTCCAGGTGCTGAGCTTGGTTCTTAGATGCAGTGCCTGCCTCAGAGTCTGTCTAGACTTTTTAGGAGAGAGTCAAAGAAGCAATGCTGGCGATGCGTGCTCAGACCCAGCACAGGATGAGATGATCTGGGAACTGGAATGTCAGGAATGACTTCACTAAGAGATCAGAGGTGGTCTGAGAGCGGGTGACCAGAACAAGCCTGCCAGGCACAGAGAACAGCATGTGCAAAGGAGTAAGGGAGAGCCTAGTAGGTCTGGGACATGCCAGCAGTTCACTAGGCCTGGATAGAAAGTTTGAGCATGGGGAGAGGCCAGAGAAGGGGCTGGAGAAGGGATGGGCCCAGGTCACAGGGAGCAAAGTCCACTGGCCCAAGAAGCCAGGGCTTCATAGGGTCAGCAGTAGGGAGCCTGCCAGGGCTTTAAAGAGAGGAAAGACATGAGCAGCTTAGCATTTTAGAAAGTTCATTCGACTGAAAATGTGCAGAAAGCACAAACTAAAGCACAGACACAAAACAAGTTCAGAGGATGTGGCTGTCACCCAGGTGAGCAGTGATAGCTTGGACTTGGGGCCGGGGGGATGGAGATGAGGGGACAGTTGTAAGAAATATTTAGGAGGGAGTGAGAGAGGCTTGTGATGAACCAGCATGGGGGGGACAAGGGCCGGGCTGTTGTTAAGGATGAATACCAGGATTGTGGACAGCTTGGCTGAGTGAAGGGTGGCAGCAGGAATCCAGGGAGAGGCTGGTGTATTGGCCTTGGCCATGTACCTGGCTGGCTGTTAGGGATGTGGGTCTGGAGAGGGAGGTGCTGGCCTGGTGCTCTGGAGTAGTTTGAACCCAGATTTCAATGCTGCCTGGGGAGAGGAAGAGGCTGGGAGATGGAGTGGAGTGAGCAGAGTGGACAGTGCCCTTCCCTTTCTACTAAGCCAAACCTTAGCATGCTTCAAGATCCACTCACCCCTTCCCAACCCACACCTATGTGGGAGAGCATTCAACAAAGACTGTCGGGAAGAGGGGAACTTGCGTCAAGGAGGGCAGTAGATTAGGATGGTGGATGGCCTTGGATGTGGGGAGCAAGGGTGCAGAGGCAGGATTGCAGGCGGGAGACACATTTAAGAACTTAAGGGTCCTCCCTAGTTTGGGCCCAGTGTCAGCTCCATGGCCCACTGGGAGTCCTGGGAGCAATGACTGGATGCTTGGAATGACTCTTCCTTCTGGGGATGAACTCCAGTCTACTCCAGCACAGTGACCAGATGCTACAGGGGCATTCCCAACCCCCACAGAAGCTGTTATCCCAGGCACTGCCCAGTCCAACCCAGGGAGCCAGCATCTCCAGTCTCTTGTTTCTTTCCACAGCGGGGCCTCCAGGGGCTGAGTGCTGAGGCAGCAGGAGTAGGACAAGTCCAGAACAAGGAACCCCAAGCTGGGCGTCTTTTCCCACTCCCTTTCCTTTCCTTGGTGTTGAAGGTCGAATTTCACCTCCCTTCTCATTTCTCTCTTTGCATTTTGTAGGACACACACCACCTCATCCAGCCACAGTGGCCACAGTCCTCAGGTATCTGTCATCAGCTCTCAGCCCTTCTTTCTGAGGCACGCAAGAGTGGGCAGAAGCCCTTGGGACCCCCCTTTGCCTCCAAACCCCAGTGCATTCCCAGCTTTTTCTTGGTCTCCACACTCCAGTCCAAGCCTCTGTCCTGTCCCCAGAATTCCCTGAAGAAGGTCCAGGGAGAGGGCTGTGAGTTCTCTATAAGACCAGCAGATGCAGCTGGTTGATTGCCCTTGACTCTGCTGGTGGCGGGGACATTGCTGGTGACCAGCTGCTGGTGTTCCACTCTATCCCACGGGCTTGGCCCAGCCAGCCTCAGATACCAGCAGATGGCCCCATCCCCTCTGGGATGCCCTGCCCCATTCATCTGGCCCCCATTTCTGTTTCTGATATTCTGTCCCCCTTATCTCCCTTCTCAGACTGGACAGCCCCTGTGTACCTGGGATGCGGAGAGTGACCCAAGCCTCAATCCTGGCCAGTGAGACTGCCCATCGAGGTGGAAATCATCGTCTTAATTACCAAGGCTCCCTGGCCACCGGAGGAGACACGCAACACACAGCCTGCCTAATGCGCCAGCAGCCGAGTTGGGGAGGTCCCTGGGAAAAAGGCCTATGCTCCCCCAGCCATTCTCAGGGCCTAGAATGTTCTTTAGCACGAGAGAAGTGAAGGCTCAGGGGTCCAGTGGGGAGGGCCGGGTACCAGCCCAGAAGTAGGTCTAGCCAGGGAGGTGGAGTCCCCAAGAAACACCCTCAGGAGCCTGCTGAGTCACAATCATCCCTCACAGCACGAATGTCTCGCCTGCTCCCTGCACGCAGCTCACCTGGGACTCTCCTTCTGCCGGCAGGGTGAGGGGCCTTTGAAAGGCCTAAACCAGAAAGGCTGGAGGGGCTGAAGGCAGGAGCCAGCTGGCCCCAATCCTGTTCTCTCTGGAGCCCCTCAGTCCTTAGCCCAGCCCCCAGGTGTGTCTTGTCTCCTTCTTAGAGGCTCCAACGGCCAGAGCTCCCCACTCCCAACCTACCATCTTGTCCCAGAGATGGAAGACAACATGGGAGCGGCCCCTCACAGCCAGAGTACCTTCAAGACCATGTGGCACCACCAGACTGAAACCCAGGTCCGGTGGGCTCTGCCATCCCCATGCCAAGCAGAGGGAAGGAGGGGGTGGGAGGACAGAAGAAGGAGTGGGCGGGGTGAGTCTGTGGTGGTTTGGATTGAGATGAGCTGGACTTACGTGTGTGACAGCTTTTCCTCTGGTCCCAACCTTATACCTTTGGTTTTCCTGCTCTGGGCCACTGTAAAATGAGGATTGGGCATGAGATATGTGGTTTTCAAATGCTCCTCCCAGAGCCCTGGCACTCTATGGCGGAGAATCAGAGCCATTGCAGCTCTGGTCTTAGCGTTATACACCGACCATCACCCCTAAGGTTTCATTTGCAGAACCAGCCCACAGCCGAAGAACCTTTGGTCACCTCTGGGCAAGGTGACACCTGTGTCCTTCCTGGCCTGAACCTTCCAGAAATGGACAGCGCCATGTCTGCTGCTGGGGGAGAGGGGACAGACCCAGAAGGAGGAGCCAAAGGAACTTACTTTTTTTTTTTTTTTAAGACGGAGTTTTGCTCTTGTTGCTGAGGCTGGAGTGCAATGCCGTGATCTCGGCTCACTGCAAACTCCGCCTCCCAGGTTCAAGCGATTCTCCTGCCGCAAACTCCGCCTCCCAGGTTCAAGCGATTCTCCTGCCTCAGCCTCCTGAGTAGCTGGAATTACAGGCATGTGCCACCACACCTGGCTAATTTTGTATTTTTAGTAGAGACGGGGTTTCTCCATGTTGGTCAGGCTGGTCTCGAACTCCTGACCTCAGGTGATCCACCCACCTTGGCCTCCCAAAGTGCTGGGATTACAGGCGTGAGCCACTGTGCCTGGCAGGAACTTACTTTTTAAAACTTAGATTGAGTCCAAATACATATGTCCGAGACATGAAAGGATGAAACTGGCTATGGGACACGGGCTCAGAATGAGGAGACCCAGAGGAAAATGTGCACCCATGTTCACTGCTACATGCCTATGTGCACACATGTACACCGGCGCACACATGCACATGCACACACACACAGCTGCCCCTCACAGCCCTGTCTACATGGAAGGCACCAAGAGGCATTTCCATGCTTCTCCCTCTGAGCCCCAACCCACTCCCACTTACCACCTCTCTGGACTCCTCAAGTTGACCTAGCAGAGCTCTGTCAGGAGATGAGGAAAATGTCTCTGTTTTTCAAATATTTGGATCTTGCTAAAGACCAACACATTTTTTTAAGTGTGTATAATTTTAGGGCAATTTGATCCATATGTTTCTGATTCTCTTGCACTTAAATCATCAAAATATTGATTTTTAAGAGCCATTTGATGTCGAAGGAACCTTTTTAATAAGCTTTTAAAGCTCTTTAAACCCAGAGCCTGGAGCCAGGGCCAGAGCTCAGGCTGTCCGCTGGCCAGTCGCACCCTCCCCTCCCCTGGGTCAGGATTACTTGGAGCTGAGTCTCACTTCCCCTCTTCCTGGCCTCCCTGCCTCCCCAAGAACTACCCAGGGGTGCTGACAGAGGGGCCCAACCCCTTCTGTTCACAGACTTCTCTCATGCTTCTTCAAAGCATGCCTAAGACACAAACCAAGAGGAGCAGTCATGATCTTTACTTCTTAAAGGCTGCATAAAATTTAGTTGCATAAATGTGACATAATGTATTTAACCAACGCCTGTTGACGGATGTTTAGGTCATTTCCCGTGGTACACCTTTATGCACATTTCTGATTGTTTCGTTTGGATCCATTTCCAAAAGTAAAAATACTGCGTCAAAAAGTAGGCACAATTTATGTCTCTGCACTCATAAGTTGCCACGTTATTTTCTAAAAGAGTCCACCAATTCATACTTTCACAGTCTCCTCCCCACCTCCCCACTCCCACCCCACACTCTTGAGTGGAATTCTCGTTATTCCTATCCAAATGGTGCCATTCCATCTGCACATGTGGAAGCTCTCTAGCACAGCAGTTAAGAGGAGGCTCTGGAACAGAGAGCTTGGGTTTGAATTCCAGTTCTGCTGTTTCCTAATTGGGAAAGTTGCTTTTTCTGTCCTTGCCTCTGTTTTCTCATCTATAATTTGGGGGATAATAATGGCACCTACCACGTAAGTTTATTGTGAGGATTTAATGTGATCATCGATACAAACTTAAACTACTTGGAAAAGCGCCTGATGCACGGTTTGTGTTCAGTAAATGATAGCTAGTATTGTTATCCTTTATGCTTTTTTTTCCAACCTAGGATACTCTCTCTCTTTCCTTCCCTTCTGTCTGACCAACTGCCGCTCACACGTCAGGTGTCTGTTCGGATGCCCCGCCCTTGTTAGCGTTCCCACAACACCCACCCCTTTGATACACTGGCAACGCGTGCCATTACTCATCTTTACACTTAGTGTCTATCTTTCCTGCCACGCTGTCAGCTCCAAGAGGGCAGATTTGGGGTTTATCGAATTCCCAGAGCCTACTACCGTGCCTCACATGCTGCAGACACCCCATAATTATGTGTTGAATTGAGCAGAACTGAATCGAATGAACTGTGTCAGCTAGGGGTCACTTTTGACCCATAATTTCCAAAAATTCTATTCACCCACAAAGGACAGAGATTTGCATCTTGAGGATAATCAAAAGAATGTGTTGAGGTTCAAAAGGTGAGTCCCCAAGATGAGTCCACAAATGTTTAAGGAGATGGCAGCATCACTGGTGGCACCTCTGTGGCCAGTGTGGGTGGATGACCCTGTTCTGCAGGGAAAGTCCTGCTGACACCAACCATGAGCAAGGCCAGTCCCGTGAGCGAAAGCCTACCTCATTATTCATCTTCGATTTGTTCTTTCACTTTCAGATACTTTTTCCTTGTCTTTCCAACAGAGAAAGGACTGTGCCTCTTCCTTTTGTGGCCCTGTGCTAGACACCGTGCTGGGTATTTGCCAAATGAGGCATGAACGGTGCTCCTCCTTCT